>NC_000011.10:48544848-48847878 GCF_000001405.40 Homo sapiens
AAACCACCTCCTGGATTCATTGATTTTTTGAAGCGTTTTTTGTGTCTCTATTTCCTTCAGTTCTGCTCTGATCTTAGTTATTTCTTGCCTTCTGCTAGCTTTTGAATGTGTTTGCTCTTGTTTCTGTAGTTCTTTTAATTCTGATGTTAGGGTGTCAATTTTAAATCTTTGCTGCTTTCTCTTGTGGGCATTTAGTGGTATAAATTTCCCTCTACCTACTGCTTTGAATGTGTCCTAGAGATTCTGGTACGTTGTGTTCCTTTTCTCACTGGTTTCAAAGAACATCTTTATTTCTGCCTTCATTTCGTTATGTATCCAGTAGTCATTCAGAAGCAGAGTGTTCAGTTTTCATGTAGTTGAGCAGGTTTGAGTGAGTTTCTTAATCTTGAGTTCTAGTTTGATTGCACTGTGGTCTTAGAGACACTTTTTATAATTTCTGTTCTTTTACATTTGCTGAGGCATGCTTTACTTCCAACTATGTGGTCAACTTTGGAATAGGTGTTGTGCTGAGAAGAATGTGTGTTCTGTTGATTTTGGGTGGAGAGTTCTGTAGATGTGTATTAGGTCTGCTTGGTGCAGATCTGAGTTCAATTGCTGGATATCCTTTTTAATTTTCTGTCTCATTGATCTGTTTAATGTTGACAGTGGGGTGTTAAAGTCTCCTATTATTATTGTGTGGGAGTCTAAGTCTCTTTGTAGGTCACTAAGGACTTGTTTTATACATGTGGGTGCTCCTGTATTGGGTGCATATATATTTAGGATGGTTAGCTCTTTTGTTGAATTGATCCCTTTACCATTATGTAATGACCTTCTTTGTCTCTTTTGATCTTTGTTGGTTTAAAGTCTGTTTAATCTGAGACTAGTATTGGAATTTCAACCTGTGTCTTTTTTTATTTTCCATTTGCTTGGTAGATCTTCCTCCATCCCTTTATTTTGAGCCTGTGTGTGTCTCTGCACATGAGATGGGTTTCCTGAATACAACACACTGATGGGTCTTGACTCTTTATCCAATTTGCCATTCTGTTCCTTTAATTGGAGCATTTAGCCCATTTACATTTAATGTTAGTATTGTTATGTGTGAATTTGATCCTGTCATAATGATGTTAGCTGGTTATTTTGCTCATTAGTTGATGCAGTTTCTTCCTAGCCTTGACGGTCTTTACAATTTGGCATGTTTTTGCAGTGGCTGGTACAGGTTGTTGCTTTCCATGTTTAGTGCTGCCTTCAGGTGCTCTCTTAGGACAGGACTGGTGTGACAAAATCTCTCAGGATTTGCCTGTCTGTAAAGGATTTTATTTCTCCTTTACTTATGAAACTTAGTTTGGCTGGATATGAAATTCTTGGTTGAAAATTCTTTTCTTTAAGAATGTTGAATATTGGCCCCCACTCTCTTCTGGCTTGTAGAGTTTCTGCCGAGAGATCCGCTCTTTGTGTGATGGGCTTCCCTTTGTGGGTAACCCGACCTTTCTCTCTGGCTGCCCTTGACATTTTTTCCTTCATTTCAAGTTTGGTGAATCTGACAATTATGTGTCTTGGAGTTGCTCTTGTTGAGGAGTATCTTTGTGGCATTCTCTGTAAATCCTGAATGTGAATGTTGACCTGCCTTGCTAGATTGGGGAAGTTCTCCTGGATAATATCCTGCAGAGTGTTTTCCAACTTGGTTTCATTCTCCCCATCACTTTCCAGTACACCAATCAGATGTAGATTTGGTCTTTTCACATAGTTCCATATTTCTTGGAGGCTTTTTTCATATCTTTTTATTCTTTTTGTTCTAAACTTCTCTTCACGCTTCATTGCATTCATTTCGTCTTCCATCGCTGACACCCTTTCTTCCAGTTGATCGAATCGGCTACTGAGGTTTGTGCATTCATCACGTAGTTCTTGTGCCTTGATTTTCAGCTCCATCAGGTCCTTTAAGGACTTCTCTGCATTGGTCATTCTAGGTATCCATTCGTCTAATTTTTTTTCAAAATTTTTAACTTCTTTGCCATTGGTTCGAACTTCCTCCTTTAGCTTGGAGTAGTTTGATCCTCTGAAGCCTTCTTCTCTCAACTCATCAAAGTCATTCTCCATCCAGCTTTGTTCCATTGCTGGTGAGGAGCTGCGGTCCTTTGGAGGAGGAGAGGTGCTCTGATTTTTAGAATTTCCAGTTTTTCTGCTCTGTTTTTCCGCCATCTTTGTGGTTTTATCTACCTTTGGTCTTTGATGATAGTGACGTACAGATGGGTTTTTGGTGTGGTTGTCCTTTCTGTTTGTTAGTTTTCTTTCTAACAGTCAGGATCCTCAGCTTCAGGTCTCTTGGAGTTTGCTGGAGGTCCACTCCAGACGCTGTTTGCCTGGGTATCAGCAGCAGAGGCTGCAGAACAGTGGATATTGGTGAACTGCAAATGCTGTGGCCTGATCATTCCTCTGCAAGTTTTGTCTCATAGGAGTACCCGACCGTGTGAGGTGTCAGTCTGTCCCAACTGGGGGCTGCCTCCCAGCTAGGCTACTCGGGGGTCAGGGACCCACTTGAGGAGGCAGTCTGCCCATTCTCAGATCTCAAGCTGTGTGCTGGGAGAACCACTACTCTCTTCAAAGCTGTCAGACAGGGACAGTTAAGTCTGCAGAGGTTATTGCTGTCTTTTCTTTGTCTGTGCCCTGCCCCCTGAAGTGGAGCCTACAGAGGCAAGCAGGCATCCTTGAGCTTTGGTGGGCTCCACTCAGTTCGAGCTTCCTGGCTGCTTTGTTTACCTACTCAAGCCTTGGCAATGGCAGGCGCCCCTCCCCCCGCCTCGCTGCAGCCTTGTGGTTTGATCTCAGACTGCTGTGCTATCAATGATTTAGGTTCCGTGGGTGTAGGACCCTCTGAGACAGGTGCGGGATATAATCTCCTGGTGTGCCGTTTGTTAAACCCATTGGAAAAGCACGGTATTAGGGTGGGAGTGACCCAATTTTCCAGGTGCCGTCTCTCACCCCTTTCTTTGACTAGGAAAGGGAATTCTCTGACCCATTGCACTTCCCAGGTGAGGCAATGCCTCGCCCTGCTTTGGCTCATGCAGGGTGCACTGCACCCACTATCCTGCACCCACTGCCCAGCACTCCCCAGTGAGATGAACCCGGTACCTCAGTTGGAAATGTAGAAATCACCCATCTTCTGCATCTCTCATGCTGGGAGCTGTAGGCTGGAGCTCTTCCTATTTGGCAATCTTGGCTCCACCACAGGCTCCACAGTTTTTGTGACTTAAAACAGTCACCAATTTATTTTATTTTCAAATTTTGTGGGCTAGAAATTCAGGCACTGGTTCGCTGGGTATTTCTTCTGTTTCATGTGGCATGGACTGAAGTCAGTGTTATCCAGCTGATAGCGGGGTCATCTGTAGGATCCAGGAAAGCTTACTTCACATTTATAGCATCTTTGAGGTGATGACTGGAAGAGATTCACTGAGTTCTTCCTCCTATGCATTTTGATGGAGGACCACAAGGTCTCTTCAAAAGATAGTCAGGCTTTTTACATGGCACTAAGAGATCCCCATGGTAGAAAGTAGAAGATGTCAGGTCAATTAAGGGCTATGTCCAGAACAGGTCAATTAACGGCTATGTCCAGAATCTCTCTTGCACCATCTTCTATAGTTCAGAGTGGTCATATGACCATCCCAGATTTGAAATGTTACAGAAACAGATGATAATCCTTGATGGGGAAGTGGCAAAGTCACTTTGCAGAGCAGTGTGCAGAAAATTATCTGCATCTGAAAAAGAACATATTGGGAGTTTTATTCAGATTGAGCTGGATACATAAATCATCTTGGACTGAATTAACATCTTAACAATAGTGGATTTTCTAATTCTTGAATACCATATATTTGTTATATGTTTTAAATATTTATGTTTGAAAAGTTTTGTAGTTATTAGTGTAGGGATCTTGCTCATCTGTTCCTAAGTATTTATGTGTTCAGATGCATTCACAGGTTTGTAATTAAAAAAATTCCAATTTTTATTGCTGTTAGTATATATAAGTGCAATTGAATATTTTAATTAGTCATTTGAGCCTTAGAAATGTGCTAAATTTGTCACTTATTTCTCACCATCTCTGTAGATTCTTTAGAGTGTTCTGAGACACTATCATATTATCTATAAGCAAGAAAAGTTCATTACTTGGAGGGATAGAGTAACGTTTAGCTTTTCAATTTGTTTTGGGGTCATTTTCAGAAGGTTGGATTTTCCCTACATTTCACCATTTTATCTAAGCTGTCAAAGTAATTGAAATAATCTGTTTGATAACAATCCTTTTCTATCCTTTAAAGTCTAAAGGATCTATTTGAAGATGATTTTTTAAAAAATCTGATATTGATAATATGAATTTCTATTTCTTTTCTCTTTCTTGATCATTCTTTCTAGAAGTTTGTCAATTTTATTATAAAAGTACCCACTTTTCACTATTTTGATTTTCTCTATTTTATGTTTCCCATTTTATTGATTTTTGGTCTTATAATTATCATGTCCTTTCTTTTGCTTACCTTGGCTTTAATTTACTCTTCTTAAAGTGAAAGTTCTGATTGGTGCTTTTAAATATTTTTTTTAATATAACACTTATAGCTATAAATTTCCCTCTCAGTACTATTTTAATTATATCTGCCAAATCTTTTGTTTACGTTTTTTATTTTTTTAGGGTTTTTTAAAAATTATACTTTAAGTTCTAGGGCACTGTTCACAACTTGCTGTCTTGTTACACAGATATACATGTGCCATGCTGGGCAACCGCACCCATCAACCCATCATTTACATTAGGTATTTCTCCCAGTGCTGTCCATCCTCCTGCCCCCCACCCGACAACAGGCCCCAGTGTGTGATGTTCTCCACTCTGTGTCCAAGTGTTCTCATTGTTCAATTCCCACCTATGTGTGAGAACATGTGGTGTTTGGTTTTCTGTCCTTGTGATAGTTTGCTGAGAATGATGGTTTCCAGCTTCATCAACGTCCCTGCAAAGCACAGGAACTCATCCTTTTTATGCTGTATAGTATTCCATGATGTTTTTGTGACACATTTTCTTAATCCAGTCTATCATTGATGCACATGTGGGTTGGTGCCAAATCTTTGCTATTGTGAATAGTGCCGCAATAAACATATGTGTGCATGTGTCTTTATAGTAGCATGATTTACAATCCTTTTGGTATATACCCAGTAATGGGATGGCTGGGTCACATGGTATTCCTAGATCCAGATCCTTGAGGAATCACCACACTGTCTTCCACAATGGTTGAACTAGTTTACAGTCCCACCAACAGTGTAAAAGTGTTCCTATTTCTCCACATCCTCTCCAGCATATGTTATTTCCTGACTTTTTAATGATTGCCATTCTAAATGGTGTGTGATGGTATCTCATTGTGGTTTTGATTTGCATTTCTCTGATGGCCAGTAATGATGAGCACTTTTTCATATCTCTGTTGGCTGCATAAATGTCTTCTTTTGAGAAGTGTCTATTCATATCCTTTGCCCACTTTTTGATGGGGTTGTTTGATTTTTTCTTGTATATTTGTTTGAGTTCATTGTAGATTCTGGATATTAGCCCTTTGTCAGATGGGTAGATTGCAAATTTTTTCTCCCATTCTGTAGGTTGCCCATTCACTCTGAAGGTCATTTCTTTTGCTGTGCAGAAGCTCTTCAGTTTAATTAGATCCCATTTGTCAATTTTGGCTTTTGTTGCCATTGCTTTTGGTGTTTTAGACATGAAGTCCTTGCCCATGCCTATGTCCTGAATGGTATTGCCTAGGTTTTCTTCTAGGGTTTTGTTGGTTTTAGGTCTAACATTTAAGTCTGTAATCCATCTTGAATTAATTTTTATGTAAGTTGTAAGGAATGGATCCAGTTTCAGCTTTCTCCATATGGCTAGCCAGTTTTCTCAGTACCATTTATTAAATAGGGAATCCTTTCCCCGTTTCTTGTTTTTGTCAGGTTTGTCAACGATCAGACATTTGTAGATGTGTGGTGTTATTTCTAAGTACTCTGTTCTGTTCCATCGGTCTCCATATGAACTTTAAAGTAGTTTTTTCCAAATCTGTGAAGAAAGTCATTTGTAGCTTGATGGGGACGGCATTGAATCTGTAAGTTACCTTGGGCAATATGGCCATTTTCACAACATTAATTCTTCCTGCCCATGAGCATGAAATTTTCTTCCCTTTGTTTGTGTCCTCTTTTATTTTGTTGAGCAGTGGTTTGTAGTTCTCCTTGAAGAGGTCCTTCACATCCCTTGTAACTTGGATTCCTAGATATTTTATGCTCTTTGTAGCAATTGTGAACGGGAGTTCACTCATGATTTGGCTCTCTGTTTGTTTGTTATTGGTGTATAGGAACGCTTGTGATTTCTGCACATTTATTTTGTATCCTGAGACTTTGCTAAAGTTGCTTATCAGCTTAAGGGAATTTTGGGCTGAGATGATGGGGTTTTCTAAATATATAATCATGTCATCTGAAAACAGGGAGAATTTGACTTCCTTTTTTCCTAATTGAATACCCGTTATTTCTTTCTCCTGCCTGATTGCCCGGGCCAGAACTTCCAACACTATGTTGAATAGGAGTGGTGAGAGAGGGCATGCCTGTCTTGTGCCAGTTTCCAAAGGGAATGCTTCCAGCTTTTTCCCATTCAGTATGATATTGGCTGTGGGTTTGTCATAAAGAGTTCTTATTATTTTGAGATACTTCCCATCAATACCTAATTTATTGAGAGTTTTTAGCATGAAGCATTGTTGAATTTTGTCTAAGGCCTTTTCTGCATGTATTGAGATAATAATGTGGTTTTTGTCTTTGGTTCTGTTTATATGATTGATTACATTTTTTGATTTGCATAGGTTGAACCAGCCTTGCATCCCAGGGATGAAGCCCACTTGATCATGATGGATAAGCTTTTTGATGTGCTGCTGGATTCGGTTTGCCAGTATTTTATTGAGGATTTTTGCATCGATGTTCATCAGGGATATTGGTCTAAAATTCTCTTCTTTTGTTGTGTCTCTGCCAGGCTTTGGTATCAAGATGATGCTGGCCTCATAAAATGAGTTAGGGAGGATTCCCTCTTTTTCTATTGATTGGAATAGTTTCAGAAGGAATGGTACCAGGTCCTCTTTGTACCTGTGGTAGAATTCACCTGCAAATCCACCTGTTCTTGGACTTTTTTTGGTTGATAAGCTACAAATTATTGCCTCCATTTTAGAGCCTGTTATTGGTCTATTCAGAGATTCAACTTCTTCCTGGTTTGGTCTTGGGAGGCTGTATGTGTCAAGGAATTTATTCATTTCTTCTAGATTTTCTAGTTTTTTTGCATAGAGGTGTTTATAGTATTCTCTGATGGTAGCTGGTATTTCTGTACCATCAGTGGTGGTATCCCCTTTCTCATTTTTTATTGCTTGTATTTGATTCTTCTGAATTTTCTTCTTTATTAGTGTTGCCAGCAGTCTATCAATTTTGTTGATCGCTTCAAAAAACCAGCTCCTGGATTCATTGATTTTTTGAAGGGTTTTTTGTATCTCTATCTCCTTCAGTTCTGCTCTGATCTTAGTTATTTCTTGCCTTCTGTCAGCTTTTGAATTTGTTTGCTCTTGCTTCTCTAGTTCTTTTAATTGTGATGTTGGGGTGTCAATTTTAGATTTTTCCTGCTTTCTCTTGTGGGCATTTAGTGCTATAAATTTCCCTCCACACACTGCTTTAAATGTGTCCCAGAGATTCTGGTATGTTGTGTCTTTGTTCTCACTGGTTTCAAAGAACATCTTTATTTCTGCCTTCATTTTGTCTTGTACCCTGTAGTCATTCAGGAGCAAGTTGTTCAGTTTCCATGTAGTTGAGCAATTTTGAGTGTTTGTTAATCCTGGGTTCTAGTTTGATTGCACTGTGGTCTGAGAGACAGTGTGTTATAATTTCTGTTCTTTTACATTTGCTGAGGAGTGTTTTACTTCCAACTATGTGGTCAATTGTGGAATAAGTGTGGTGTGGTGCTGCAAACAATGTATATTCTGTTGATTTGGGGTGGAAAGTTCAGTTGATTTGGGGTGCAAAGTTTTGTAGATGTCTAATAAGTCCGCCTGGTGCAGAGCTGTGTTAAATTCCTGGATATCCTTGTTAACTCTCTGTCTCGTTGATCTTTCTAATGTTGACAGCGGGGTGTTAAAGTCTCCCATTATTATTGTGTGGGAGTCTAAGTCCTTTGTAGGTCTCTAAGGACTTGCTTTATGAATCTGGATGCTCCTGTATTGGGTGCATGTATATTTAGGATAGTTAGCTCTTCCTGTTGAATTGATCCTTTTACCATTATATAATGGCCTTCTTTGTCTCTTCTGATCTTTTTTGGTTTAAAGTCTGTTTTAACAGAGACTAGAATTGTAACCCCTGCCTTTTTTTTTTGTTTTCCATTTGCTTGGTAGATCTTCCTCCATCCCCTTATTTTGAGCCTATGTGTGTCTCTGTATGTGAGTTGAGTCTCCTGAATACAGCACACTGATGTATCTTGACTCTTTATCCAATTTGCCAGTCTGTGTCTTTTAATTGGAACATTTAGCCCATTTACATTTAAAGTTAATATTGTTATGTGTGAATGTGATCCTGTCAGTATGATGTTAGCTGATTATTTTGCTCATTAGTTTTTGCAGTTTCTTCCTAGCATTGATGATCTTTATAATTTGGCATGTTTTCACAGTAGCTGGTACTGGTTGTTCCTTTCCATGTTTAGTTCTTCCTTCAGGAGCTCTTGTAAGGCAGGCCTGGTGGTGACAAAATCTATCAGCATTTTTTTTTTTTTCTGCAAAGGATTGTATTTCTCCTTCACTCATGAAGTTTAGTTTGGCTTGATATGAATTTCTGGGTTGAAAATTTTTTCCTTTAAGAATGTTGAATATTGGCCCGCAGTCTCTTCTGGCTTGTAGAGTTTCTGCCAAGAGATCTGCAGTTAGTGTGATGGGCTTCCCTTTGTGGGTAACCCGACCTTTCTCTCTTGCTGTCCTTAACATTTTTTCCTTCATATCAACTTTGGTGAATCTGACAATTATGTGTCTTGGAGTTGCTCTTCTCAAGGACTATCTTTTTGGTGTTCTCTGTATTTCCTGAATTTGAATGTTGGCCTGACTAGCTAGGTTGGTGAAGTTCTCCTGGATAATATCCTGAAGAGTGTTTTCCAACTTGTTTCCATCCTCCCCATCACTTTCAGGTAAACCAATCAGACGTTGATTTGGTCTTTTCACATAGTCCCATATTTCTTGGAGGTTTTGTTCATTTCTTTTTACTCTTTTTTCTCTAAACTTCTCTTCTCACTTCACTTCATTTATTTGATCTTCAGTCACTGATACCCTTTCTTCCAGTTGATTGAATCAGCTACTAAAGCTTATGCATGCATCACGTAGTTCTCGTGCCATGGTTTTCAGCTCCATCAGGTCATTTAAGGTCTAATCTACACTATTTATTGTAGTTAGCCATTCATCTAATCTTTTTTCAAGGTTTTTAGCTTCTTTTCAATGGGTTCAAACATCCTCCTTTAGCTGGGAGAAGTTTGTTATTACCGATCATCTGAAGCCTTCTTCTCTCAACTTGTCAAAGTCATTCTCCATCCAGCTTTGTTCCATTGCTGGCGAGGAGCTGCTTTTCTTTGGAGGGGAAGAGGTGCTCTGATTTTTAGAATTTTCAGCTCTTCTGCTCTGGTTTCTCCCCATCTTTTTGGTTTTATCTACCTTTGATGTTTGATGATGGTGATGTACAGATGGGGATTTGGTGTTGATGTCCTTTTTGTTTGTTAGTTTTCCTTCTAATAGTCAGGACCCTCAGCTCCAGGTCTGTTGGAGTTTGCTGGAGGTCCACTCCAAACCCTGTTTGCCTGGCTATCACCAGCAGAGGCTGCAGAATAGCAAATATTGCAGAATGGCAAATGTTGCTGTCTGATCATTCCTCTGGAAGCTTCATCTGAGAGGGGCACCTGGCTGTATGAGCTGTCAGTCAGCCCCTACTGGGAGGTGACCCCCAGTTAGGCTACTCGGGGTTCAGGGAGCCAGTTGAGGAGGCAGTCTGTCTGTTCTCAGATGTCAACCTCCATGCTGGGAGAACCACTACTCTCTTCAAAGCTGTCAGATAGGGACGTTTAAGTCTGCAGAAGTTTCTGCTGCCTTTTGTTCAGCTGTGCCCTGCCCCCAGAGGTGGAGTCTACAGAGGCAGGCAGGCCTCCTTGAGCTGCAGTGTACTCCAGCCAGTTCGAGATTCCTGGCAGCTTTGTTTACCTACTCAAGCCTCAGCAATGGTGGGCACCCCTCCCCCAGCCTCGCTGTCACCTTGCAGTTCAATCTGAGATTGGTGTGCTAGCAATGAGGGAGGCTTTGTGGGCATGGGACCCTCTGAGCCATGTGTGGGATATAATCTCCTGGTGTGCCGTTTGCTAAGACCATTGGAAAATCACAGTATTAGGGTAGGAGCAACCCAATTTTCCAGGTGCTGTCTGTCATGGCTTTCCTTGGCTAGGAAAGGGAATTCCCCAACCCCCTGTGCTTCCCAGGTGAGGCGACACCTTACCCTGCTTCAGCTCACACTCCATGGGCTGCACCCTCTGTCCTGCACCCACTGTTCAACAAGCCTCAGTGAAATGGACCTGGTACCATAGTTGGAAATGCAGAAATCACCAATCTTCTGTGTTGCTCACACTGGGAGCTGTAGACTGGAGCTGTTCCCGTTTGGCCCTCTTGGAACATACCTCTCTTGAATACCCTTTATTTCTATCTCTTGCCTGATTGCCCTGGCCAGAACTTCCAACACTATGTTGAATAGGAGTGGTGAGAGAGGGCATCCCTGTCTTGTGCCAGTTTTCAAAGGGAATGCTTCCAGTTTTTGCCCATTCAGTATGATATTGGCTGTGGGTTTGTCATAAAGAACTCTTATTATTTTGAGATATGTTCCATCAATACCTAGTTTAATGAGAGTTTTTAGCATGAAGAGCTGTTGAATTTTGTTGAAGGTCTTTTCTGCATCTATTGAGATAATCATGTGGTTTTTGTGAATGGTTCTGTTTATGTGATGGACTACGTTTATTGCTTTGTGTATGTTGAACCAGCCTTGCATCCCAGGGATGAAGCTGACTTGATCATGGTGGACAAGCTTTTTGTTGTGCTGCTGGATTCAGTTTGCCAGTATTTTATTGAGGATTTTCATGTTGATGTTCATCAGGGATATTGGTGTAAAATTCTCTTTTTTTGTTGTGTCTCTGCCAGGCTTTGCTATCAGGATGATGCTGGCCCTATAAAATGAGTTAGGGAGGATTCCCTCTTTTTCTGTTGATTGGAATATTTTCAGAGGAATGGTACCGGCTCCTCTTTGTACCTCTGATAGAATTTGGCTGTGAATCTATTCAGTCCTGGACTTTTTTTGGTTGGTAGGCTATTAATTATTGCCTCAATTTCAGAGCCTGTTATTGGTCTATTGGTCTGTTCAGAGATTTAATGTATTTCTGGTTTAGTCTTGGGAGGGTGTACATATCCAGGAATTCATCCATTTCTTTTAGATTTTCTAGTTTATTTGTGTAAAGGTGTTTATAGTATTCTCTGATGGCAGTTTGTATTTCTGTGGGATTGATGGTGATATCTCCTTTATCATTTTTTATTGCATCTATTTGATTCTTCTCTCTTTTATTCTTTATTAGTCTGGCTAGTGGTCTTTCAATTTTGCTGATCTTTTCAAAAAACCAGCTCCTGGATTCATTGATTTTTTGAAGCATTTTTTTGTGTCTCTATCTCCTTCAGTTCTGCTCTGATCTTAGGTATTTCTTGCCTTCTGCTAGCTTTTGAATGTGTTTGCTCTTGCTTCTCTAGTTCTTTTAATTGTGATGTTAGGGTGTCGATTTTAGATCTTTCCTGCTTTCTCTTGTGGGCATTTAGTGCTATAAAATTCTCTCTAGAGACCACTTTTGATGCATCCCAGAGATTCTGGTACATTGTTTGTCTTCTCATTGGTTTCAAAGAACATCTTTATTTCTGCCTTCATTTCGTTATGTATCCAGTAGTCATTCAGGAGCAGGTTGTTCAGTTTCCATGTAGTTGAGCGGTTTTGAGTGAGCTTCTTAATGCTGACTTCTAATTTGATTGCACTGTGGTCTGAGAGAGAGTTTGCTGTGATTTCTATTATTTTACATTTGTTGAGGAGTGCTTTACTTCCAACTATGCGGTCAATTTTGGAATAAGTGTGATGTGGTGCTGAGAAGAATGTATATTCTGTTGATTTGGAGTGGAGAGTTCTGTAGGTGTCTATTAGGTTCGCCTGGTGCAGAGCTGAGTTCAAGTCCTGGATATCCTTGTTAACCTTCTGTCTCATTGATCTGTCTAATGTTGATAGTGGGGTGTTAAATTCTCCCATTATTATTGTGTGGGAGTCTAAGTCTCTTTGTAGGTCTCTAAGGACTTGCTTTATGAATCTGGATGCTCCCGTATTGGGTGCATGTATATTTAAGATAGTTAGCTCTTCTTGTTAAATTGATCCCTTTACAATTATGTAATGGCTTTGTTTCTCTTGATCTTTGTTGGTTTAAAGTCTGTTTTATCAGAGACTAGGATTGCCACCCCTGCCTTTTTTTTGTTTTCCATTTCCTTGGAAGATCTTCCTCCATCCCATTATTTTGAGCCTATGTGTGTCTCTTCACATGTAATGTGTCTCCTGAACACAGCACACTGATGGGTCTTGACTCTTTATCCAATTTCCCAGTCTGCGTCTTTGAATTGGGGTATTTAGCTCATTTACATTTAAGGTTAATATTGTTATGTGTGAATTTGTTCCGGTCATTATGATGTTAGCTTGTTATTTTACTTGTTAGTTGATGCAGTTTCTTCCTAGCCTTGGAGGTCTTTACAATTTGGCATGTTTTTGCAGTGGCTGGTACCAGTTGTTCCTTTCCATGTTTAGTGCTTCCTTCAGGAGCTCTTGTAAGGCAGGCCTTGTCGTGAAAAATATCTCTCAGCATTTTCTTGTCTGTGAAGGATTTTATTTCTCCTTCACTTATGAAGCTTAGTTTGTCTGGATATGAATTTCTGTGTTGAAAATTGTTTTCTTTAAGAATGTTGAATATTGGCCCCCACTCTCTTCTGGCTTATAGAGTTTCTGCCAAGAGATCCGCTGTGAGTCTGATTGGCTTCCTTTTGTGGATAACCCAAACTTTCTCTCTGGCTTCCCTTAAATTTTTTCCTTCACTTCAACCTTGGTGAATCTGACAATTATGTGTCTTGTAGTTGCTCTTCTCGAGGAGTATCTTTGTGGTGTTCTCTGTATTTCCTGAATCTGAATATTGGCCTGCCTTGCTAGGTTGATAAAATTCTCCTGGATGATATCTTGCAGAGCGTTTTCCAACTTGTTTCCATTCTTCCCATCACTTTCAGCTACACCAATCAAACATAGATTTGGTCTTTTCACATAGTCCCATATTTATTGGAGGCCTTGTTCATTTCTTCTTACTCTTTTTTCTCTAAACTTCTCTTCTCACTTCATTTCATTAATTTGATCTTCAATCACTGATAGTCTTTCTTCCACTTGATCGCATTGGCTATTGAAACTTGTGCATGCATCACGTATTTCTTGTGCCATGGTTTTCAGCTCCATCAGGTCATTTAAGGTCTTCTCTACACTGTTTATTCTAGCTAGCCATTCGTTTAGTCTTTTTTCAAGGTTTTTACCTTCCATGTGATGGGTTCAAACATCCTTCTTTAGCTCAGAGGAATTTGTTATAACTGTCCTTCTGAAGCCCTCTTCTGTCAGCTCATCAAAGTCATTCTCCATCCAGCTATATGCCATTGCTGGCGAGGAGCTGCAATCCTTTGGAGGAGAAGAGATGCTTTGGTTTTTAGAATTTTCGGGTTTTCTGCTCTGGTTTCTCTCCATCTTTGTGGTTTTATTTATCTTTGGTGTTTGATGTTGGTGACCTACAGATGGGGTTTTTGTGTGGATGTCCTTTTTGTTGATGTTGATGGTATTCCTTTCTGCTTGTTAGTTTTCCATGTAACAGTCAGGCCTCTCAGCTACAGGTCTGTTGGTGTTTCCTGGAGGTCCACTCCAGACCCTGTTTGCATAGATATCACCAGCAAAGGCTGAAGAACAGCAAATATTCAGAACAGCAAATATTGCTGCCTGTTCCTTCCTCTGGAAGTTTCATCACAGAGGGGCACCCAGCTGTATGAGGTGTCAGTCAGCCCCTACTGAGTGGTGTCTCCCAGTTAGGCTACACAGGGTTCAGGGACCCACTTGAGGAGGCAGTCTGTCCATTCTTAGAGCTCAAACACCATGCTGGGAGAAGCACTGCTCTCTTCAGAGCTGTCAGACAGGGACATTTAAGTTTGCAAGAATTTCTGCTTCCTTTTTTTCAGCTATGCTTTGCTCCCAGAGATGCAATCTACAGAGGCAATAGGCCTTGCTGAGATGCGGTGGGCTCTGCCCAGTTTGAGTTTCTTTAGTCATTTTGTTTTCCTACTCAAGCCTCAGCAATGGCAGATACCCCTTCCCCAGCCAGGCTGTCACCTTGCAGTTCAATCTCAGAGTGCTGCACTGGCAGTGAGAAAGGCTCTGTGGGTGTGGGACCTGCTGAACCAGGTGTGGGGTATAATCTCTTGGTGTGCTGTTTGTGAAGACCATTGGAAAAGTGCAATATTTGGACAGGAGTGTCCTGATTTTCCAGGTACCTCAGGTGGAAATGCAGAAATTACCTGTCTTCTGCATTGATCATGATCACATCTCACAAATCTTGATATGTTTTAGTTAGTGTTGAGTTCCAAATATTTGCTTATTTCTATTATAAGTTTTACTCTGATTCATATGTTATCAAAAATTTATTACCAAGTTTCCAAATATTTGAAGATTTTTCTAGATATATAAGCTACTTATTCCCATATAAAGTTACTCTAAAACTTAGGCTCGAATCACTATGTACTTATTATGTCTCTATTTCTGTAGGTCAGGGAACTAAGGCTGGCTTAGCAGATCCTAGTGCTTCAAGGTCTTTTACAAATCTGTAATCGTCATCTGGCTGGGGCTACAGTTTCGTATGAAGGCTTGACTGAGGAAGGATCCACTTATAACCTGATTGTTGGCAGGACTCAGTTTCTCAATAGAAATGAAAAAAACTTTTGAGTGTCATTCTACTTAACATCCCACAGCACTTGAAATTGTTTTATATATTTTACTGCTGGATGTTGTTAACTTCTGAATATATTGTTATTAATTTTCTTTGAACAATTTTTATAAAACAACTAAAAAGAGAAAGAAAAAGAATCTCTGTTTAACCCCTATGTATATCTACTTTTTGAATACTTTTCTATAAATTATAATTTTTATATAATATTGTGTTTTTCAGCCTGAGGAATTTTTTTTGCATTTTTCATAATACAGGTGTGATGGCTATTACATTTCTCATCTCTCAAGTACTGAGCTCATTACTGAATTGCATATGGCAGGTTGAGACCACATTTAGCTCTCCCCTTACACAAAATAGGTAAAAGATTGAGAGTGAGAGGAAATTCCAGCAATTCGCTGGTACAAGGGGTGTTGGAAAAGAGTTTGAAGTTCAATTTCTGCCCTAGTAGAGTGATATAGTAAATTTTCAGCTTTCTGTTGAAACTCAAGAAGCTCCATGTCTCAGCATTAATGTCAACATCCCAGAATTAAGGATTATACAGTAACACTTTTTGACATCCTTTATCAATAGGGCTACTCTTTTTCTTTCTTTATCTTTTATCATCTTCACATTTTTATAGTTATAATTTGTTTTTATGCGGTTGTATCAACAGAAGCATTTACTGCCTTGTATCTTTCCTACAAATAATACAATTCTCAGACAGAGCATTAAATAACTTCAGTGTAGTTCTCCCATTCTAGTGAGAAGGGGTTCATTGTCCTTTCCTAGCATTAGCTGACTTCACATCACATATGAGAGAAACTGGAGTTTTATTCTCTAGAGGAGGATAATGTCATGTGTAAAGTATAAGAGTGTCCATTCTAGGTGTTATCACCCATTTGTGTGCTCCTTTTACATCTGATATGATTTTTCCTTTAAACTATTACCTATTTAATTCCAATTCATCTTTTGAAAAAACCATTATTATGTGGTTTGTAAGGGGTATTATAATATGTCCATTTGAGGTACTTTTTTATTTGTTTGTTTTGAGACAGAGTTTCACTCTGTCATCTAGGCTGGAATGCAGTGGCATGATCCTGGCTCACTGCAATCTCTTCCTCCTGGGTTCAAGGTATTCTCTTGCCTCAGCCTCCCGAGTAGCTGGGATTATAAGCATGTATGACCACGCCCAGCTAATTTTTGTATTTTTAGTAGAGGCAGATTTTCACCATGTTGGTCAGGCTGGTCTCACACTGCTGACATCAGGTGATCTGCCCACCTTGGCCTCTCAAAGTGCTGTCAATTACAGGCGTGAGCCACTGCTACCGGCCTATGTGATGTACTTCTTAGCTCATTTATGTCCACTGGCCATGAGAAAATTTGTGGTTTGATTCAATGAGAGTTGGGGATCAAATTGATAGTCCATGTATTATTTCAATAGCCAGATGGTGTTTTCATTTGTGGCTTGGATTACAGGCTAAGTGAATCTCAAAGTGTCATTAAAAGTCTAATCATGGTAAATCCATTTGACATCACTAGGAACTATGGCTATTGGTCTTTTGTAATAATCCTAAAAGCTCTGTTTTGGTTCTTGGCACTAGCAAGAACTCTTTAATCCTATTTAAACAGTGGTTCTGCTATTTTTTTTTTAATTTTATTATTATTATACTTTAAGATTTAGGGTACATGTGCACAACATGCAGGTTTGTTACTTACGTATACATGTGCCATGTTGGTGTGCCGCACCCAGTAACTCGTCATTTAGCATTAGGTATATCTCCTAATGCTATCCCTCCTCCCACCCCTCACCCCACAACAGTCCCCGGTGTGTGATGTTCCCCTTCCTGTGTCCATGTGATCTCATTGTTCAATTCCAACCTATGAGTGAGAACATGTGGTGTTTGGTTTTTTGTCCTTGCGATAGTTTGCTGAGAATGATGGTTTCCAGATTCATCGATGTCCCTACAAAGGACATGAACTTTATCATTTTTTATGGCTGCATAGTATTCCATGGTGTATATATGCCACATTTTCTTAATCCAGTCTATTGTTGTTGGACATTTAGGTTGGTTCCATGTCTTTGCTATTGTGAATAGTGCCACAATAAACACATGTGTGCATGTGTCTTTATAGCAGCAAGATTTATAGTCCTTTGGGTACATACCCAGTAATGGGATGGCTGGGTCAAATGGTATTTCTAGTTCTAGATCCCTGAGGAATCTCCACACTGACTTCCACAATGGTTGAACTAGTTTACAGTCCCACCAACAGTGTAAAAGTGTTCCTATTTCTCCACATCCCCTCCAGCACCTGTTGTTTCCTGACTTTTTAATGATTGCCATTCTAAGTGGTGTGAGATGGTATCTCATTGTGGTTTTGACTTGCATTTCTCTGATGGCCAGTGATGATGAGCATTTTTTTCATGTGTTTTTTGGCGGCATACATGTCTTCTTTTGAGAAGTATCTGTTCATATCCTTCCCCCCACTTTTTGATGGGGTTGTTTGATTTTTCTTGTAAATTTGTTTGAGTTCATTGTAGATTCTGGATACTAGCCCTTTCTCAGATGAGTAGGTTGCAAAAATTGTCCCCATTCTGTAGGTTGCCTGTTCACTCTGATGGTAGTTTCTTTTGCTGTGCAGAAGCTCTTTAGTTTAATTAGATCCCACTTGTTAATTTTGGCTTTTTTTGACATTGCTTTTGGTGTTTTAGACATGAAGTCCTTGCCCATGCCTATGTCCTGAATGGTATTGCCTAGGTTTTCTTCTAGGGTTTCAATGGTTTTAGGTCTAACATTTAAGTCTTTAATCCATCTTGAATTAATTTTAGTATAAGGTGTGAGGAAGGGATCCAGTTTCATCTTTCTACTTAGGGCTAGCCAGTTTTCCCAGCAACATTTATTAAAGAGGGAATCCTATCCCCATTGCTTGTTTTTGTCAGGTTTGTCAAAGATCAGATAGTTGTGGATATGTGGTATCATTTCTGAGGGCTCTGTTCTGTTCCATTGGTCTATATGTCTGTTTTGGTACCCGTACTATGCTGCTTTGGTTACTGTAGCCTTGTAGTATAGTTTGAAGTCAGGTAGCGTGATGCGTCCAGCTTTGTTCTTTTGGCTTAGGATTGACTTGGCAATGCGTGCTCTTTTTTGGTTCCATATGAACTTTAAAGTAGTTTTTTCCAATTCTGTGAAGAAAGTCATTGTTAGCTCGATGGGGATGGCATTGAATCTATACATTATCTTGGGCAGTATGGCCTTTATCATGATATTGATTCTTCCTACTCATGGGCATGGAATGTTCTTCCATTTATTTGTATCTTCTTTTATTTCATTGAGCAGTGGTTTATAGTTCTCCTTGAAGAGGTCCTTCACATCCTTTGTAAGTTGGATTCCTAGGTATTTTATTCTCTTTGAAGCAATTGTGAATGGGAGTTCACTCATGATTTGGCTCTCTGTCTGTTATTGGTGTATAAGAATGCTTGTGATTTTTGTACATTGATTTTGTATCCTGAGACTTTGCTGAAGTTGCCTATCAGCTTAAGGAGATTTTGGGCTGAAACAATGGGGTTTTCTAGATATACAATCATGTCATCTGCAAATAGGGACAATTTGACTTCCTCTTTTCCTAATTGAATACACTTTATTTCCTTCTACTGCCTGATTGCCCTGGCCAGAATTTCCAACACTATGTTAAATAGGAGTGCTGAGAGAGGGCATCCCTGTCTTGTTCCAGTTTTCAAAGGGACTGCTTCCAGTTTTTGTCCATTCAGTATGATATTGGCTGTGGGTTTGTCATAGATGGCTCTTACTATTTTGAGATACGTCCCATCAATACCTAATTTATTGAGAGTTTTTAGCATGAAGTGCTGTTGAATTTTGTCAAAGGCCTTTTCTTCATTTATTGAGATAATCATGTGGTTTTTTCTTTCGTTCTGTTTATATGCTGGATTACATTTATTGATTTGCATATGTTGAACCAGCCTTGCATTCCAGGGATGAAGTCCACTTGATCATGGTGGATAAGCTTTTTGATGTGCTGCTGGATTCGGTTTGTCAGTATTTTATTGAGGATTTTTGCATCGATGTTCATCAAGGATATTGGTCTAAAATTCTCTTTTTTGATTGTGTCTCTGCCCGGCTTTGGTATCAGGATGATGCTGGCCTCATAAAATGAGTTAAGTAGGATTCCCTCTTTTTCTATTGATTGGAATAGTTTCAGAAGGAATGGTAGAAGCTCCTCTTTTTACCTGTGGTAGAATTCGGCTGTGAATCCATCTGGTCCTGAACTTTTTTTGGTTGGTCAGCTATTAATTATTGCCTCAATTTCAGAGCCTGTTATTGGTCTATTCAGAGATTCAACTTCTTCCTGGTTTAGTTTTGGGAGGGTATATGTGTTGAGGAATTTATCCATTTCTTCTAGATTTTCTAGTTCATTTTTGTAGAGGTGTTTATAGTATTCTCTGATGGTAGTTTGTATTTCTGTGGGATCGGTGGTGATATCCCCTTTATCATTTTTTTATTGCATCTATTAGATTCTTCTCTCTTTTCTTCTTTATTAGTCTTGCTAGCGGTCTATCAATTTTGTTGATCTTTTCAAAAAACCAGCTCCTGGATTCATTAATTTTTTTGAAGGGTTTTTTATGTCTCTATTTCCTTCAGTTCCCCTCTGATCTTAGTTACTTCTTGCCTTCTGCTAGCTTTTGAATATGTTTGCTCTTGCTTTTCTAGCTCTTTTAATTGTGATGTTAGGGTGTCAATTTTAGATCTTTCCTGCTTTCTCTTGTGGGCATTTAGTGCTATAAATTTCCCTCTACACACTGCTTTGAATGTGTCCCAGAGGTTCTGATATATTGTGTCTTTGTTCTCATTGGTTTCAAAGGACATCTTTATTTCTGCCTTCATTTCATTATTTACCCAGTAGTCATTCAGGAGCAGGTTTTCAGTTTCTGTGTAGTTGAGCAGGTCTGAGTGAGTTTCTTAATCCCGAGTTCTAGTTTGATTGCACTGCGGTCTGAGAGACAGTTTGTTATAATTTCTGTTCTTTTATATTTGCTGAGGAGTGCTTTACTTGCAACAATGTGGTCAATTTTGGAGTAGGTTTGGTGCGGTGCTGAAAAGAATGTATATTCTGTTGTTTTTGGGTGGAGAGTTCTGTAGATGTCTATTAGGTCCGCTTGGTGCAGAGCTGAGTTCAATTCCTGGGTATCCTTGTTAACTTTCTGTCTCATTGATCTGTCTAATGGTGACAGTGGTGTGTTAAAGTCTCCCATTATTATTGTGTGGGATTCTAAGTCTCTTCGTAAGTCACTAAGGACTTGCTTTATGAATCTGGGTGCTCCTGTATTGGGTGTATATATATTTAGGATAGGTAGCTCTACTTGTTGAATTGATTCCTTTACCATTATGTTATGGCCTTCTTTGTCTCTTTTGATCTTTGTTTGTTTAAAGTCTATTTTATCAGAGACTAGGATTGCAACTCCTGCTTTTTTTTGTTTTCCATTTGCTTGGTAGATCTTCCTCCATCCCTTTATTTTGATCCTATGTGTGTCTCTGCACGTGAGATGGGTTTCCAGAGTACAGCACACTGATGGGTCTTGACTCTTTATCCAATTTGCCATTCTTTGCCTTTTAATTGGAGCATTTAGTCCATTTACATTTAAAGTTAATATTGTTATGTGTGAATTTGATCCTGTCATTATGATGTTAGCTTGTTATTTTGCTCGTTAGTTGATGCAGTTTCTTCCTAGCCTTGATGGTCTTTACAATTTGGCACGTTTTTGCAGTGGCTGGTACCAATTTTTGCTTTCCATGTTTTGTGCTTCCTTCATGGGCTCTTTTAGGGCAGGCCTGGTGGTGACAAAGTCTCTCAGCATTTACTTGTCTGTAAAGTGTTTCATTTCTCCTTCACTTATGAAGCTTAGTTTGGCTGGATATGAGATTCCGGGTTGAAAATTCTTTTCTTTAGGAATGTTGAATATTTGTCCCTGGTCTCTTCTGGCTTGTAGAGTTTGTGCAGAGAGATCAGCTGTTAGTCTGATGGGCTTCCCTTTGTGGGTAACCCGACCTTTCTCTCCGGCTGCCGTTAACATTTTTTCCTTCATTTCAACTTTGGTGAATCTGACAATTATGTGTCTTGGGGTTGGTCTTCTCAAGGAGTATCTTTGTGGTGTTCTCTGTATTTCCTGTATCTGAATGTTGGCCTGCCTTGCTAGATTGGGGAAGTTCTCCTGGATAATATCCTGTAGAGTGTTTTCCAACTTGATTCCATTCTCCCTGTCACTTTCAGGTACACCAATCAGAAGTAAATTTGGTCTTTTCACATAGTCCCATATTTCTTGGAGTTTTTGTTTGTTTCTTTTTATTCTTTTTTCTCTAAACCTCTCTTCTCACTTCATTTCATTCATTTCATCTTCCATCACTGATGCCCTTTCTTCCAGTTGATCGCATCGGCTACTGAAGCTTCTGCATTCATCACGTAGTTCTTGTTTCTTAGTTTTCAGCTCCATCAGTTCCTTTAAAGACTTCTCTGCATTGGTTATTCTAGTTATCTATTCGTCTAATTTTTTTTCAAAGCTTTTAACTTCTTTGCCATTGGTTCAAATTTCCTCCTGTAGCTCAGAGTAGTTTGATCATCTGAAGACTTCTTCTCTCAACTCATCAAAGTCATTCTCCATCCAGCTTTGTTCCATTGCTGTTGAGGAGGTACTTTCCTTTGGAGGAGGAGAGGCGCTCTGATTTTTAGTGTTTCCAGTTTTTCTGCTCTGTTTTTTCCCCATCTTTGTGGTTTTATCTACCTTTGGTCTTTGATGGTAGTGATGTACAGATGGGTTTTTGGTGTGGATGTTCTTTCTGTTTGTTAGTTTTCCTTCTAACAGTCAGGATCCTCAGCTGCAAGTCTCTTGGAGTTTGCTGGAGGTCCACTCCAGACCCTGTTTGCCTGGGTATCAGCAGCAGAGGCTGCAGAACAGCGGACATTGGTGAACCGCAAATGCTGTGGCCTGATCGTTCCTCTGGAAGTTTTGTCTCAGAGGAGTACCCGGCCATGTGAGGTGTGAGTCCGTCCCTACTGGGAGGTGCCTCCCAGTTAGGCTACTCAGGGGTCAGGGACCCACTTGAGGAGGCAGTCTGCCCATTCTCAGATCTCAAGCTGCGTGCTGGGAGAATCACTGCTCTCTTCAAAGCTCAGATGGAAATGCAGAAATCACCCATCTTCTGCATCACTCACGCTGGGAGCTGTAGATCGGAGCTGTTCCTATTCGGCTATCTTGGCTCCTCCCAGTTCTGCTATTGTTATAGCATCTGAGTCTTTATCATATTACTAGTTTTGGTTGACTTAGTGGAGTATGTCACTATTCTTCCCATCATTATGTGTCATTCATCTCTTATATCCAAATGGCCACTGAAAATCCGGGGAGAAAGACTTTGTATTCCTTTTTTAAAAAGAATCAAAACCTATGTGCCTGAAAGACCTATAGCGCCCACTTTAATCTTCCCTTAGAATCCTAATGAGGCTTCCACAATAGGATTCTCTATTACTGGATTTCTTGGTCATCCATTGTTCAGAGGCTTGTCTGCCTGACCAAATGGTGAGGTTACACCACAGGTGTCAGGAAATATTCAGACATTGTTCTGAGAGTGACAACCAAATGCTCCAAGAACTAAAGTTTATGCTTCCCATAAATATGGTCATTCAGAGGACTTAATTTTACTTTCTTGAACCAAATTTCTACTATTCAGAGGGAGAATTTCAGCAGATTTCCATATGAATCATACTCTTTAGTTTGAGAATCTCCATTAGGAAATTAAATATCTTGTTTTTCTTCATCAGGAAAAGAATAATTGCATTCATACCAGTGATTAGCAGGAATGAAAAATTCTGTCAGAGGTTCTATTTGTTCAAAATTTATACTTATAAATATGATACATTTCTCAGAGCCACCCCCTTCAACATTTCTACATATGATATTTCCATTTTATTAAGAAACTTTGCCATGCCATGCTATTTTTTTTAACTGGCCCTCTACCATCACCATGACATCGAGGACACTTATAATGAATTAATTTCTGTCTCTGTGAAAGTTCAACCACTTTTCAGTAGTTGTCATTCAAATTGCCCTCCTCTGGCCACTGTATTAGGGATATTGAATCCAAAATGCCAGTTTTCATCCTAGGGTGGCAGAATTAGGCTTCTGTGGGAGCTTCCAGTGTGCATAACTTCCCATAGCAGATACTTCTGAAAACAACTGGCCATTAAGGTTATTGGGTTTCAATGACATTGTGTGAGTAACTTCCCATTATAAATCTCCTAGAACTATTGTTACTTCTTTTGTGTTACCAGGATGTGAAAGAGATGTTATATTTGGTAAGGTTTCTACAATGTCTCTGTTGGTCATGGACCAAGTTGTTCCAAGGAACTTGCCTTATTACTCCAAACTCTGTATTTTGGCTAGAATGATCAGTCACACTAGACACTGATATTTATTTTCACTCCCATATTCTTCCAAGCTTCTTCTGAGGAGTCAGCTATTATGTTGTTATCAATGAATTAATCAAATCAGAATGAATTTATTTACTTTTATTATATTAGTGTGTAAATTTTATTTCACCAAATTATGTCAGTGTGCTAAATATATATCCTTGGGGAAAAATGATGAACACATTTTACCTTTTTTTCTACATAAAACTGAACTATTCATCATATTCCTTTGATTGTAAAAGTTCATCTGGAAGCATAAAGATAAGGAAATTGCAATTAAATATGGAAAGAATGATGAGCTATTCTGGATAAGACAGATTATAAGGTTATGACAATTAAAACAGTGTTGTACTATTTCAAATATATACATTTGATAAATAAATTATAGGACTTGTACATTACTTCAGTTTCCTATACATATTTAAATTGAGGATGTTTCATTTATGACGTTTTTGTTACAAATAACAGAATACTCAATTCAATCTATTTTGAAATAGAAGAATATTTATTTCTTGGCTAACATAAGTGTAAAATTCAATGTTATGTCCAGCTTCATGGTAAGTGGTTAAAATTGATTAATTATTTAATGAAGGAGCCCTTTTCTTCGTTCATTGTATCCTGTGTGTCCCATGTTGGATTTAATCTCTCTTATCACAAGAAGAGTTGCTATCTGTAACCATTGAGAGAAGACTCTTTTCATAAATGTGGCAGAGTTAATTGACCTGGTTATGATGAAGAATGGAGGTGTTATAACACAATAGTGGCAGGGAATGATATTTTTATCTTCCAGGTGACTGACGTGGGCACATCTTGTCATGCTCTTGTCCAATTGTGATAATAAGTGAGAAAGTACAAGAATCCTGTTCTGAATGAGTACAGTGTTCAGGGATGATGCATTTTGTGGGTGAAGGTCTAAGTTACACCTTTAAGTAAGTCATGAGATCAGTAGCGGTGCTAGTAGAAGGTGAAGTGGGAGAAATAGAATTGACAATGAAGGAATAAATGTTAAAAAGCAGTTGCAACTCTATCATCAGCCACGGTGGCAAGAGACATAGTTTGTCCCTTAACCTTTCTCTTCTAATTTCCCCCCAAGAAGAGAATACTAAATAAACTATTCTCATGTGTATATGAAGAAATGGATTCAAGTGACATAAGAGGTAGACTGTGATAGATATAAGATGTACTTCCTTACCCTCCCTTTAGGAAAGAAGGATGTATTTTTCCAGTTGCTGAGCATGCTATTCATAGACAACCTTCAGATATTAGCCCTTTCAATATCTGTAGAAGTTGCAGAAAGCCACCTCCCCAAAGGCCTCATGTCCTTTCCCTGAGAAGTCCCTTTTTGCATGTAGATCTGTATTTAGGTGTCACTTGAGCGCAAGTGGGAAATATAACCTTGTTGTGGAAGGAAATATTTCATTTGATAAACAAATTGCAGAGTCTAAATAATATGCACTGGCAAGAATTGGAGGAACCTGTGGAAATGGATCTTGTGGATATTCGAACACAAAAGGCAAAATAGATGCCTGTATTGGGGAATGTTTATTACAATTGGGATAATTTCTCAGAATATATGTAGTATGGGCATATGATGACTATAACTTACTGAGCACACACTGTGTGTCAAACATATGGGAGTGAGCATTTCATGTTCTCAGGTTAGGATTGTCCAACTGGCACCATGACTCACCCTTTAGGAGGACTTTCCAATGTCTCATTTTTTCAGCTTCTAGATGATGAGAAATGAGGTTATACCACAAATTCTGCCATATTTCAACAAGCTAGGCTCTTCACCAAACACAGAGGAGAGAGAATAATCTTAGTTTGTTTCCAGTCTTTTGGGGAATGTATTCAGTCTTCAACCATTAACTATGATGTAAGATGTAGTTTTTTAATAAGTTTCTTTTGCTAAATTGAGAACATTCTCTGTAGTCCTATTTTTCTGAAAGTTTTATTGTAAGTGGCGCTTTCCATGGCTGAGAGTAATAAAGGTGGAGACACATGTTCATGAGGAAAAAAAAGCTTATGGTGATGAGTGATTTGTTTTAGTTTATTTACTAGAAATGATTCTTCTGGATAAAGAATGAATGAGATATCATGGCAATGGATAATGGATTCTACTCTGTGAACAATAAATAGGGCAAGTGCTAGGACAAATATATAACCAGAATATTTGATGACAAAATGCTGTCTTCTCCAGACTTAGGGGTTGCAATGAAGTAAGCTGTTACAGGGTTGTGGCTGTCTTCCCTAGCTATTTGTGCCATGTTAAGGTGTCAATGATGGACATTGCTGATGGCATTTTGGACCTTGAGGCTTTGTAGAGTATTCATCTCTGCAACAGTGACTACAAATACAACTGGGAAAAAGGCCGACTGACATCCAAAGTGCAGTTCATGTTTATGAGATTCCTGAAAGCTTCTTCTGCAGTAGATTCTTTTTGTTGGGCATTTATGTCAGAAACTAACATTGTAGTATTTGATCTTCATTTTGAGAGAGTCACCCACATATGGTTCTTCCAACTACTTTGTCATCATTTTTCAATTTTAAAATTTCCAGTTTCCTCATTAGCTTATCAAACCTGTTAGCCAGTGTCCATTTTCAGCATAGATCCGTAAGTATGGTTATTACACGTTCCACATACAGTGGAAAAACCAGACTGACTGCTCAAAATACTGCCCTCTGGGAGGCTTTTCCTTCACTCCAGTGCTTCCAGACCACCTTCCAGGGACAGTGCAGCATTTGCAGAGTTTTGTCTGTTTTTGCCATTCCAGGCAGATTGGTTACTCCTTTTGTTGTTGTCATCTTTAAAATATAGTTTGTTTTTTATTTTCTCTAGCTTTATTGAGGTATATTTGACAAAAATGTATTATATATATTTAAGATGTACAATGTGATATTTTGGTAAATGTATATATTGAGAAATGATTACCACAATCAACATGTTCATCACCTCACATAATTACCTTTTGTGTGTGGTGAGAATATTTAAGATTTATTTTCTCAGCAAACTTCAAGTATACACTATGGTATTACGAAGTATAGTCTGTATGCTGTAACTTAGCTCTCCAGAAGTTATTCATTCTGTATAACTGAAATTTTGTACTCTTTGACCAACATCTCCTCATCTCTCCCTCCCCACAGTCCCTGGCAATCACCATTCTACTTTCTGACCTTATGAGTTTGACTTTTTTTTAGATTCCTCATGTAACTGAGATCACGTGGTCTTTACCTTCAGTGTGGAGAAAAGGGAACCTTTTTACATGGTTGGTGGAATGTAAATTGATACAGCCATTATAGAAGACACTATGGAGGATAATACTACCATATGATCCGGCAATCCCACTACTCGGTATGTATCCAAAGAAAATGAAATTAGTATCTTGAAGACATACCTGGGCTCCCATATGTACTGCAGCATTATTCATAATCACCAAGATATGGAAACAACTTAGATGTCCATCGACAGATGAATGGATAAAGGCAATGTGATATCTATATGTCTGTCTATCTATCTATCTATCTATCTATCATCTATCTATCTATCTATCTATCTATCTATCTATCTATCTATCTCTATCATCTATCTATCATCAATCATCTATCTAATGTACACATGCACACTTATACTAACATTCTGCTATTTTTGACAATATGAATGAACCTGGAAGGCTTAATAACCTCTTTGTTTTATTTTGTTTTTAATTGACAAACAGTAATTGTGTGTATTTGTGGAGTGCAGATGATGTTTTTATATCATATGTGATAGCATAGATGTACCTAGAGGACATTATGCTAAGTGAAATGATTTCTTGAATAGATATTTAGTGGACTGATTTTCAGTCTTTATTATTTATTTTCTTTTCTTTTTTTTATTATACTTTAAGTTTTAGGGTACATGTGCACATTGTGCAGGTTAGTTACATATGTATACATGTGCTGTGCTGGTGCGCTGCACCCACTAACCTGTCATCTAGCATTAGGTATATCTCCCAATGCTATCCCTCCCCCCTCCCCCAACCCCACAACAGTCCCCAGAGTGTGATATTCCCCTTCCTGTGTCCATGTGATCTCATTGTTCAATTCCCACCTATGAGTGAGAATATGCGGTGTTTGGTTTTTTGTTCTTGTGATAGTTTACTGAGAATGATGATTTCCAATTTCATCCATGTCCCTACAAAGGACATGAACTCATCATTTTTTATGGCTGCATAGTATTCCATGGTGTATATGTGCTACATTTTCTTAATCCAGTCTATCATTGTTGGACATTTGGGTTGGTTCCAAGTCTTTGCTATTGTGAATAATGCCGCAATGTCCAAAACACCAAAAGCAATGGCAACAAAAGACAAAATTGACAAATGGGATCTAATTAAAATAAAGAGCTTCTGCACAGCAAAAGAAACTACCATCAGAGTGAACAGGCAACCTACAAAATGGGAGAAAATTTTCGCAATCTACTCATCTGACAAAGGGCTAATATCCAGAATCTACAATGAACTCAAACAAATTTACAAGAAAAGAACAAACAACCCCATCAAAAAGTGGGCGAGGGACATGAACAGACACTTCTCAAAAGAAGACATTTATGCAGCCAAAAGACACATGAAAAAATGCTCATCATCACTGGCCATCAGAGAAATGCAAATCAAAACCACTATGAGATACCATCTCACACCACTTAGAATGGCAATCATTAAAAAGTCAGGAAACAACAGGTGCTGGAGAGGATGTGGAGAAATAGGAACACTTTTACACTGTTGGTGGGACTGTAAACTAGTTCAACCATTGTGGAAGTCAGTGTGGCGATTTCTCAGGGATCTAGAACTAGAAATACCATTTGACCCAGCCATCCCATTACTGGGTATATACCCAAAGGACTATAAATCATGCTGCTATAAAGACACATGCACACGTATGTTTATTGCGGCATTAGTCTTTATTATTTTCAAGCAAATACAAGTAATATTTTAGCTGAGACTTACAAGCTTTGATATTGTTGTAGTTTCATTATTATTAGGCCCAAATATTTTCTAACTTCTGTGATTTATTTTTCAATGGATTATTTAGGAGTGATTTGTTTAATGTTGAGCCATAGAAAATTTCTGGCTAATTTTAGTTTTTCATTTTTTAGCTGATTTTCTTGTTGTTCAGTGACATATTTTATTTTGATGACTATTTGAAATTCATTGAGAGTTGCTTTATGAACCAGCATATAATTGACTTTGGAAAATGTTTTATATGCTCTTGAAAAGAATGTGCATTTTGCAGCTGTTGTATGTGATCCTCTCATATGTCACTGCATCAGATTTATTAATGGTTTTGTTTAAACCTTAAATACCTTTATAAATTTTTTGTGTGTATATTCTAGCACTTAGAGTTGTGCTAAAATTTTCCTGTTATTGCTGATTTGCCTATTTCTCCTTTTAGGTCAGCCTGTTTTTCAAAAATAACATAAAGTTGTGCCAATTTATCATTTTATTCGTGTTACTAATTTTTGGCATTACAAACATTTATTTCTGGCAATATTTCATGCATGGAAGTTTGGTTTTGTCTGATATTAGCATGGAAATAATGTTCTTTTTGTCAGAACTTATGCAGTTTCTTCTATTATTTTATTTTCACTTTCTATCCTGTTATTTAGTATGTTTCTCTTATAAGGCTCTTACCATTGTGTTATGTTTCTTAAATAGGAGAAATTTGCTCATTTAAAAGGATAAAATTAATTATGTATTGAATATAAATCCCCACTTTTTTCTTGGTTTTGTATTTATTGATGTTACATATGATTAATATTCATGTTATTTATTGCTATATTTCTTCTTTCAATTAGTCTTCCATCTTTCCTGCATTTACTTTTTTCCATTTCAGAGGTTTTTCCTTCTTCCTAGAGATCATTCTTCTTTTTTTTTATTATACTTTAAGTTTGAGGGTACAAGTGCACAAAGTGCAGGTTTATTACATATATATACATATGCCATGTTGTTGTGCTGCACCCAGTAACTCGTCATTTAACATTAGTAATCTCTCCTAATGCTATCCCTCCTCCCTCCCCCCATCCCATAACAGGCCTCAGTGTGTGATGTTCCCCTTCCTGTGTCCATGTGTACCCATTGTTCAATTCCCTCCTATGAGTGAGAACATATAGTGTTTGGTTTTTTGTCCTTGTGATAGTTTGCTTAGAATGAAGGTTTCCAGTTTCATCCATGTCCCTACAAAGGACATGAACTCATCCTTTTCTATGGCTGCATAGTATTCCATCGTGTATATGTGCCACATTTTCTTAATCCAGTCTATCATTATTGGACATTTGGGTTGGTTCAAGTCTTTGCTATTGTGAATAGTGCCACAATAAACATACGTGTGCATGTTTCTTTATAGCAATATGATTTATAATCCTTTGGGTATATACCCAGTAATGGGATGGCTGGGTCAAATGGTATTTCTAGTTCTAGATCCCTGAGGAATTGCCACACTGACTTCCACAATGGTTGAACTAGTTTACAGTACCACCAACAGTGTGAAAGTGTTCCTATTTCTCCACATCCTCTCCAGCACCTGTTGTTTCCTGACTTTTTAATGATTGCCATTCTAAGTGGTGTGAGATGGTATCTCATTGTGGTTTTGATTAGCATTTCTCTGATGGCCAGTGATGATGAGCATTTTTTCATGTGTCTTTTGGCTGCATAAATGTCTTCTTTTGAGAGGTGTCTGTTCATATCCTTCACCCACTTTTTGATGGGATTGTTTGTTTTTTTCTTATAAATTTGTTTGAGTTCATTGTAGGTGGAAGTTCTGGCCAGGGCAATCAGGCAGGAGAAAGAAATAAAGAGTATTCAATTAGGAAAAGAGGAAGTGAAATTGTCTCTGTTTGCAGATGACATGATTGTATGTCTAGAAAACCCCATTGTCTCAGCCCAAAATCTCCTAAAGCTGATAAACAAATTCAGCAATGTCTCAGGATACAAAATCAATGTAAAGAAATCACAAGCATTCTTATACACCAACAACAGACAAACAGAGAGCCAAATCATGAGTGAACTCCCATTCACAATTGCTTCAAAGAGAATAAAATACCTAGGAATCCAACTTACAAGGGATGTGAAGGACCTCTTCAAGGAGAACTACAAACAACTGCTCAATGAAATAAAAGAGGATACAAACAAATGGAAGAACCTTCCATGCTCATAGGTAGGAAGAATCAATATCCTGAAAATGGCCACGCTGCCCAAGGTAATTTATAGATTCAATGCCATCCCTATCAAGCTACCAATGACTTTCTTCACAGAATTGGAAAAAACTACTTTAAAGTTCATATGGAACCAAAAAAGAGCCCGCATTGCCAAGTCAATCCTAAGCCAAAAGAACAAAGCCGGAGGCATCATGCTACCTGACTTCAAACTATACTACAAGGCTACAGTAACCAAAACAGCATGGTACTGATACCAAAACAGAGATATAGACCAATGGAACAGAGCAGAGCCCTCAGAAATAATACCACACATCTAAAACTATCTGATCTTTGACTAACCTGACAAAAACAAGGAATGAGGAAAGGATTCCGTATTTAACAAATGTTGCTGGGAAAACTGGCTAGCCATATGTAGAAAGCTGAAACTGGATCCCTTCCTTACACCTTATACAAAAATTAATTCAAGATGGATTAAAGACTTAAATGTTAGACCTAAAAGCATAGAAACCCTAGAAGAAAACCCAGGCAATACCATTCAGGACATAGGCATGGGCAAGGACTTCATGTCTAAAACACCAAAAGCAATGGCAACCAAAGCCAAAATTGACAAATGGGATCTCATTAAACTAAAGAGCTTCTGCACAGCAAAAGAAACTACCACCAGAGTTAACAGGCACCCTACAGAATGGGAGAACATTTTTGCAATCTACTCATCTGACAAATGGCTACTATCCAGAATCTACAATGAACTCAAACAAATTTACAAGAAAAAGACAAACAACCCCATCAAAAAGTGGGTAAAGGATATGAACAGACAGTTCTCAAAAGAAGACATTTATGCAGCCAAAAGATGCATGAAAAAATGCTCATCATCACTGGCCATCAGAGAAATGCAAATCAAAACCACAATGAGATACCATCTCTTACCAGTTAGAATGGTGATCATTAAAAAGTCAGGAAACAACAGGTGCTGGAGAGGATGTGGAGAAATAGAAACACTTTTACACTGTTGGTGGGACTGTAAACTAGTTCAAGCATTGTAGAAGACAGTGTGGCAATTCCTCAGGGATCTAAAAGTAGAAATACCATTTGATCCAGCCATTGCATTACTGGGTATATACCCAAAGCATTATAAACCATGCTGCTATAAAGACACATGCACACGTATGTTTATTGTGGCACTATTCACAATAGCAAAGACTTGGAACAAACCCAAATGTGCAATGATGACAGACTGGATTAAGAAAATGTAGCAGATATACACCATGGAATACTTTGCAGTCATAGAAAAGGATGAGTTCAAGTCCTTTGTAGGGACATGGATGAAACTGGAAACCATCATTCTCAGCAAACTATCACAAGGACAAAAAACCAAACACCGCATGTTGTTACTCACAGGTGGGAATTGAACAATGGAACACTTGAACACAGGAAGAGGACCATCACACACCGGGGTCTGTTGTGGGGTGGTGGCATGGTGGAGGGATAGCATTAGGGGATATACCTAATGTAAATGACAAGTTAATGGGTGCAGCACACTAACATGGCACATGCATACATATGTAACAAACCTGCAAGTTGTGCAAAACTGTGTGAAATACAATATTATAGAGGTTTTTGTTATTATGGAATTTTATCTTTAGAAAATATCATGTTTTAGGCAACTCTGTTAAATCACTGTTTTTTTTTCTATTAAAATATTAAATTAGTAGTTTGCATTGAAAGCCTAGTGATGCTTTTAGTTTTTAAAGTATAATTTTTTTTTTGAGATGGAGTCTTGGTCTGTCTCCCAGCCTGGAGTGCAATGGTGTGATCTCACCTCATTGCAACCTCTGTCTCCCAGGTTCACATGATTCTCCTGCCTCGGCTTCCCGAGTAGCTGGGATTACAGATGCCCACCACCATGCCCAGCTAACCTTTGTATTCCTAGTAGAAATGGGGTTTCACCAGGTTGGCCAGGGTGGTCTTGAACTCCTGACCTCAAGTGACCCACCCACCTTGGCCTCCCAAAGTGCTGGGATTACAGGCATGAGCCACTGCGCCTGGCCTAAAGTATAATATTTTTAGTTACTTAAACTGTAGAGGTAGTTCACATACCCTATTTTTTATAAGTAAACGTTTAAATTGTCAAAAGGATAATCCTGTTGAAATCTAGTTTTATGATGTAAGAGGGAAAAGGCACTAAATATTGCAGCAAGTAAGGTGTAAAAAAACCAGAATTGGCTATAGACTACATTATTCCCTTGTGTTCTTCAGCAGGTGTGTCTCTATCAGTCTATTGCTTCAACAATGCCAGAACTCTGAAATCATCTGGAAGTGGTAATATGATGGTTCATATGGAGTGTTCATCACAGCTGGCTTCTGGAGACAGCTCAAACTCTCTCTGCACACGTCCTCTTCCACTGCCAGATCTATGTAAATGGAATCATCCTATCTACATTTGAGGTTCAGTAATTCTGCAGTTTTCCTCAGCAGCGCATAATTGAAAGTTTGGGTTTGTATCTCTACTTGTCCCACTGTTATCTGTAATTTAAGTTTGTCCTTAACCATCAGATCTAGAGACTCTGAGAAACAATGTGTTTTTTTTTTCTTTTGAAGTATCTTTTTTTTTTTTTTAATACTAGGATGTTCTGTGTTTGTTAAGGCTACCTCCGAAAGCCTCCTGGGTCACCTCAGAGACCTATAGGACGTTGCACTTTCTGTATTTTGTCACTAAAAGGAATCTTTCTGAAGAACATTTTAAAAGAATACAGCCTCACTTAACTATCCCATTAATCTTATCGCTTGTGAAAACTCATTTATTAATTACAGTTTCCTTGTTTTTCATTTTAGCCTTCTTTTCATTTCCTGAGCTCTTTCTTATGGTGGGTCCAACTTTTTCACTGTAATTCTGCTTGCTTATCATCAAAGTACATTTGGCCACTGGTAAAATTACTATTCATATAATTAAATCATTAATTTATAAGGCATACAATTTTATTGTGTGCCTCCAAAACGTTTTCCTGAATTACAGGTATCTTATCCCTTTTTTTCCTGGAGTATGTCTGTAAATCTTTTCAAGTTGACAAAGATCTGCATGATTTGTTCTGATCCTATATTAACAATGTAGCATTCAAGAACACTAATTATAGCTATCATTTATTGAGGACTTACCAGGTGCCAGCCAGTGTTCCAGGCATTTTACTTTGTTTTAATAAAACAACAACTCTAAGAGGTAAGGACTATTGGGATCTCCATTCTAAAAATGATGAAAGTAAAGGGCAGAGAGTGTTAGTAAATGACCCAAAGTCTCATAAAAAACGGTGAACCTGAGTGAGATAGTTCAGAAGATGTTATTCATGGTGCTACCCAGATCATATTATAAAGATACCACAAGTACAAACACAAAGGACTAAATCTATGTCAATTTATTTATTTAGAGTTGCTTACCACCACCAGAGAGTGTTTCTTGAGACTAAGAACCTGTTGCCTATTTATCGTAGCTGATTTCTGTGCCCAGAAAAATATTTTTAATAAGAAGTTATTAAATGTATGAATGGCTGTTGGGACTTTAATTCTTCTTCTGTATAGAATATTCACTAAACTTAGTGGTAGAAATCTTAACCTCTGTCTGAATCTAAAATGTTTGAGGAGAAGTAGAATTGTCAAGGAAAAAGGGGCTCTTTGATGAGGAACTCAAATTTGAGTTCCTAAATATTTGTTGTGTGTAAATCTCTATTCAGGATACAACAACGAAGACATGCTCTGTGACACAATTGATGTAATCATATTCCTGTTCACTATTTCATTACAGGTCCTGTTCTCCTGAGCTCTCACCTCTGATACAAGCCTGAAAAAAGAGTAAATGAGACAAAATAACAGTATTACAGAATTTGTCTTCCTGGGCTTCTCTCAGGATCCTGATGTGCAAAATGCATTATTTGTCATGTTTTTACTCACATACATTGTGTCAGTGGTGGGGAACCTACTCATTGTCATGACTATTATTGCCAGCCCTTCCTTGGGCTCCCCAGTGTACTTCTTCCTCACCTGCCTGTCATTTATAGAGGCTGTGTATTCCACCACCATTTCTCCTGTATTGATTGTCGACTTCCTCTGTGATAAAAAGACTATTTCCTTCCGAGCTTGCATGGGCCAGCTGTTTATAGACCACTTGTTTGGTGGTGCAGATCTTTCTTCTGGTGATGATGGCCTGGGATCGCTACATGGCCATCTGTAAGCCACTGCACTATTTGACCATCATGAATCAACAGGTTTGCATCCTTCTGTTTGTGTTGGCCATGACTGGAGGTTTTGTGCATTCTGTGTTTCAAATTGTTGTTGTATACTGTCTCCCTTTCTGTGGCCCGAATGCCATTGACCATTTTTACTGTGATATGTACCCATTATTGGAACTGGCATGCACTGACACCTACTTTATAGGTCTCACTGTGGTTTTCAATGGTGGAGCAATCTGTATGGTCACCTTCACCCTTCTACTAATCTCATATAGGGTCATCCTAAACTCCCTTAAAACTTACAGTCAGGAAAGGAGGCATAAAGCCCTGTCTACCTGCAGATCCCACATTACCGTGGTTGTCCTGTTTTTTGTTCCCTGTATTTTCATGTATGTTAGACCTGTTTCAAACTTTTCTATTGATAAATTCCTCACTGTGTTTTATGCAGTTATCACACCCATGTTGAATCCTTTTATATACGCGTTGAGAAATTCAGAGATGAGGACTGCTATAGAAAAACTCTTTGGTACAATGAGCTATAATTAGGATAAGAGTTTTCCTCCTCATATACGTAAGGATGTATGTAGACAAGGTCTTCTCAGTGAAATTTCAGACTTCTAAGGGTAATTCAAGGATCCCAATGTGGGAAGACAGGATTTAGATGCTCCGAACTCAGTTAATAAATCATCCCATCATGACATCTGTTTGAAGCTCAAGATCTCAACCTCTGCATTCAGACTGAGAGTAGATGTGGCTCCTTAGGTGCAGGTCCTGTTTTGCAAATTTTAAATTTTGGATTTTCCCTATTACACATCTGTTGAGACAGAGTATTTCTTCCATATGCCTAGCATAGAATGGAGAAAGGGAAGAATAGGTAATTAAAATAGATGCTCCCATTCAAAAGGGAAGGCTATCCTGCTTCCTTCAGTGTAATTTAGTTAAAGACTTTTGAGAAGTGTCTGTTCATGTCCTTAGCCCACTTTTTGATGAGGTTGTTTGTTTTTTTCTTGTAAATTTGTTTGAGTTCATTGTAGATTCTGGATATTAGCCCTTTGTCCGATGAGTAGGTTACGAAAATTTTCTCCCATTTTGTAGGTTGCCTGTTCACTCTGATGGTAGTTTCTTTTGCTGTGCAGAAGCTCTTTAGTTTAATGAGATCACATTTGTCAATTTTGGCTTTTGTTGCCATTGCTTTTGGTGTTTTAGACATGAAGTCCTTGCCCATGCCTATGTCCTGAATGGTAATGCCTAGGTTTTCTTCTAGGGTTTTTATGGTTTTAGGTCTAACATGCAAGTCTTTAATCCATCTTGAATTGACATGAACAGACACTTCTCAAAAGAAGACTTTTATGCAGCCAAAAAACACATGAAAAAATGCTCACCATCACTGGCCATCAGAGAAATGCAAATCAAAACCACAATGAGATACCATCTCACACCAGTTAGAATGGCAATCATTAAAAAGTCAGGAAACAACAAGTGCTGGAGAGGATGTGGAGAAATAGGAACACTTTTACACTGTTGGTGGGACTGTAAACTAGTTCAACCATTGTGGAAGTCAGTGTGGCGATTCCTCAGGGATCTAGAACTAGAAATACCATTTGACCCAGCCATCCCATTACTGGGTATATACCCAAAGGACTATAAATCATGCTGCTATAAAGACACATGCACACGTATGTTTATTGCGACATTATTCACAATAGCAAAGACTTGGAACCAACCCAAATGTCCAATAATAATAGACTGGATTAAGAAAATGTGGCACATATACACTATGGAATACTATGCAGCCATAAAAAATGATGAGTTCATGTGCTTTCTAGGGACATGGATGAAATTGGAAATCATCATTCTCAGTAAACTATCACAAGAACAAAAAACCAAACACCGCATATTCTCACTCATAGGTGGGAATTGAACAATGGGAACACATGGATACGGGAAGGGGAACATCACACTCTGGGGTCTGTTGTGGGGTGGGGGGGGGGGAGGGATAGTATTGGGAGATATACCTAATGCTAGATGACGAGTTGGTGGGTGCAGCGCACCAGCATGGTACATGTATACATATGTAACTAACCTGCACATTGTGCACATGTACCCTAAAACTTAAAGTATAATAAATAAATAAATAAATAAATAAATTAAAAAAAGACTTTGTGGAATATACAAGCACCATATTCACAGATATATTTGAAACTGGCCCTTCTCAGACTTGAGCTGAAACTTTATGAGCAGTCAGAAAATACTTTTAAGAATCTTAGAATTATGTTTGTCTAGTTTTAAGTACTTATGAGGCACATCATTAAATTTTTCTTAAGTCTTTTTATAGAGTCTTAACATCCCCAAGTTTGAAATGACTTATTTTGATGACCTTTCTTCCTTTTAGAGTTCTTAGATTTTTGCAGAGATTTGAAAGGGAGGTCATTTTTATCTTTGAAACCAGCGCGTTCTGGTTCTTTTATGTTTTTTGTAAATTCTGTCTGAATATGTAACAGTTAATCTTATCAGTTTTTTTTAAATCTATGACTTATTATAAGATATAATGCTATAAGAAACAGCTGTAACTTTCAATATTCTATTTGGAAATTTTAGCCATATCCACCTATTCCCTTAAGTACTTTTTTATTGTTTTCATTACTATAGGTGACAGAATTACTAAATTTTTTTCACCCCTAGATAGCACCTCACTTTTTTCACAACCTCCAGAACAGTTACGTCTGTATTTTCAGCCTTTACTTACAATATCCTGGAGGCCCCTATTTTTGGGTACTAAAGCCAGTTTCATACACTTTAAATTGTTGTTATGGAAGCACCACACCTTGAGGTGCCATTTTTTATTCTTGTCCTGTCTTCATGTATGGTGCAGAGCTCCACAGTTAACAACCATCATTTTATTTTATCTCAAAATTTTGTGAGTCAGAATTCAGGAAGTTGTTGGCTGGGTATTTCTTCTGTTTGTGTGGCAAGGACTGAAGTCACTGTTTTATTCAGCTGATAACTGAGTTTTACATAAACTCAGGATAACTTAATTCACATTTGTATCATATTGGGAGGGATGACAGTAAGAAATGCACTCAGTCTCTCTTCCTATCCATTTAGATGAAGGACCACAAGATAACTCCAGATAATAGTCAAGCTTTTTATATGGTACTCGGAGATCCAAGTGGTAGAAAGTAGATGGGTACAGCCAGTTAAGCGCTATGTCCAGAGTAGCACCATGTCACTCGCGTCATAATCTATTTGTCATAGTGTTCACATGACCACCCAAATTTGAGGTTTTACAGAAATAGAAGATATCCCTTGATGGAGAAGTAGCAGGGTCACTTTGTGGAGCAGCATGCAGAACAATTGTCTAAATCTCAAAAAGAGCATATTGGAGTTTTATTCATTTTAAGTTGGATCCATAAATTATCTTGTACTAACAACTTCTTAACAATATTGGATTTTCTAGTTCCTGAATACCGTATATCTGTTAGGTATTTTAAATGTTTATTTTTGAAGAGTTTCATAGTTTTTATTCGTGTAATGATCTCTCTTATCTATTCTTAAGTATTTACATTTTCAGATTTCATCACAAATTTTCAATTTTTAAAAAATTCCCATTGTCATTGTTGCTAGTGTATATAAAGTAAATTGAATTTTTTATTTAGCATCTGAGTGCTATAAACCTGATAAATTTACTTCTTAATCCTACAAAGTTATTCTTTAGGGTTTTCTGAAACACCATAAACCTGCTAAATTTACTTCTTAATCCTACAAAGTTATTCTTTAGGGTTTTCTGACACACTATCATGTTATCTACAAGTAAGGTAGCTCATTACCTGGAAATAGATAGGGGTGATTCAGTTTCTTTTTGTGTCAATTTTAGAAGATTATTCTTTCCCTACATTTTACCTCATTCATCTACGCTGTCAAATTAATTGAAATAATGTATTTCATAACAATCATTTTGTAACCTGTTGAGTTTAAAGGATCTATGTTCCCTGTATTTTCATGTATGTTAGACCTGTTTCAAACTTTCCTATTGTTTGATATTATTTGTTTTATGAGTTCTGATATTGGTAATTTGAATTTCTCTTTCTTTTCTTTTGATCACTCTTACTATCAATTTATCAGTTTCATAATAAAAGTACCAACACTTGGCTATTTTCATTTTCTCTATTTTATGTTTCCCTTTTTACTGGTTTTGATCTTATGTTTATGTCCTTTCATTTAATTACATTGGCTTTTATTTACTCTTCTTGTTCTAGCTTCTTAAGGTGAAGGCTCAGATGGCTGCTTGTAAACATTTATTTTAAATGTAAACTTTTATAGTATACATATTACTGTAAGTACAGTTTTGATCACACCTCACGCATTTTGTTGTTTTTGTTATTGCTGATTTCTAAATATTTGGTTAATTCCATTATACTTTTTTTCTTTGATTCTTAGGGTCACTAAATACTTATTGGCATGATTCCCAATATTTGAAGCATATTCTAGATATATTTATGAATTATTTATTTATTCATAGCAAATTATTTCAAAACTTATTGATTCAAACAATATGTACTCATTCTCAATTTCTGTTGTTCAGGTAATTAAGGATGGTTTAGCAGGTTGTCATGCTTCAAGGTCTCTCACAAAACTGTAATCAAGGTGCTGGTTGGGACTACCATCCCATATAAAAGCTTGTTTGTGGGAGAATCCACTTCCACACTGGTATTGAGAATTAGGTCCTATTATTTTATTAGTTCTTCATCATGGAATCATAATTTAAACCACAGTATCTTTGATCATGTCTGATAGTTCTTTGGAATTAAACATAAGTTTGTGCATATTTTAGCACCTACCAGAAAGACAGCATAGCACTTATAGGCATGTTCTTTGAATTTTAGCAGTAATACATATTACATTTGGGGTGGATGAATTTAATCCATTTATTAGGTAAGTTGAAAATGGCCAACTTTTAGTGTAGCCTGTTATGTGATAAAACTTTAGCTGGTTTGGATAGGTATTTATGGGACTCTTTATCTCAGGCTCTTAGGACATAAAGATCCAATATTTAACTAAACATATAATGAGATGAAGGTGTCAATGGAGCCAATAGTAAGCCAAGTCATGGAAATAAAAATGGAAGCCCTTAAATACTGCTCCCTTGTTGGCAAATAAAAATTTCTTTATTATAGACACAGTTATTGAATTGATATTGGAATGTAAGTAAAAAATTGAGTTAATGGATGTATTAGTCCATTTTCACACTGCTGATAATGAGATACCCAAGACTGGGAAGAAAAAGAGGTTTAATTAGACTTACAGTTCGACAGGGCTGGGAAGCCTCAGAATCATGGTGGGAGGTGAAAGCCACTTCTTACACGGTGGTGGCAAGATAAAAATGAGGAAGATATAATTCAAGTTGAGATTTAGGTGGGGACACAGCCAAACCATATAAATGGAGTACTGATTATTGTCATTATATCTTTTTTTTTTATACTTTAATTTTAGGGTACATGTGCACATTGTGCAGGTTAGTTACATATGTATACATGTGCCATTCTGGTGCGCTGCACCCACTAACTCGTCATCTAACATTAGGTATATCTCCCAATGCTATCCCTCCCTTCTCCCCCCACCCCACCACAGTCCCCAGAGTGTGATATTCCCCTTCCTGTGTCCATGTGATCTCATTGTTCAATTCCCACCTATGAGTGAGAATATGCGGTGTTTGGTTTTTTGTTCTTGCGATAGTTTACTGAGAATGATGGTTTCCAATTTCATCCATGTCCCTACAAAGGACATGAACTCATCATTTTGGCCATCAGAGAAATGCAAGTCATTATATCTTATATAGGTACAGGTCTTGATCAAAAGCCTGCCATCTAACTAAAACTGCAGCACTATGATTACCTATTTTTCCAAGAACCAGAATGTCATCTTCCATTCTTAGGATCTCTGCCTCTGAGCCTCAGGGCTTCTTGGGCACGGACTTTCTAACAGGAAGGGTAAGGCCCTCCTTACCGGGAATGTTTTTAGAGAAGAGAACATGGGACTGGTTCTCCTTTCATTCTGGCTGAAATATTACTTGCCTTACCTAAATATTTCATAATGTGAAACTCATAATTTATTATTCAGTTTACTTTAAAATTATTATTTTCATATTACAGGCATTTCACATTACTTATCATTTAGCTACTCTTCCTTAGCCAGAACCAAGTCTTTTCCTCTAGGGATTTTGTAAGAAAAAAGTATACAGAGAGGTTATTTCATTTGAAGTTGTTCCAAATATTCTAATTAACTAATCTATAATGATCTTACTGTCTCTCTCTAAAATATTGTTGATGTGAAAGTCATAGACTGTGTTTACACACATAAGTGGCAGAGTTATTTTTCTGATAGAACAACCCAGGAGATATCAAAAAAGTTAAATTTCTGCCCAAGGTAGAATATGTCTTCAGTTGGTATCTAGTCCTCTAGGTGTAACATTTTCTTGTAATATCTACCATTGCTTGTAAAAATGAGTGAAAGTTCTCAATTTCCTGGGATGAGATTGGAGAGATATAGAGACATGCTTTTACTTAGGAAAGAAGTGGTCTTAGGGATATGCTAGTTGAATGACTGAAAGACTGAAGAATTAGGCTTCCCCTGTATTGTCCTTTTTAGGTACAAAGCTTAATAGCTGGGGGCATGAATGTTATCATATATCCTCAATCACAGTAAAGTACTTATGGTTGCTTCACCATAAGTGAGAAAACTTTCAAGTAACAAATTTTAGTGTTGATACTTCTGTCATATAATAAAGGTCTGGTCCAGGTTAATTTCTACTAATTAGGTCAACTTTTACATAGTCAAACAGAGACAGTGTCTTTGTTTTTCTATGAAGAAATTTTCCAGCAAATTTGCCAAATAAGAAAAAAATGTTCCTAATTACATGTATGATAAGTAAACCAATAGATGTATAATCTTAGATTATGGGATATTATTTTTATATGATATATTAATAAAGGTGTACATTTACTTTCAGATATATTTGATTAGAGAACTTAAAATTCTGGATCATGTCAAGTGTATTAGGGTGTAAAGAAACCAATGCTTGTTATGTTCTAGAAGCATAATTATATAGGGTTTTACTTGTGAATCTAAAAATTATTTCAGCAAAGATACTGATAGATACATATGATCAGGAAGGTACCTAGTCTACTGTCATTTAAATAGATTTATAAAACTGTGACTGTGAAATATAATATTATAGAGTTTTTCATTATTATGGAACTTTTTCTTTTGAAAATGGCATGTCCTTAGGAAAGTATACTAAATCATTTTTTCTAGAAAAATGTTAACTTAGCAGTTTACGTTGAAAGCCTAGTAATGCTATGTTTCAGCATTTAAAGTATTATGTTTGGATGATTTAAACCATAAAGGATAGTTTTCATACTCTATTTCTATAAGTAAACATTTGTATTGACAAATAGAATTTTCCTGTTGAATCTAGTTTTGATAATGAAAGGGGGGAAAAGCACTAAACCTTGCAGGAAGTAAGGTGTGAAAAAATAACAGAATTGGCTATAGACTACATTATTCCCTTGTGTTCTTTAGGAGGTGTCTCTATCAGTCTATATCTTCAACAATGACAGAACTTTGGAATCAGCTGGAAGTGGTAATGTGAATGAGACATATGGAATGGTCATCACAGCTGGCTTCTAGAGGCAGCTCAAACTCTCTGCACATGTCATCTTCCACTGCCAGATCTATGTAAGTGGAATCATCTTGTCTACATTTGAGTTTTAATAATTCTGCCATTTTCCTCAGCAGCGAATAATCAGAAAGTTTGGGTTTCTATGTCTCCTTGTCCCATTGTTCTCTGTAATTTAAGTTTGTCCTTAGCCATCAGATCTAGAGACTTTGAGAAATCAATGTGTTTTGTTTTTCTTCTGTGTTTTCTTTTCTTTTGTTTACCAGGATTTGGTCTGTGTTTGTTTGGCTACCCCAAGATTTTTAGAATACCAGCTTCTATTATCACATTAATCTTAATGTTTTTACTACCTGTGGATATTAAATTATTTACTGTAATTACTCTGTTTTCTGATTTGAGCCCTTTTTCTTTCATTTTCTACCATTTAGCTCTCTCTCTGATGATGGGTCCAACTTTTCTACTCTAATTCTCCAGGATTTTGTCAAGATACGTTCCATCATAGATGAAATCACAACTCATACATAATTATATAGATAATACCTAAGACATACAATTATATTGTGTCCCCCAAAAGCTTTTCCTGAATTATATGTGTCTTCTTTTATTTTTTTTGGACTGTGTCTATATATCTTTTCAAATTGACAAAGATGCAGATGATTTGTTTTGATCCAATGTTCACAGTGGAACATTCAGGAACAAGAGTTTTAGCTATTTTTATTGAGCCTTTACCCGGTACCAGCCAGTGTTCTAGGCACTTTATTTTGTTGTAATAAAATAACTCTAGAGGTTTTAAATAAAAGTGAGGCATAGAGAAGTTTAGTAAGTGTCCCAAAGTCACATAATAAGTGGTAAAGCTGGGGTTGTAGCAGAGGCAGTGTGGCTTTGGTGTTCATATTATTTGTCACATGCTGCCCTTTCTCTCCATGGATTTCTTGGATCTTAAATAGGCACATATTGCGTGGCAAACTTTTAGTCATAATTTACTCACTCTAACCATGAAATATCTACCACTGAGTGCCATTATTCATGTAACAATTATGAACTTGGAAATTGCTATTTAATTATAAATATATGAAAAATGAAAACAAGTCTGCAGAATAGAATAAGCGAGAGGTGCACTAACAGTTTCGTAGATGGTTGACTAGAAAGGATTCTCAGTTCATCTAATTTAATCACATTGTTTTCCAATGAGCAAATGAAGACAGTCTTGTAAATGCATTCAGAAAATGACTCAAATTCATATCATCTTACAGTGAAGGTGGAATTTTTCTTTGAGTATGCTTTTTTTGGAATCTGGACACTAAGGTTCTATTTTTGAGTACTCTTGATATCTAAATAGTGTTATAAATAAAACCATGTCCCACTGTTCGGCGCCTCTTTGTACAATGTCTGTTTTCTCCTCTCTCACTATCTAGTTCACCTGAAGAATTCAGAAACAATACTCACAGCTAATGTGGCAGTTGGTGATAGTCATCAGTTAGTTTTCTTGAGTTCCAAATTAGTTGCTGAAAATCAGGATATTATATGTAAATGTGATAAAAATTTGTGGAATAGGTAAGGATAAGATGCAGAGATGTATAGCCTCTTATAAGGCAACAGAGGGTCAGACAAAGTAATTGCTAGAGGGAATAATGTGATAGATAATATTTTACTATTTATACAAGTCAATGTCCAGTCTCTTGACATTTAATGAGATATTCATAAAGACTGAACATCTTTCGAGGCACGAAGGACTGAATGTGTAACTGTGGAATGCCATAGTACTGAGTGAGATATTTCAGAAGATGTTATTTTTGATGTTACACAGATCATAAAGATACCACAACTACAAACTCAAAGCACTGAATATACACCAGTTTATTTATTTAGAGTCTATTACCACCACGAGAAAGTAACTTTCTTGAGACCAGTATTCTGTTGCCTATTCATCATCGCTGACTTCCATGCCAAGAAATATGTTTTAAATAAGGAGTTATGAAATATATGAATGGCTGTTGGGCCTTTAACTCTTCTTCTGTACAGAATATTCACAAAAACTTAGAGGCAGAAGCTGTTACCTGTAGGCTCAAACTAAAATCTTTGAGGAGATAAGAAACTCAGTAGAGACTTACAAAATGTTTGTCGTGTGTGTAAATCACTATTGAGGATACAACGATGAAGACGTGCTCTGTGACATCATGGATGTATTCATATTCCTGTTCACTATTTCATTACAGGTCCTGTTCTCCTGAACTCTCAACACTGATACAAGCCTTAGAGAAGAGTAAAGGGGACTGAGTAACAATGTTACAGGATTTGTCCTCTTGGGCAACACTCAGGATCCTGATGTGCAAAATGCATTATTTGTCATGGTTTTACTCACATACATTGTGACTACAGTGGGGAACCTGCTCATTGTGGTGGCTATTATTGCCAGTCCCTCCTTGGGCTCCCCAATATACTTCTTCCTTGTCTGCCTGTCATTTATAGATGCTGCATATTCCACAGCCATTTGTCCCAAATTGACTGTAGAGTTACTCCATGACAAAAAGACTATTTTCTTCACAGCATGCATGGGGCAGCTATTTAAAGACCACTTATTTGGTGGTGCTGAGGTCTTCCTACTGGTGGGGATGGTCTATGATCGCTATGTGGCCGACTGTAAGCCACTGCACTATTTTACCATCATGAATCGACAGGTTTGCATCCTTCTCTTGCTGATGGCTGTGACTGGAGGTTTTATGAATTCTGTGTTTCAAATTGTTGTGTACAATCTCCCTTTCTGTGGTGCCAGTGTCACTGACCACTTTGTCTGTGACGTGTACCCATTATTGGAACTGGCGTGCACTGATACCTACTTTATAGGCCTCACTGTTGTGGCCAGTGGTGGAGCTATGTGTATGTTTGTCTTCACCCTTCTGCTAATCTCCTATGGAGTCATTCTAGTTTAGGTAGTTTACCTTAAAACTTACAGTCAGGAAGGGAGGTGTAAAACCTTCTCTGCCTGCATCTCCTGCATCACTGTGGTTGTCCTGTTTTTAGTTCCCTGATTTTCCTGTTTGTTAGACCTGTTTTGAACTTTCCTATTGATAAATTCATGACTGTGTTTTATACAGTTATCACACACCCATGTTGAATTCATTAATATACACACTGAGAAATGTAGAGATGAGAATTGCTGTAAAAACCAATGTAAAAAAACTCTGGCATAAAAACTAAACTATAGTTAGAATGAGTGTTCCTCTTCTTTTAGTAGAGGTGTATGTAGACAACGTCTGTCCCATGAGATTGTTAGACTTCTAAGGTCAATTAAGGTTTCCTAGTTTGAGAAGGCTGGATTGAGAAGCTCCCAGCTCAATTAAGAAATCATCCCATCGTGGCATCTGTTTGATATTCAAGATCTCAACCTCTATATCCAGACTGAGTGTGGATGGGGTTCCTTGGGTGCAGTTTCCATTGTGCACTTTTAAAATTATGGTTTTTCTCTATTTACAAATCTATTGAGACAGTGTATCTCCTCCACATGCCCAGAACTCAATGGAGAAAGAGAGGACTGGGCAATTAAAATAGATCCTCCTGTTCACAAGTGAAGCCTATGATGCTTGCTTTAGTATACTCACAAGCAGCATACTCACAAATATCTTTGAAACTGGCCCTTCTCAGACTTGGGCTGAAAGTCTATGTGTAGTGAGATAGTATTCTTAAGGATGTTAGAATTATGTTTGTCTAGTTTAAAGTATTTATGAGAGGGTCTTAACATCCACAACTTTGAAATGACTTTGATTTTGATGACCTTTCTTACCTTTAGAGTACTTAACTCTTTGCAGAGACTGGAAAGGGAAACTAGTTCTATTTCTGAAACCAGCAAGTTCTGGCTCTTTTATGTTTCTTGTAAATTCTGTTTGAAAGTGTAACAGTTAATGTTTTAAGTTATTTTTTATTAAAAAAACCCCTATGCCTTATGGTAAGATAAGCTTCTATAAGAAACAGTGGTAACTTTCCACATTCTACTTAAATTTTAGCCAAAACCACCTATTAACTTAGGTACACTTTTTATTTTCTACTTTACTACAGGTGACAGAATTACTAAACGTTTCCAGCACTGGATAGTGACTCAGTCTCTTCCCTTTCCTCCAGAACATTTACTTCTGTCTTTTTAGCCTTCACTTGCAATATCTTGGAGGCTTCTTTTTTTGGGCACTATAGCCAATGCAATATGCTTTGAATTGTTGTTATGGAATCACCACACTTGGAGTTGCCACTTTTTATTCTGGTCCTCCCTTCATGCATGGTGCAAGGCTTCACAGTTTTTGTGAGTTCAAACAACGACTATTTCATTTTATGTCAAAATTTTGTGTGCCAGGAATTCAGGCAGGTTGGCTGGGTATATCTTCTGCTTTGGGGTGAAGGTCTGAAGTCACTGTCTTATTGAACTGATAACTGGGTAGTCTGTAGGATGCAGAATAACTTAATTCACATTTATAATATATTGGAAGAGATGTCTGTAAGAGTTCCCTGGGTCCTTCTTCTTATCCATTTAGATGAAGAACCAAAAGGATAGTCACTTGTTTTACATGGTGCTCAGAGATCCCAGTGGCAGAAAGTAGAGATGTCGGGCCAGTTAATGGGTATTTGCAGAATTGGCACAATGTCACTGGAACCATGTTCTGTTGGTCAGAGTGATCACATGACTACCACAGATTTGAGGTTTTACAGAAAAAGAAGATAACCCTTGATGGAGAAGGGGCAAAGTCGCTTTGCAGATCAGCATGTAGAACAATTGTCTACATCTCAAAAATAGTGTAATGGAATTTTATTCATGTTGAGTTGGATGTATAAATCATCTTACACTAACAACATCTAAACAACATTGGGTTTGTAATTCCTGAATACAATGTATCTATTATGTATTTTAAATATTTGATTTTGGAGAGTTTTGTTTTTATTAGTGTAGGGATCTTCCTCATCTATTCCTAAGTATTTATGTTTTTAGATTGCATCACAGGTTTTTAATTTGAAACAAAATTCCAATTGTTATTGTCGCTATTATATGTAAAGGAAATTGAATTATTTATTTGGCACTTGAGTTCCATAAGCTTGTTAAATTCAGTTCTTATTTTTAGAAAGTTATGTCTGTAGATTCTTTAGGGTTTTCTAAAACACTATCACGTTATCTCCAAGTAAGCGTATCTAATTACATGGAAGGATATGGGAGTGTTTCAATTTCTCTTTGTGTCATTTTTAGAAGGTTGTACTTTTCCTAAATTTTACCTGTCATCTAAGCTGTGAAATAAATCGAGATAATGTTTTTCATAACAATCTTTCTATCCTTTTAAAGTCTAAATGGTATTTCTAGTTCTGGATTCCTGAGGAATCACCACACTTTCTTCCACAATGGTTGAACTAGTTTACAGTCCCACCAACAGTGTAAAAGTGTTCCTATTTCTCCACATCCTCTCCAGTACCTGTTGTTTCCTGACTTTTTGATGATCGCCATTCTAACTGGTATGAGATGATATCTCATTGTGGTTTTGATTTGCATTTCTCTGATTGCCAGTGATGATGAGCATTTTTTCATGTGTCTTTTGGCTGCATAAATGTCTTCTTTTGAGAAGTGTCTGTTCATATCCTTCACCCACTTTTTGATGGGGTTGTTTGTTTTTTTCTTGTAAATTTGTTTGAGTTCATACCATTTGACCCAGCCATCCATTACTGGGTATATACCCAAAGGAATATAAATCATGTTGCTATAAAGACACATGCATATGCATGTTTATTGAGGCATTACTCACAATAGCAAAGACTTGGTACCAACCCAAATGTCCAACAATGATAGACTGGATTAAGAAAATGTGGCACATATACACCATGGAATACTATGCAGCCATAAAAAAGGATGAGTTCATGTCTTTTGCAGGGACATGGATGAAACTGGAAACCATCATTCTCAGCCAACTATCGCAAGGACAAAAAACCAAACACCACATGTTCTCACTCATAGATGGGAATTGAACAATGAGAACACTTGGACACAGGAAAGGGAACATCACACACCAGGGCCTGTTGTGGGTTGGTGGCAGGGGGGACTGATAGCATTGGGGATATACCTAATGTAAATGATGAGTTAATGGGTGCAGTACACCAACATGGCACATGTATACATATGTAACAAACCTGCACGTTGTGCACATGTACCCTAGAACTTAAAGTATAATAAAATGTATATATATATATATATAAATAAAAATAAAAAAATAAAGTCTAAATGATCTATGGGATGATTATTTGTTTATTTCTGGTACCAGCCATTTGAATGTCTCTTTGTTTTCTCCTGCTCACTCTTCTAGCAGTTTATCAGTTTTATTATAAAAGTATGAACTTTTGGCTAATTTACTTTTTCTATCTTATGTTTTTCATGTTATTGAACTTCAGTCTTATATTTATGATGTCCATTTGTTTAAATAGCTTGGCTTTTATTTGCTCTTCTTGTTTTTGTTTCTTAAGGGGAAGGCTCAGATGGCTGCTTTTAAACATTAATTTTAAGTGTAAGCATTTATAGCTATACATTTTTCTTTAAGTACTGTTTTAATCACACCTCACACATTTTGATATGTTTCCATTATTGCTTAGTTCTAAGTATTTGCTTATTTCCATTAAACCTTTTTCTTTGATTCATAGGTTCACTAAATATTTATGGCATAATTTTCAATATTTGAAGCATATTCTATATATGAGTTATTTATTTAGTCATAACAAATTATTCCAACACTTAGAGATTCAAACAATATGTACTCATTCTCAATTACTGTAGGTCAGAAAACTAAGAAGGGTTAGCTGGTTCCTGTGCTTCAAGGTCTCTCACAAAGCTCTAATCAAGGTGCTAGTTGGGACTACAGTCTCATATGAAGGCTTGGCTTAGGAAGGATCCACTTCCAAGCTGGCTGTTGGTAGGATTCAGTTTCTCAATAGAAATGAAAAATCTTTCGAGAGTATAATTCTACTTATATCCCACAGCACTTTGAAATTGTTTTATATACTTTACTGCTACATGTTATGAACTCCAGAATATATTCTTATTAATTTCACCTTAAACCGTTGATTTTATGTCAATTAAGAGAATAATTATTATTTTGTATGTATTGTTTCTATCTTCATTCTTTTGATAAACTTGATATTCAAGTAATATTGCTTTCTTTGTTCTGAGGAAATCTTTCTTTTTGTATTTTTTGTAATGTGGGTCTACTGGCCATGATTTTCTCACCCGTTAAATATTTACCTTATTACTGAATTGCACAGAGCCATGTTGAAACTACATTCACTTCTCCATTCTATTTCCCGAAATAGATGAAAGCTTGACAGGGTGAGTAGAAATATTAGCAGCTTACCAGTGCAGAGGGGTGAAGAAAGTTTGGGGTTCCATTTCTGCATGATTAGAGTCACTTATTAAATACTTTGGCTTTCCATTGAAACTCAAGCAGATTTATGTCTCAGCATTTATCACTACATCCCAAAATTAAGATTTGTACTATCACATTTTTAGACATTCCTTGTAGTAGTTAATTCCTGCATTGCTGTAAAAATTATTAATACTTGAAACTGAGTTACTTGTAAAGAAAAGTGGTTTGGTTAGCGCATTGTTCCACAGGCTGTTCAGGAAGAAGGATTCTGGCATCTGTTCAACTTCTGGGATAGGCCTCAATAAATTTACAATCATGGCAGAAGGCAAAGTGGGAGCAGGTACATCTAAGTAGACGGCAACAGGAGTAACAGGGGAAAGTACCACAAAATTATAAATCACAAGGTCTCATGAGAACTCACTGTCATGTTGACAGCACCAAGGGGTAATGGTATTAAACCATCAGAAACTTCCCTCTAAAATCTCACGTTCTTCTCAACTTTCAAAATATAATCATGCCTTCCTAACAGTTCCCCAAAGTGTTAACCCATTCCAGCATTAACTGAAAAGTGCACAGTCCAGCCTTGTCTGAGACAAGGTTAGTCCCTTCCACCTGAGTGTGTAAAATAAAAAGCAATCTATTTACTTCCAAAATACAAAAAGGTATAGGAATTGAGTAAATACTTTCATTCCAAAATGAAGAAATCAGCCTAAGAAAGGGGTTACAGGCCCCATGCAATTCTGTAATCTAGCAGGGCAGTCACTAAATCTTCAAGTTCCAAAACAATTATCTTTGACTCCATGCCTCACATCCAGGGCATACTGGTGCAATGGGTAGGCTACCAAGGCCTTGGGTAGCTCCACTCATGTGGCTTTACAGGGTTCAGCCAGCACAGTTGCTCTTAATGTCTTCTGTTGCTCTTGAGGGGGGTCTGTGGCTTTTTTAGGTGCAGGGTGCAAGCTTCTGATGGTTCTACCATTTGGGGGTCTGGAGGATGGTAGTCCTTTTCTCACAGCTCCACTAGGCAGTGCCCCAGTGGGCACTCTGTGTGTGGGCTCCAACCACACATTTCCTCTCTGCACTGCCCTAGCACAGATCACAGATCTTCTGTGATGCTCCACCCCTGCAGCAGGCTTCAGTCTGAAATTCCAGGCTTTTTGATACATCCTATGAATCCTGGTTGGAGGCTCCCAAGCCTCATCTCTTGCATTTTGTGCACCTGCAGACTTAACACCACATGGAAGCCTTCAAAACTCACAGTGTTCATCATCTGAAGCAGTGGTCTGAGTTGTTCCTTGGCCCCTTGTTGCCACAGCTGGATCTGAAGTGGCTTTAACAAACATTGGTAGGTTGTATTTTTATAAATATTAAGCTCAAAATATTTTCTAATTTCCATTGTAATTTATTCACCAATAAGTTGTTAAAAAGTGATTAACTTAACTTTCAAATATGCAGAAAATTCTGGAGAATTTTATTTTATTTTATTTTTTATATTTCTATTTTTCTATAAGTTATTGGGGATACTGGTGGTATTTGGTTACATGAGTAAGTTCTTTAGTGGTGATTAGTGAGATTTTGTTGCACCCATCGCCTGAGCAGCATACACTGCACCATATTTGTAGTTGTTTATCCCTCGCCTCCTTCACATTCTTCCTCCCAAGTCCCCAAAGTCCATTGTATCATTCTTATGCCTTTGCATCCTCATAGCTTAGCTCTCGCATATCAGTGAGAATATACAATGTTTGGTTTTCCATTCCTGAGTTACTTCACTTAGAATGACAGTCTCCGATCTCATCCAGTAACTGCAAATACAGTTAATTCATTCCTTTTTATGGCTGTGTAGTATTCCATCCTATATATATACCACAGTTCTTTATTCACTTGTTGATTGATGAACATTTGGGTTGATTCTGCGATTTTGCAATTGGGAGTTGTGTGGCTATAAACATGCATGCGCAAATATCTTTTTTGTATAATAACTTCTTTTCCTCTCTAATAGACACCCAGTAGTGGGATTGCTGGATCAAATGGTAGTTCTACCTTTTATTCCTTATGGAATCTCACCACTGTTTTCCACAGCAGCTGTACTAGTTTACATTCCCATCAGCAGTGTAGAAGTGTTCCCTATTCACGGCATCCATGCCAACATCAACTGTTTTATGATTTTTTGATTATGGCTATTCTTGCAGGAGTGAGGTGATAGTGCATTGTGGTTTTGACTTGCATTTCCCTGATCATTAGAGGTGTTGTGCATTTTGTCATGTTTGTTGGTCATTTGTATGTCTTCCTTGGAGAATTGCCTATTCATGTGCTTAGCCCACTTTTTCATGGGATTGTTTGTGTTTTTCTTACTGATTTGTTAGAGTTCGTTGTAGTTTCTGCATATTGGTTCTTTGCCAGATGTTTAGATGGTGAAGATTTTCTCTTACTCTGTGGTTTGTCTGTTTATTATGGCGGACTATTCATTTTGCTGTGCAAAAGTTCTGTTTTTTAATTAAGTCCCAGCTATTTATCTTTGTTTTCATTGCATTTGCTTTTCGGTTCTTGGTCATAAAATCCTTGCCTAAGCCAACATCTAGAGGGGTTTTTCCAATGTTATCTTCTATAATTTTTATAGTTTAAACTCTTAAGTTTAAGTCCCTAATCCATCTTGAGTTGATTTTTGTTGAGAGAAGAGGATTCAGTTTCATTATCTTACGTGTAGCTAGCCAATTAACCCAGTACCATTTGTTAAAAAGGGTGTCCTTTCCCCACTTTATGTTTTCATTTGCTTTGTTCAAGAACAGTTAGCTGTAAGTACTTGAGTTTATTTAAGAGTTCCTTATTCTGTTCCATTGGTCTGTTTGTCTGTTTTTGTACCAGTACCATGCTGTTTTGTTGACTATGGCCTAATAGTATAGTTTGAAATTAGATAATGTGATGCCTCCAGATTTGTTATTTTTGCTTAGCCTTGCTTTGGCTATGTGGGCTCTCTTTTTGTTCCATATGAATTTTAGAATTCCTTTTTCCAGTTCTGTGAAGAATGATATTTTGATGGGGATTGCCTTGAATTTGTAGATTGCTTTTGGCAGTATGGTCATTTTCACAATATTCATTCTACCGATCCATGAGCATGGGATGTGTTTCCATTTTTTTTGTGTCATCTATGTTTTCTTTCAGCAGTGTTTTGTAGTTTTCCTTGTAGAGGGCTTTTGACTCCTTGGTTAGCTATATTGCTTTTTTTTTTTTTTGCAGCTGTTGTAAAATCTGTTGAGTTCTTCATTTTATTCTCTGCTTGGTTGCTGTTAGTGTATAAGAGTTACTGATTTGTGTACATTAATCTTGTATCTGGAAACTTCACTAAACTATTTTATAAGTTCTATGAGCTTTCTGGAGGAGTCCTTAGGGTTTTCGTGGTAAGTGATCATATCATCAGCTAGAGTCCAGGACTCCTTTTTGTTGGGAATTTTAAAATTACCATTTCAATCTTGCTGCTTGTTATTGGTCTGTTCAGGGTATCTAATTCTTCGTGGTTTAAGCTAGGAGCGTTGTATTTTTCCAGGAATTTTCTCCATCTCTTCTAGGTTTTCCAGTTTGTGGGCATTAAGGTGTTCATACTAGCATTGAATGATCTCCTGTATTTCACTGGTGTCTGTTGTAATATTTCCTGTTTTATTCATTAATGAGTTTGTTTGGATTTTCTCTCTTCTTTTCTTGGTTAAAGTTGTTAACGGTTTATCAATTTTATTTATCTTTTCAAAGAACCAGCTTTTTTTTATTATTATACTTTAACTTTTAGGGTACATGTGCACAACATGCAGGTTTGTTACATATATATACATGTGCCTTGTTGGTGTGCTGCACCCAGTAACTCGTCATTTAACATTAGGTATATCTCCTAATGCTATCCCTCCCCCCTCCCCCCTCCCCCCGCCCCACAAAAGGTCCCAGTGTGTGATGTTCCCCATCCTGTGTCCATGTGTTCTCATTGTTCAATTCCCATCTTTGAGTGAGAACATGCGGTGTTTGGTTTTTTGTCCTTGTGATAGTTTGCTGAGAATGATGGTTTCCAGCTTCATCCATGTCCCTATAAAGGACATGAACTCATCATTTTTTATGGCTGCATTGTATTCCATGGTGTATATGTGCCACATTTTCTTAATCCAGTCTATCATTGTTAGACATTTGGGTTGGTTCCAAGTCTTTGCTATTGTGAATAGTGCCACAATAACCATATGTGTGCATGTGTCTTTATAGCAGCAAGATTTATAATCTTTTGGGTACATACCCAGTAATGGGATGGCTGGGTCAAATGGTATTTCTAGTTCTAGATCCCTGAGGAATCGCTTCACTGACTTCCACAATGGTTGAACTAGTTTACAGTCCCACCAACAGTGTAAAAGTGTTCCTATTTCTTCACATCCTCTCCAGCATCTGTTGTTTCCTGACTTTTTAATGATTGCCATTCTAACTGATGTGAGATGGTATCTCATAGTGGTTTTGATTTGCATTTCTCTGATGGCCAGTGATGATGAGCATTTTTTCATGTGTCTTTTGGCTGCAAAAATGTCTTCTTTTGAGAAGTGTCTGTTCATATCCTTCACCCACTTTTTGATGGGGTTGTTTGTTTTTTAAATTTGTTTAAGTTCATTGTAGATTCTGGATATTAGCCCTTTGTCAGATGAGTAGATTGCAAAAATGGTCTCCCGTTCTGTAGGTTGCCTGTTCACTCTTATGGTAGTTTCTTTTGCTATGCAGAAGCTCTTTAGTTTAATGAGATCCCATTTTTCACTTTTGGCTTCTGTTGCCATTGCTTTTTGTGTTTTAGACATGAAGTTCTTGCCCATGCCTATGTCCTGAATGGTATTACCTGGGTTTTCTTCTAGGGTTTCTATGGTTTTAGGTCTAACATTTAAGTCTTTAATCCATCTTGAATTAATTTTAGTATAAGGTGTAAGGAATGGATCCAGTTTCAGCTTTATACATATGGCTAGCCAGTTTTCCCAGCACCATTTATTAAATAGGGGATCATTTCCCCATTTCTTGTTTTTGTCAGGTTTGTCAAAGATCAGATGGTTGTAGATATGTGGCATTATTTCTGAGTTCTGGCCAGGGCAATCAGACAGGAGAAGGAAATAAAGGGTATTCAATTAGGAAAAGAGGAAGTCAAATTGTCCCTGTTTGCAGATGACATGATTGCATATCTAGAAAACCCCATCATCTCAGCCCAAAATCTCCTTAACCTGATAGGCAACTTCAGTAAAGTCTCAGGATACAAAATCAATGCACAAAAATCACAAGCATTCTTATACACCAACAACAGACAAACAGAGAGCCAAATCATGAGTGAACTCCCATTCACAATTGCTTCAAGGAGAATAAAATACCTAGGAATCCAACTTACAAGGGACGTGAAGGACCTCTTCAAGGAGAACTACAAACCACTGCTCATTGAAATAAAAGAAGATACAAACTAATGGAAGATCATTCCATGCTCATGGGTAGGAAGAATCAATATCATGAAAATGGCCATAGTGCCCAAGGTAATTTATAGATTCAATGCCATCCCTATCAAGCTACCAATGACTTTCTTCACAGAATTGGAAAAAACTACTTTAAAGTTCATATGGAATCAAAAAAGAGCCCGCATTGCCAAGTCAATCCTAAGCTGAAAGAACAAAGCTGGAGACATCATGCTACCTGACTTCGAAGTATACTACAAGGCTACATAACCAAAACAGCATGATGCTGGTACTGTAACAGAGATATAGACCAATGCAACACAACAGAGCCCTTGGTTTAATTTATCTTCTGTATTTTTTTTTGTTTCAATTTCAGTTAGCTCTGCTTTGATCTTGGTTATTTACCTCTTCTGCTGGTTTTTGGTTTGGTTTGTTCTTGTTTCTCTAGTTTCTTGAGGTCTGACCTTAGATTGTCAATTTGTGCTCTTTCAGTTTTTTCAGTGTAGGCATTTAGGGTGATAAACTTTCCTCTTACCACTGCCTTTGCTATATCCCAGAGGTTTTGATATATCTTGTCATTGTTGTTGTTCAGTTCAAATAATTTTTTAATTTCCATCTTGATTTTGTTTTTGTGGCAATGCTCATTCAGGAGCACGTTTTTTAAATTATAATGCCATTTGCATGGTTTCGAAGGCTCCTTTTGGAGTTGATTTCCAGTTTTGTTCCACTGTGATCTGAGAGAGTGCTTGATATGATTTTGATTTCCTTAAATTTATCAAGGCTCATTTTATGGTCTATCTTATGGTCTATCTTGGTGAAAGTTCTGTGTGCTGTTGAATAGAACGTGTCTTTTGTGGTTGTTGGATGAAATGTTCTGTATATATCTGTTAATCCCATTTGTTCCCAGGTACAGTTTACATTCATTGCTTCTTTGTAGACTTTCTGTTGATGACCAGTCCAGGGCTGTCATTGGAATATTCAAGTCTCCCACTATTATTGTGTTGCTGCGTATGTCATTTTTTAGGTCTATTAGTAATTGTTTTATAAATTTGAGAGTTCCAGTGTTAGGTGCACATATATTTAGGATTGTGATATTTTCCTGTTGGACAAGGTGTTTTACCATTATATAATGTCCCGCTTTGTCTCTTTTATCTGCTGTTGCTTTAAAGTTTGTTTGTCTGATATAAGCATAGCTACCCCTGCTTGCTTTCTTTTGGTGCCCATTTGCATGAAATGCCTTTTTCCACATCTTTACTTTTATTTTATGTGAGCCCTTATGTGTTAAGTGAGTCTCCTGAAGGCAGCAGATGGTTGGTGAGTTCTTATCCATTCGGCAGTTCTGTATCTTTTAAGTGAAGCATTTAGGCCAGTTACATTCAATGTTAATATTGAAATGAGAGTACCATCACATTCATTGTGCTCTTTGTTGCCTGTGTACTTTGCTTCTTTTGTTTTTGCTTTTTAACTTGTATTTTTTTTTATGGGTCCTGTGATTTATGCTTTAAAGAATTTCTGTTTTTTGGTGTTTCCAGGTTTGTTCCAGGATTTCAAGCTCCTTTTAGCAGTTCTTGTAGTGTTGGCTTGGTAGTGGCAAACTCTTTCAGGATTTGTTTGGCTGAAAAAGACTGTCTTTCCTTGATTCATGATGCTTAGTTTTTCTGGATACAAAATTTTTGGCTGATAATTGTTTTGTTTGGGGAGGCTGAAGATAGAGCTCAAATCCCTTCTACCTTATATGGCTTCTGCTCTTAATTTGATAGGTTTTCCTGTATAGGTTACCTGGAGCTTCTGTCTCACAGCTCTTAAGATTCTTTCCTTTGTCTTAACTTTGGATAACCTGGTGACAATGTGCTTAGGCCAAGACCTCTTTGTGAGATGAATTTCCTGGTGTTCTTTGTGCTTCTTGTATTTGGATGTCTAGGTCTCTAGCAAGGCTGGGGAAGTTTTCCTCTATTGTTTTCCCAAATATGTTTCCCAAGCTTTTAGAATTTTCTTTTTCCTCAGGAACACTGATTATTATTTGGTTCGGCCATTTAATGTAGTTCAAGACTTCTTGGAGGCTTTGTTCATATTTTCTTATTCATTTTTCTTTGTCTTTGTTGGATTAGGTTAATTCAAACACCTTGTCTTCGAGCTCTGAATTTCTTTCTTCTACTTCTCCAATTCTATTTCTGAGTATTTCTAGAGCATTTTACATTTTTAACAGTGTGTCCAAAGTTTCCTGAATTTTTGAATGTTTTTTTCTTTAAGCTATCTATTTCCTTGAATATTTCTCCATTCACTTCTTGTATCCCATTTTGGATTTCCTTGCATTGGGCTTCACCTTTCTCTGGTCTTTGCCTAATTTGCTTAACAACTAACCTCCTGAATTCTTTTTCAGGAAAATCAGGGATTTCTTCTTGGTTTGGATTCATTGCTGGTGAACTAGTGCGATTTTTTTTTGTCCCACGAGGTGTTCCCTTGATGTAGTATTTTTCACGTTTTCCTGTGGAGGTGGCTTCTTGTGAGCCAATCTACAGTGATTTTTGTCTCTCATTTGGGTGTAGCCACCCAGAGAGTCTACCCTGCTCTGGGCTGGTACTGAGGCTTGTCTGCAGAGTTGTGTGAATGAACCATCTATGGATCTCTCAGCCATGGATACCAGCGCCTGTTCCAGTGGAGGTGGCGGAGGGTGCAATGGACTCCATAGGTCTCCTTAGATTTGGTGGTTTAATGTTCTATTTTTGTGCTTGTTGGCCACCTGCCAGGAGGTGGCACTTTCCAGAAAGCATCAGCTGTAGTAGTGTGGAGAGGGAAAGGCTGTGGGTGAGGCCCTAGAACTCCCAAGATTATATGCCCTTTGTCTTCCGCTACCAGTGTGGACAGGGAAGAACCATGAGTTGGGGGTGGGGCTAGGCATGTCTGAGCTCAGACTCTCCTTTGGTGGGTCTGGCTGTGGCTGCTGTGGGGGATGGGTGTGATATTCTGAGGTCATTGGTTTGTGTACCTCGGAAGATTATGGGTGCCTCTGCTGAGTCCTTCAGGATGTCAGGGAAGTGCAGGAAAGTGAGCAGTCACAGGCCTTACTCAGTTCCCATGCAAACAGAAGGACTGGTCTCACTCGCACCTTGTCCCCCATAGTAATCTGAGTCTCTTCTAGGTGGAGGGCAAGTAGGGCTTGAAAACTTGCCCAAGGCTTTCTGTCTCTCAGCTGTGAAAGAAAAGGGTTTTAGTTCTTCCCTGACCTGTGAAGTCTGCAAACAAGATTTGAGCCCTCCCCCAAGTTCTGGCCAGGAGGTTTCTCATCCCATTCAAATAGTTACAAAGTTCAGCTTCAGAACTCCTTCTCCCTGGGGAGTTTCACTGCCTGCTCCTCTGGCCACCCTCCTGATGGATCCCGGTGGTGCCAGACAGGAATGGGCTGCTTGGGGATCCAGTGAGCTCCCAGGGCCTTTCTGCTGTTTCCTCTACCCCCGTATTTTTCTTGGCTTGGCTCTCTAACTTGACTCAGCTCCAGGTAAAGTCAGGAATTTCTCCTGCAAACAGACCTTCCGCTTCTCTAGTGCACGTGTGTGTTAGGGAGAGGAGGGTCTCCGTTTCCCACTTCTGCGATTATGGCACTCACAGTATTTGAGGTGTCTCCTGGGTCCTGCAGGAGCAGTCTGCTTCTTTCAGAGGGTCTGTCGGTCCTCTCAGGATGACTGGTTTGTTCTTGTAGTCAGTCTGGAGCTAAAATTCACAGTGCAAGCCTCCGTAAGCTGCTCTTTCCAGAGCTGCAATCTAGTCCTGCCTCCCATCCACCATGATGTCTGAAATCCTCAGTCTTAAAAATACCTGGGAGTGCATAACATGCTGATATAATTTGGCTTTGCCTGCACCCAAATCTCATCTTGAATTGTAATCCCCATTATCCCCATGTGTTGTGGAAGGAACTAGGTGGAAGGTATTTGAATCATGGGGATGGTTTCCCCCATATTGTCATCTTGATCATGAGTGAGTTCTCATGAGATCTGATGGTTTCATAAGTGTCTGTCATTTCTCCTGCTGTCACTTCTTCTCCCTCCTGCTGCCACTTCTTCTCCCTCCTGCTGCCCTGTGAAGAGGCATGATTGTAAGTTTCCTGAGGCCTTCCCAATCATGCAGAACTGTGAGTCAACTAAACCTCTTTTCTTTATAGATTACCCAGTCTTGGGTATTTCCTTACAGCAATGTGAGAACAGACTAATATACATGCATTTTTCCTTTAAAAATGTATATTTAACTATATTTAACTTTCTAGCTTGATAATAGATATGGATTACAGAGAATTACGATGGACTATGGCATATTTTTGGCAATTTATACATTAGTTAATATTTCTTATGTACTTTTTATTATTGGAGCTCTTGGCTATTGTATGCATCATCTGATCTAACAAACACTTTTGTGTCATTCTGAAAAGTGGGAAGAATTAGTGGTTATTTGAATTCAGCTAGAAGGGACATAGAGAATTATGGTTTATTTTCACATTAGTTATCCATCTTGGAGACATAATTTAATCCATGGTATCTTTGATCATATCTGATAGTTCTTCAGAATTAAATGTTTGTCCATCTTTTACCACTTACCAGTAAGATAGCACAGTGTTTACAGACATAGTCTTTAAACTTTAGAAGTGATACATGTTACATTTGGGGTGGATGAATTTCATCCATTTATTAGGTAAGTTGAAAACGACCAACTTTTAGTGGAGTCCGGTACATGATAAACTCATTAGCTGGTTCAGATATGTATTTATGAGACTCTGTATCTAACACTCTTATGACACAGTGGATCCAATATTTAACTAAACATATGATGAAATGAACGTGTTCAATAGAGCCAATGGTAAGCCAAGTCATGGAAATAACAATGGAAGCCCTTAAGCATTGCTCCCTTGTTGGAAAATACAAATTTCTTTATTGTAGAAACAGTTACTGAATTGATGTTGGAATACAATTAAATAATTGAATTAATGGACTGTAGGTCATTATGGTTGTATCTGACATAGATTCAGGCCTTGATCAAAAGCTTGTACTCTGATCTAAAACTGCAGAACCATGGTTACCTACTTTTTCAAGAATCAGAATGTCAACTTCTGTTCTTAGGCTGCCTGCCTCTGAGCCTCAGGACTTCTTGGGCATGGAATTTCTAACAGGAAAGGTAAAGCTCTTCTTTTTGGGAATGTGCTTAGGGAAGAGAACCTGGGACTGGTTCCGCCTTCATTCTGGCTTAAATATTACTTGCCTTACCTCAGTATTTCATAATGTGAAACTCATAATTTTTGTTCAATTTATTTTAAAATTTTTCTTTTCACATTATAGGCTTTTCACATTACTTGGCTTTTAGCTACTCTTCCTTAATGACACCCAAATCTTTTCCCTCTAGGGAGTTTCTAAGGGGAAAAAAAGATGTTCAGAGAGTTTACTTCATTTGAATTTATTCCAAATAATGAAATTAACTAATATATAATGACCTTACACTCTCTTTTATTTAAAATACGATGATGTAAAAGTCATAGATTGTGTCTACACACATAAATGGAAATATTATTTTCCTGATAGAATAACCCAAGAGATATCTGAAGAGTTAAATTTCTGCCCAAGGTAGAGCATGTCTTCATTTGGTATTTAGTCCTTTAGGTGTGGTGTTTTCTTATCATATCCTCCATGTTGCGTAAAAATGTGTTAAAGTTCTCAATTTACTGGGCTGAGGTGGGGAGATATAAAGACATGATTTTAATTAGGAAAGAAGTAGACTTGGGGGTATGATATTGGAATGATATTTGAATGACCGAAAAACTGAAGAGTTTGGCTTCTGCCTGTGAGAAAGTTCTGTAATTGTTTTTTCCATAAAGTTAAATTTCAGCATTGTCCTTGTTAGGTACAAAGCTTAATAGCTGGGCGCATGAATGTTATCATAAGTCCTCAATCACAGTAAAGTACTTATGGTTACTTCACCATAATTGAGGAAACTTTCATGTAACAAATTTTAGTGTTGGTACATTTTTGTTTACTTGTGTCACAAAATAAGGGTCTTGTCCAGTTTAATTTTCATTAATTAGGTCAATTTTTACATAGTCATGCAATAATAATATTTTTGGTTTTTTATGAAGAAATTTTCCAGCAGGTGAGACTATTTAACTACCTTTGTATATTATGTTTAAGCATCTTTATATTTTGGTCATCTGCTTTGGATATTGCCATACTTCTGTAACAACTGAGACAATGAGAAGCCTGTGTGGAATTGTGGAAACTGTAGCCATTAGAAATTAGTTCTATAACCCTGGATCAGTCATTCATATTTATGTGTTCTGTGATCACAAATAGATGCATGAGGTATCTACATTAACACTCAGGGAAAGAAGCATTGCTTTTCTGGATTACAGTGTGAGTATTTGAAACCAGTGACAGGAGATATTCATTGAAAATTCTTGTGATATGAGGAAATGTAGCTAATATCTTAAATACCATATGATATTGTTGAAGGAGTTTAATTGGGAAAGTTAGCCAGGAAACATGAAAATTTTTCGGAATATACAATGTATATTTGGTTTTAGTATATAGCCTAATTTATTTTTCTTTTCTATTTGTTAAATTAAAAAAACATGTTCCATACTACATGCTTAATAAACCAATAGATTTATAATTATAATCTTAGTTTTTGAGATGTTATATTTTATATGATATATTAATAAAAGTGTACAATTACTTTCAGATATATTTGATTAGGGAGTTTAAAATTGCAGATCATGTCAAGTGTGTTAGAATGTGAAGGAACCAATACCTTTTATATTCTGGAAGCATAATATGGGCTTTTACTTATGAATCTAAAAAATCCCAGCAAACAAACTAGTAGATAAATATGCTGAGGAAAGTACCTAGTCTATGGTCATTTAAGTAGATTTATAAAACTATGATTGTGAAATATAATATTATGGAGGTTTTTTGTTATTATGGGATTTTATCTTTTGAAAATATCATGTTCTTAGGAAACTATGTTAAATCATTTTTTTCTAGAAAAACTTTAACTTAGCAGTTTACATTGAAAGCCTTGTAATGCTATCTTTCAGTATCTAAAGTATTCCAAATTTAATTACTTAAACTATAGAGGACGGTTTACTCACCCTATTTTTTACAAGTAAACATTTAACTTGCCAAAGGATTATCCTGTTGAAATCTATTTTGATGATGGAAGAGGGAAAAGGCACTAAACCTTGCAGCAAGTAAGGTGTGAAAAAAATAACAGAATTGGCTATAGACTACATTATTCCCTTGTGTTCTTCAGCAGTTGCCTCTCTATCAGTCTATAGCTTCAACAATGACAGAACTCTGGAATCAGCTGGAAGTGGTAACATGGGGACAAGTGGAATGTTCATCACAGCTGGCTTCTAGAGACAGCCCAAACTCTCTCTGCACACCTCCTCTTCCACTACCAGATCTATGTAAATGGAACCATCCTGTCTACATTTGAGGTTTAGTAATTCTGCAGCTTTCTTCAGCAGTGAATAATCAGAAAGTCTGGGTTTGTATCTCTACTTGTCCCATTGTTCTCTGTAATTGGTTTGTCCTTAACCGTCAGTACCAGAGAGTTAAGAGTAACAATGCATGTATTTTTTCTTTTCTTTTCTTTTCTTTTTTACTAGTATCCGGTTTGTTTTTGTTACATCTACCCCAAAAAGCCCCCTGAGTCACCCCAGGGACCGACAGGAGGTTGCACTTCGAGCATTTTCTCACTAAAAGGAATCTTTCTGAAGAGAATTTTAAAAGAATAATAATCTCACTTAATTGTCCCATTAACCTTCTTATTGCTTGTGGATACTCATTTGTTAACTACAATTTCTTTGTTTTCTTATTTTAGCCTTCTTTTCATTCCCTGAGCTCTCTCTGATGGTGGGTCCAACTTTTTACTATAATTCTGCTTGCTTTTCACTAAGATACATTCCATCACAGGTAAAATTACTACTCACATAATTAAATCATTATTTTCTAAGACATACTATTTCATTGTTTGGCCACAAAAGGCCTTCCTGAATTATAGGTATCTTATCCTTATTTTTCCTAGACTATGTCTATAAATCTTTTCAAGTTGACAGATCTGTATAATTTGTTCTGATTCTGTGTCCACAGTGAAGCATTCAAAAACAGTAATAATAGCTATCATTTATTGAGTCCTTCCCAGGTGCCAGCCAGTGTTCTAGGCACTTTACTTTGTTTTAATAAAACAACAACCCTAATAGGTAAGGGTTGTTGGGATCCTCATTTTAAAAATGATGCAACTAAGGGATAGAGAGCTTTAGTAAATGGCCCAAACTCTCATAAAAAACGGCGAACCTGAGGTTGTAGCTGAAGTAGTGTGGCTCCAGTGTCCACATTATTCACCACATGCTACACTTTCTCTCCAATGATGTCTTGGATCTTAAATAGGTACATACTGAATGAGACACTTATAGTCACTATTTATTCACTGTAATCATGAAACCCCGTGTCCCACTGACTACCATTTTTCATGTAAATATCATAAGGTTGGAAATTTTTATTTAATTATAAATTTATAAAAAATGAAAAACAAATTGTCAGCAGAATACCATAAAGGAGAGGTGCATGAATAGTTCTGTAGATAATTGACTAGAAAGGATTCTGAATTTCTCAAATTTAATCCCATTGTTTTCCAGTGAGTAAACTGGGACAGACTTGTAAATGCATTCAGAATCAAATCTGTGCCTTTTTACACTGAACTTGGAATTTCTCTTAGAGTATGATTCTTTTTGAAATCTTGTAACTAAGATTACATTTTTGAGTACTCTTGGTATCTAAATTGTGTTATGAATAAAACCATGTCCCTCTTTCTACAGTGTCTATTTTCTTCTATCTCACTACCTAGCTCCTCCCAAGAATTCAGAAAAAAACACTAACTGCTTATTTGGTAGTTAGTGACAGTCATGAGTTAGTTCACTTGAGTTCAAAATTAATTGCTGAAAATTAGGATATTATATATAAGTGTTGTAAAAATTTGTGTACAGGCAAGGATAAAATGGACAGAATCACAGATCCTTATAAAGAGAACATAGAGTCACATCAAGTAATTGCTACAGGGAACAATGTGATAAATAATGTCATAGCATTTATACAGTTCAGAGTCCTGTCTTTTGACATTTAGTGAAAGACTAATGAACATCCTTTGAGGCATGAAGGAATGAAGTTCTAACAGTAGAAGGCCAGAGTACTGAGTGAGATATTCCGGAAGAAATTATTCTTGGTGCTATACAGATTATATTACAAAGATACCACAAGTACAAACACAAAGGACTAAATCTATGTCAGTTTATTTATTTAGAGTTTATTACCACCACCAGAGACTAAGTTTCTTGAGATCAAGTACCCATTGCCTATTCATCACAGCTGACTTCCATGCCAAGAAAATGTTTTAAATAAGAAGTTATGAAATGTATAAATGGCTGTTGGGACTTTAACTCTTCTTCTACATAGAATATTCACCAAAACTTAGAGGTAGAAGCCTTTACCTGTGCACTGAAACTAAAATATTTGAGGAGAAATAGTATCATCAGGGCAAGATGGGCTCTTTGGGTGAGGAACTCAATAGAGACTTACCAAATATTTATTGTGTTTAAATCACTATTCAGGATACAACAATGAAGATGTGCCCTGTGACACAATGGATGTAATCATATTCCTGGTCACTATTTCATTACAGGTCCTGTTTTCCTGAGCTCTCACCTCTGATACAAGCCTTAAAGAAGAGTAAATGAGACAGAATAACAATATTTCAGAATTTGTCCTCCTGGGCTTTTCTCAGGATCCTGGTGTGCAAAAAGCATTATTTGTCATGTTTTTACTCACACACTTGGTGACAGTGGTGGGGAACCTGCTCATTGTGGTGACTATTATTGCCAGCCCTTCCTTGGGTTCCCCGGTGTATTTCTTCCTTGCTTGCCTGTCATTTATAGATGCTGCATATTCCACTACCATTTCTCCCAAGTTAATTGTAGACTTACTCTGTGATAAAAAGACTATTTCCTTCCCAGGTTGCATGGGCCAGCTATTTATAGACCATTTCTTTGGCAGTGCTGAGGTTTTCCTTCTGGTGGTGATGGCCTGTGATCGCTATGTGGCCATCTGTAAGCCACTGCACTATTTGACCATCATGAATCGACAGGTTTGCTTCCTTCTGTTGGTGGTGGCCATGATTGGAGGTTTTGTGCATTCTGCGTTTCAAATTGTTGTGTACAGTCTCCCTTTCTGTGGTCCCAATGTCATTGATCATTTCGGTTGTGACATGTACCCATTACTGAAAGTGGCGTGCACTGACACCTACTTTGTAGGCCTCACTGTTGTTTTCAATAGTGGAGCAATCTGTATGGTCATTTTCACCCTTCTGTTAATCTCCTGTGGAGTCATCCTAAACTCCCTTAAACAGTCAGGAAAAGAGGCATAAAGCCTTGTCTACCTGCAGCTCCCGCATTACCGTGGTTGCCCTCTTTTTTGTACCCTGTATTTTCATATATGTTAGACCTGTTTCAAACTTTCCTACTGATAAGTTCATGACTGTGTCTTATACCATTATCACACACATGTTGAGTCCTTTAATATACACGTTGAGAAATTAAGAGATGAGAAATGCTATAGAAAAACTCTTGGGTAAAAAGTTAACTATATTTAGTAATAGGAGTGTCCGTCCTCATGTAGGTAAGGAGGTATGTAGTCAAGGTCTTCCCACTGAAGTTTTCAGGTTTCTAAGGGCAAGTCAAGGATCCCAAAGAAAGAAGACAGGATTTGGATGCTCCTAGCTCAATTACAAAGTCATCCCTTCATGACATCTGATTGAAGTTCAAGATCTCAACTTCTATATCGAGACTGAGTGCGGTTGGGGCTCCTTGGGTGCAGGTTTCATTGTGCACATTTTAAATTATGGCTTTTACTGTTTACAGATCTTTGAGACAGGGTATTTCCTCCACATTCTCAGCACACAATGGAGAAAGGGAGGAATAGGTAATAAAATGGAAGCCCCTGTTCAGAAGGGAAGGCTGTGGTGCTTCCCTCAGTGTAAGTTTTTAAAGATTTTGTGGAATATACAAGGACCATACTCAAAAATATCTTTGAAACTGGCCCATCTCAGACTTGGGCTGAAACTCTATATGCAGTCACATAACACTTTAAGAATCTTAGAATTCTGATTCTCTAGTTTAAGGTACTTATGAAACACACTGTTAAATTTTTCTGTAGTCTTTCTAAGTGTCATAACATCCACAACTTTCAAATGACATTTATTTTGATGACCTTTCTTAGGTTTAGAGTACTTAGCTCTTGCAGAGACTGGAAAGGGGAACCAGTTTTATGTTTGAAACCACCAATTTCTTGTTCTTTTATGTTTCTTGTAAATTATGTCGAATATGTAACAGTTAATCTTTTCATTAGTGTTATTTATTTATTTATTTTTTATTACTTTTTATTATACTTTAAGTTTTAGGGTACATGTGCACAATGTGCAGGTTTGTTACATATGTATACATGCGCCATGTTGGTGTGCTGCACCCATTAACTTGTCATTTAACATTAGGTATATCCCTAATGGTATCCCTCCCCCCTCCCCCCACCCCATAACCCACAAAGGAAGGTGTGTGATGTTCCCCTTCCTGTGTCCATGTGTTCTCATTGTTCAATTCCCATCTATGAGTGAGAAAGTGTGGTGTTTGGTTTTTCGTCCTTGCGATAGTTTGCTGAGAATGATGGTTTCCAGCTTCATCCATGTCCCTACAAAGGACATGAACTCATCCTTTTTTATGGCTGCATCGTATTCCATGGTGTATATGTGCCACATTTTCTTAATCCAGTCTATCATTGTTGGACATTTGGGTTGGTTCCAGGTCTTTGCTATTGTGAATAGTGCCACAACAAACATAGGTGTGCATGTGTCTTTATAGCAGCATGATTTATAATCCTTTGGGTACGTACCCAGTAATGGGATGGCTGGGTCAAATGGTATTTCTAGTTCTAGATCCCTGAGGATCGCCACACTGACTTCCATAATGGTTGAACTAGTTTACAGTCTAACCAACAGTGTAAAAGTGTTCCTATTTCTCCACATCCTCTCCAGCACCTGTTGTTTCCCAACTTTTTAATGATTGCCATTCTAACTGATGTGAGTTGGTATCTCATTGTGGTTTTGATTAGCATTTGTCTGATGGCCAGTGATGATGAGCATTTTTTCACGTGTCTTTCGCTGCATAAATGTTTTATTTTGAGAAGTGTCTGTTCATATCCTTCACCCGCTTTTTGATGCGGTTGTTTTTTTTTCTTTGTAAATTTGTTTGAGTTCATTGTAGATTCTGGATATTAGCCCTTTGTCAGATGAGTAGATTGCAAAAATGTTCCCCCATTCTGTAGGTTGCCTGTTCACTCTGATGGTAGTTTCTTTTGCTGTGCAGAAGCTCTTTAGTTTAATTAGATCCCATTTGTCAATTTTGGCTTTTTTTTGCCATTGCTTTTGGTGTTTTAGATATTAAGTCCTTGCCCATGCCTATGTCCTGAGTGATATTGCCTAGGTTTTCTTCTAGGGTTTTGATGGTTTTAGGTCTAACATTTAAGTCTTTAATCCATCTTGAATTAATTTTTGTATAAGGTGTAAGGAAGGGATCCAGTTTCAGCTTTCTACATATGGCTAGCCTGTTTTCCCAGCACCATTTATTAAATAGGGAATCATTTCTCCATTTCTTGTTTTTGTCAGGTTTGTCAAAGATCAGATGGTTGTAGATATGTGGCATTATTTCTGAGGGCTCTGTTCTGTTCCATTGGTCTACATCTCTATTTTGGTACCAGTACCATGCTGTTTTGGTTGCTGTAGCCTTGTAGTATAGTTTGAAGTCAGGTATCGTGATGCCTCCAGCTTTGTTCTTTTGGCTTAGGATTGACTTGGCAATGCAGGCTCTTTTTTGGTTCCATATGAACTTTAAAGTAGTTTTTTCCAATTCTGTGAAGAAAGTCATTGGTAGCTTGATGAGGATGGCATTGAATCTATAAATTACCTTGGGCAGTATGGCCATTTTCATGATATTGATTCTTCCTACCCATGAGCATGGAATGTTATTCCATTTGTTTGTATACTCTTTTATTTCATTGAGCAGTGGTTTGTAGTTCTCCTTGAAGAGGTCCTTCACATCTCTTGGAAGTTGGATTTCTAGGTACTTTATTCTCTTTGAAGCAACTGTGAATGGGAGTTCACTCATGATTTGGCTCTCTGTTTGTCTGTTATTGGTGTATAAGAATGCTTGTGATTTTTGCACATTGATTTTGTATCCTGAGACTTTGCTGAAGTTGCTTATCAGCTTTAGGAGATTTTGGGCTGAGACGATGGGGTTTTCTAGGTACACAATCATGTCGTCTGCAAACAGGGACAATTTGACTTCCTCTTTTCCTAACTGAATACCCTTTACTTCCTTCTCCTGCCTGATTGCCCTGGCCCAAACTTCCAACACTATGTTGAATAGGAGTGGTGAGAGAGGGCATCCCTGTCTTGTGCCAGTTTTCAAAGGGAATGCTTCCAGTTTTTGTCCATTCAGTATGATATTGGCTGTGGGATTGTCATAGATAGCTCTTATTATTTTGAGGTATGTCCCATCAATACTTAATTTATTGAGAGTTTTTAGCTTGAGGAGTTATTGAATTTTGTCAAAGGCCTTTTCTGCTTCTATTGGGATAATCATATGGTGTTTTTCCTTGGTTCTGTTTATATGCTGGATTACATTTATTGATTTGTGTATGTTGAACCAGCCTTGCATCTCAGGGATGAAGCCCACTTGATCATGGTGGATAAGCTTTTTGATGTGCTGCTGGATTCAGTTTGCCAGTATTTTAATGAGGAATTCGTATCAATGTTCATCACGGATATTGGTCTAAAATTGTCTTTTTTCTTTTGTTTCTCTGCCAGGCTTTGGTATCAGGATGATGCTGGCCTCATAAAATGAGTTAGGGAGTATTCTCTCTTTTTCTGTTGATTGGAATAGTTTCAAAGGAATGGTACCAGCTCCTCCCTGTATCTCTGGTAGATTTTGGCTGTGAATCCGTCTGGTCCTGGACTTTTTTTGGTTGGTAAGCTATTAATTATTGCCTCAATTTCAGAGCCTGTTATTAGTCTGTTCAGAGATTCATCTTCTTCCTGGTTTAGTCTTGGGAGGGTGTATGTGTCCAGGAATTTGTCCATTTCTCCTAGATTTTCTAGTTTATTTGCATAGAGGTGTTTATAGTATTCTCTGATGGTAGTTTGGATTTCTGTGGGATCGGTGGTGATATCCCCTTTATCATTTTTTGTCGCGTCTATTTGATTCTTCTCTCTTTTCTTCTTTATTAGTCTTGCTAGCAGTCTGTCAATTTTTCTTGATCCTTTCAGAAAACCAGCTCCTGGATTCATTGATTTTTTGAAGGGTTTTTGTGCCTCTGTTTCCTTCAGTTCTGCTCTGATCTTAGTTATTTCTTGCCTTCTGCTACCTTTTGAATGTGTTTGCTCTTCCTTTTCTAGCTCTTTTAATTGTGATGTTAGGATGTCAATTTTAGATCTTTCCTGCTTTCTCTTGTGTGCATTTATTGCTGTAAATTTCCCTCTACACACTGTTTTGAATGTGTCCCAGAGATTCTGGTATGTTATGTCTTTGTTCTCGTTGGTTTCAAAGAACATCTTTATTTCTGCCTTCATTTCATTATGTACCCAGTAGCCATTCAGGAGCAGGTTGTTCAGTTTCCATGTAGTTGAGCCATTTTGAGTGAGTTTCTTAATCCTGAGTTCTAGTTTGACTCCACTATGGTCTGAGAGACAGTTTGTTATAATTTCTGTTCTTTTACATTTGCTGAGGAGTGCTACACTTCCAACTATGTGGTCAATTTTGGAATAGGTGTGGTGTGGTGCTGAGAAGAATGTATATTCTGTTGATTTGGGGTGGAGAGTTCTGTAGATGTCTATTAGGTCTTCTTGGTGCAGAGCTGAGTTCAATTCCTGGGTATCCATGTTAAATTTCTGTCTCATTGATCTGCCTAATGTGGACAGTGGGGAGTTAAAATCTCCTATTACTATTGTGTGGGAGTCTGAGTCTCTTTCTAGGTCTCTAAGGACTTGCTTTATGAATCTGGGTGCTCCTGTATTGGGTGCATATATATTTAGGATAATTAGCTCTTCTTGTTGAATTGATCCCTTTACCATTATGTAATGGCCTTCTTTGTCTCTTTTGATCTTTGTTTGTTTAAAGTCTGTTTTATCAGAGACTAGAATTGCAACCCTTGCCATTTTTTTTTCCATTTCCTTGGTAGATCTTCCTCCATGCCTTTATTTTGAGCCTATGTGTGTCTCTGCATGTGAGATTGGTTTCCTGAATACAGCACACTGAATGGTCTTGACTCTTTATCCAATTTGTCTGTCTGTGTCTTTTAATTGGAGCATTTAGTCCATTTACATTTATAGTTAATATTGTTATGTGTGAATTTGATCTCATCATTATGACGTTAGCTGGTTATTTTGCTCGTTACTTGATGCAGTTTTTTCCTAGCCTCAGTGGTCTTTACGATTTGGCATGTTTTCGCAGTGGCTGGTACCAGTTTTTCCTTTCCATGTTTAGTGCTTCCTTCAGGAGCTCTTTTAGGGCAGGCCTGGTGGTGACAAAATCTCTCAGCATTTGCTTGTCTGTAAAGGATTTTATTTCTCCTTCACTTATAAAGCTTAGTTTGGCTGGATATGAAATTCTGAGTTGAATATTCTTTTCTTTAAGCATGTTGAATATTGGCCCCCACTCTCTTCTGGCTTGTAGAGTTTCTGCTGAGAGATCTGCTGTTAGTCTGATGGGCTTCCCTTTGTGGGTAGCCTGACTTTTGTCTCTGGCTGCCCTTAACATTTTCTCCTTCATTTCAACTTTGGTAAATCTGACAACTATGTGTCTTGGAGTTGCTCTTCTTGAGGAGTATCTTTGTGCGATTCTCTGGATTTCCTGATTTTGAATGTTGGCCTGCCTTGCTAGATTGGGGAAGTTCTCCTTGATAATATCCAGCAGAGTGTTTTCCAACTTGGTTCCATTCTCCCCGTCACTCTCAGGTACATCAATCCAATGTAGATTTGGTCTTTTCACATAGTCCCATATTTCTTGGAGGCTTCATTCATTTATTTTTGTTCTTTTTTCTCTAAACTTCTCTTCTTGCTTCATTTCATTCATTTTATCTTCCATCACTGATACCCTTTCTTCCAGTTGATTGAATCAGGTACTGAGGCTTGTGCATTTGTCATGTAGTTCTCATGCCTTGGTTTTCAGCTCCATCAGGTCCTTTGAGGACTTCTCTGCATTGGTTATTCTAGTGAGCCATTCGTCTGATTTTTTTTCAAGGTTTTTAACTTCTTTGCCATGGGTTCAAACTTCCTCCTTTAGCTCAGAGTAGTTTGATCATCTGAAGCCTTCTTCTCTCAACTCGTCAAAGTCATTCTCCATCCAGCTTTGTTCCATTGCTAGTGAGGAGCTGTGTTCCTTTGGAGGAGGAGAGGTGCTCTGATTTTTAGAGTTTCCAGTTTTTCTGCTGTGTTTTTTCACCATCTTTGTGGTTTTATCTACGTTAGGTCTTTGATGATGGTGATGTACAGATGGAGTTTTGGTTTGGATGTCCTTTCTATTTGTTAGCTTTCCTTTTAACAGTCAGGACCCTCAGCTGCATGTCTGTTGGAGTTTGCTGGAGGTCCACTCCAGACCCTGTTTGCCTGGGTATCAGCAGCGGAGGCTGCAGAACAGTGGATATTGTTGAACAGCAAGTGTTGCTGCCTGATCGTTCCTCTGGAAGTTTTGTCTCAGAGGAGTACCCAGCCGTGTGAGGTGTCAGTCTGCCCCTACTTGGGGGTGCCTCCCAGTTAGGCTACTCGGGGGTCAGGGACTCATTGAGGAGGCAGTCTGTCTATTCTTAGATCTCCAGCTGCATGCTGGGAGAACCACTACTCCTTCAAAGCTGTCAGACAGAGACATTTAAGTCTGCAGAGGATTCTGCTGCCTTTTATTTGGCAATGCCCTGCCCCCAGAGGTGGTGTCTAGAGAGGCAGGCAGGTCTCCTTGAACTGTGGTGGGCTCCACCCAGTTCAAGCTTCCAGGCCACTTTGTTTACCTACTCAAGGCTCGGCAATGGTGGCTAACCCTCCCCCAGCCTCCCTGCTGCCTTGCAGTTTGATCTCAGACTGCTGTGCTAGCAATGAGCAAGGCTCTGTGGGCTTAGGACCCTCCAAACCAGGTGTGGGATACAATCTCATGGTGTGCCATTTGCTGAGACGGTTGGAAAAGTGCAGTATTAGGGTGGGAGTGATCTGATTTTCCAGGTGCCATCTGTCACCCCTTTCTTTGACCAGGAAAGGGAATTCCCTGACCCCTTGCACTTCCCAGGTGAGGCGTTACCTCACCCTGCTTTGGCTCACACTCAGTGCGCTGCACCCAGTGTCCTGCACCCACTTTCCAACACTCCCCAGAGAGATGAACCCGGTACCTCAGTTGGGAATTCAGAAATCACCAGTCTTCTGCATTGCTCATGCTGGGAGCTGTGGACTGGAGCTCTTCCTATTCGGCCATCTTGGCTCCACCCCTCATTAGTGTTTTTTAAATATCTATGCCTTATTATATGATACACTGCTGTAAGAAACAGCTGAAATTTTCAATATTCTACTTGGAAATTTTTGCCATATCCACCAGTTTACTTATGTACATTTTTCATTTTCTACCTTCCTATAGGTGACAGAGGTACAAATTTTTTCAGCACTGCATCACAAGTCAAATTTTCACAGCTTCCAGAATAGTTACTTCTGTCTTTTGAGCATTCACTTACAATGTCCTGGTGGCCCCTATTTTTGGGCACTAAAGCCAATTCCATAGACTTTAAATTGTTATGGAAACACCACGCCTTGAGATGTCACTTTTATTTTGGTTCTGTCTTCATGTACTGTGCAGGGCTCCACAGTTTTTGTGAGTTAAACAACCATCATTTCATTTTATATCAAAATTTTGTGAGCCAGGAATTCAGGTGGTTGTTGGCAGGGTGTTTCTGCTGTTTTGTGTGGCAAGGACTGAAGTCACTCTCTTATTCACCTGATAACTAAATGTTCTGTAAAAGGCAGGATAACTTAATTCATATTTATAGTATATTAGAAGGGATGACTTTAAGAGATGCACTGGGCTTTTTCTCCTATCTCTTTAGATGAAGGACCACAAGATCACTCCAGAGAATAGCCACACTTTTTGCATGGTGCTCAGAGATCTCAGTGGTAGAACATAGATGAGTTTGGCCAGGTAAGTGCTATGTCCAGAACTGGTGCAATGTCACTTGCATCATATTCTATTTGATTGAGTGATCACATGACCACCCCACATTTGATGTTTTACAGAAATAGAAGATAACCCTTGATTGGGAAGTGGTAAAATCGTTTCACAGAGCAGCATGCAGAACAATTGTCTACATCTCAAAAGGAGCATATTGGAGTTTTATTCATTTGAAATTGGATCCGTAAATCATCTTTTACTAATAATATCTTAACAATAGTGGGTTTTCTAATTCCTGAATACAATATATCTGTTAGGTATTTTAAATGTTTATTTTTGAAGAGTTTTGTAGTTTTTATTACGGATCTTCCTTATCTATTCCTAAGTGTTTATGTTTTCAGATTTCATCAAAGGTTTTTCACTTAAAAAAAAATTCCAATGTCCTTGTTGCTAGTATTTATAAAGGAAATTTAACTATGTTCAATTATGTCTGTAGATTCTTTAGGGTTTTCTGAAACACTATCATATTTTCTACAGGTAAGGTTAGTTCATTACTTGGAAAGAGATAGGAGTGTGTCAGTTTCTGTTGGTGTCATTTTCAGAAGGTTGTGCTTTCCCTACATTCTACCCAATTCATCTAAGCTGTCCAATTAATTGAAATAATGCATTACTGGGTATATACACAAAGGATTATAAATCATGCTGCTATAAAGACACATGCACACATATGTTTATTGTGGCACTATTCACAATAGCAAAGACTTGGAACCAACCCAAATGTCCAACAACAATAGACTGGATTAAGAAAATGTGGCACATATACACCATGGAGTTCTATGCAGCCATAAAAAATGATGAATTCATGTCCTTTGTAGGGACATGGATGAAACTGGAAACCATCATTCTCAGCAAACTATCCCAAGGAGAGAAAACCAAACACCACATGTTCTCACTCATAGGTGGGAATTGAACAATGAGAACACATGGACACAGGAAGGGGAACATCACACTCCAGGGACTGTTGTGGGGTGGGGGGAGGGGGGATGGATAGCATTTGGAGATATACCTAATGCTAAATGATGAGTTAATGGATGTAGCACGCCAACATGACAAATATATACATATGTAACAAACATGCATATTGTGCACATGTACCCAAAAACTTAAAGTATAATAAAATAAAATAAAATAAGAAAAAAACAACCCCATCAAAAACTAGGCAAAGGATTTATGAACAGACACTTCACAAAAGAAGACATTTATGTGGCCAACAAATACATGAAAAAAACCTCATAATCGCTGTTCATTAGAGAAATGCAAATCAAAACCACAATGAGATACTATCTCACGCCAGTTAGAATGCCCATCATTAAAAAGTCAGGAAAGAACAGATGCTGGAGAAGATGTGGAGAAACAGGAACACTTTTACACTGTTGGTGGGAGTGTAAATTAGTTCAACCGTTGTGGAGTACAGTGTGGTGATTCCTCAGGGATCTAGAACCAGAAATACGATTTGACCCAGCAATCCTGTTACTGGCTATATACCCAAAGGATTATAAATCATCCTATAAAGATACATGCACATGTACAATTATTGCGACACTGTTCACAATAGCAAAGACTTGGAACCAGCCCAACTGCCTATCAATTATAGCCTGGATAAAGAAAATGTGGCACATATACACCATGGAATACTATGCAGCCATTAAAAGGATGAGTTCATGTCCTTTGTAGGGACATGGGTGAAGCTGGAAACCATCATTTTCAGCAAACTAACACAAGAACAGAAAGCCAAACACTGCATGTTCTCACTCATAGGTGAGAGTTGAACAATGAGAACACATGGACCTGGGGAGGGGAACATCACACACAGGGGCCTGTCAGGGCGGTTGGAGGCTAGGGGAGGGATAACATTAGGAGAAATACCTAATGTAGATGACAGGGTGATGGGTGCAGCAAACCACCATGGCATGTGTATACCTATGTAACAAACCTACAAGTTCTGCACATCTATCCCAGAACTTAAAGTATAATAAATAAATAAACTTTTTGAAACTAAAAAAAAAAGAAATAATGCGTTTCATAACTATCCTTTTCTAACCTTCTAACTTCTAAAGGAACTTTGGGATGATTATTTGTTTTATTATTTCTGATATTGGTAATTTGGATTTCTCTTTGTTTTCTCTTGATCTCCCTTGCTAACAGTTTATCAATTTCATTATAAAAGTAAGAATTTTTGCTATTTTTATTTTCTCTATTTTATGTTTTCCATTTTATTGGTTTTTGATCTTATGTTTATGTCCTTTTGTTTATTTACCTTGGCTCTTATTTACTCTTCTAGCTTCTTAAGGTGAAGGGTTGAATGGCTGCTTTTAAACATTTATTTTAAATGTAAGCATTTATAGCTATACATTTTTCTTTAAGTACTGTTTTGATCAAACCTCACACATTTTGATATGTTTCTGTTATCGTTTAGTTCTAACTATTTGCTTAGCTTCATTATACCTTCTTCTTTGATTCATAGGTTCACTAAATATTTTTGGCATGTTTCCCAGTATTTGAAGTATATTCTAGATACATTTATGAGTTACATATTTATTCATAGCAAAATATTTCAAAACTTAGTGATTCAAACAATTTGTACTCATTCTCAATTTCTGTAGGTGAGGAAACAGTGTGGTTTAGCAGGTTCCCATGCTTCAAGGTCTCTCACAAAACTGTAATCAAGGTGCTGGTTGGGGCTACCATCTCATTTGAAGGCCTGGCTGAGGAAGGATTTACTTCCACACTAGGTGTTGGTATTAGTAGTTATTTGAATTCTGCTGGAAGGGACATAGAGAATTCGGTCTTATTTTCATATATTAGTTGTTCATCTTGGAGTCATAATTTAAACCACAGTATCTTTGATCATATCTGATAGTTCCCCAGAATTAAACATATGTTTGTGCATGCTTTACCACTTACTAGTAAGAGAGCACAATGTTGATAGATATGCTCTTCAAGTTTTAGCAATAATACATGTTATATTTGGGGTGGATGAATTTAAAACATGTATTAGGTAAGTTGAAAATGACCAACTTTTAGTGGAGCTCATTATGTGATAAACATCTTTGCTGGCTCAGATAGTTATTATTGGGACTCTTTATCTAAGGCTTTTATCACACCAATATTTAATTAACATATGATGAGATGAAGATGTTCTGTGGAGCCAATGGTAAGCCAAGTCATGGAAATAACAGTGGAAGCCCTTAAGCACTACTCCCTTGTTGGCAAATACAAATTTCTGTATTGTAGATACTGTTATTGAATTAATATTGGAATAAAATTAAAGGATTGAATGAATGGAGTACAGATCATTATGATTTTATCTGACATAGTTTCAGGCCTTGATCAAAAGCCTGTACTCTAACTAAAACTGCAGCACTATGATTACCTATCTTTCCAAGAATCGGAATGTCAACTTCCATTCTTAAGCTCTCTGCCTCTGAGCCTCAGGGTTTCTTGGGCACAGACTTTCTAACAGGAAGGGTGAGGCCCTCCTTACTGGGAACATTTTTAAAGAAGAGAGCCTGGGGCTGGATCTCCTTTCATTCTGGCTGAAATATTACTTGTCTCACCTAAATATTTCATAGTGTAAAACTCATAATTTACTATTCAATTTACTTTTGAGTTTTTCTTGTCATATTACAGGCTTTTCACATTATTTGGCATTTAGCTACTTTTCTTTAGCAAGAGCCAAGTCTTTTTCTTCTAGGGATTTTCTTAGAAAAAAGGTTTTCAGAGAGCTTACTTCATTGAATTTGTTCCCGTAGAGTGCCAGCAAAGGGATGGTGGCCAGCTCAGCATTCCACTGGAGGCTATATGATCAAACAGCAAACTGTTTATCATGAATGCAGGATGTGAGCAAACTCACACTGTGCCTGCTGCCAAAAGGTTTGCTGAGGGCCATCACTTCCTGGCACAGGGCTCCTTGAAGTTATCTCCTGAGACATTTAACACCAATTGTTGTGAACCAAATGGCTGACTGACAATTGCCTGACAACTACCCACCCCTCCTGGCTATTTCTTTTGCCTGATAAATACGGAGGGCTGTGTATAGCTCAGGGCCCTTGCTTACTAGAGTAAGGAGCCCTCTGACCCCTTCTTCCAAATATATTTTCTTTTTTCTTTGTCTTTGTTTAGTCCACCAGGGATCATGGCCAGAATAAAATTAATCCTGAGTTACAAACTGAAGTGGCAATGTTAAAATCCACAGTCCTATGATTAGAGGAACAAGTACAAAGCCTGCAGTTGTAGCAGCAATTTTGTTGCCATTTTAACCACACTCATATTTGTGTAACCAACTTAGAATATAACCAAAGTGAGTATCCATGGCACCATGGCACCGTGTGAAAGCCAATTGAAGGGAGCTTTCACATCCAATATCATCTTTGATATCAGTGAATTACAAAACAAAATTCTTGATTTAAATAGGCAAACTCAAGAATTTCAGCCTTAGAAGACTGGGCCAAATTCCAGCAAGGCCTGGAGAGCCTCAACCCTTGGACCTATCTAAGGTACCACATTAACATCTTATATGTAGTTCTTGGAATAATGTTGTTTTGTCTCTGTCTTCTGTTCATAGTCTGTAAAATCAGATGGACTGCTAAACAGAAAATGAGGTCTGCCCACCCTGGCCTTACCTTCTTTTAATTAATCCATAAACAGAAATGGGGAGATGTAGAGAGCCAGCAAAGGGATTGTGACCAGCTCAGCATTCCACTGGAGGCTATATGATCAAACAGCAAACTGTTTACCATGAATGCAGGATGTAGGCAAACTCACATCTGTGCCTGCCACCAGAAGGTTTGCTGAGGGCCATCACCTCCTGGCACTGGGCTCCTTGAAGTTATCTCCTGAGACATCTAGCACCAATTGTTCATGGAATACAGCCTCGCAAGCCTGCTGTGAACCAAAGGGTGAACTGACAGTTACCTGACAACTACTCACCCTCCTCGCTATCTCTTTTGCCTAATAAATATTGAGGGTTGTGTAAACCTCAGGGCCCTTTTTCACTAGAGGCAAGGTGCCCCCGACCCCTTCTTCCAAATATACTCTTTGTCTCTTTGTCTTTTATTCCCGCATTCACCCCTTTTGTTCAGTCCACCAGGGATTGTAGCAGGTTACAAGTGGTGCCACGAACTGTGACAGAATCGGGTGCTTTACATTTTCCAACTATTCTAATTAACAAATCTATAATGACCTTACTGTCCCTTCCATTTAAAATATTGTTGATGTAAAAGTCATAGACCGTGTCTACACACATAAATGGATGAATTATTTACCTGCTAGAATACCCCAGAAGATATTGAAAAAGTGATTTTTTTTTGCTCAAGGTAGGGTATGTCTTCAGTTGGCATCTAGTCCTCTAGGTGTAATTTTTTTTGTCATACCCACCATTGCTTGTGAAAATATGTGAAAGTTCTCATCTTCTTGGGATGAGATTGGGGAGATGCAGAGACATGGTTTCACTTAGGAAAGAAGTGATCTTAGGGATATCCTAGTTGAATGACTGAAAGACTGAAAAGTTTGGCTTCTGCCTATGGGAAAGCTCTGTCATTTGTTCTTCCATGAAGTTAAATCTCAGCATTTTTCTTGATAGGTACAAAGATTAGTAGCTGGACCCTGAATGTTATCACAAATCCTCAATCATAGTAAAGTGCTTCTGGTTGTTTCACCATAATTGAGAAAAATTTCAAGTAACAAATTGTAGTGTTGATACTTTTGCCACTAAATAATGGACTCATCTTGGTTAATTTCTAAGTATGTCAATTTGTATATAGTCATGCAAATTTAGGATCTTTGTTTTTTATGAAGAAATTTTTCAGCAGGTAAGAGCATTCAACTACCTTTGTAGAATAAAATTTGACATTATGTTTAAGTATTTTTGTATTTTGGTCATCTGCTTTGGATAGTGCTATACTCCTCTAAAGACTGAGATAATGAGAGGCCTGTGTGGAACTGTGGAAACTGTAGCCACTAGGAACCAATTCTATATCCATGGATCAGCCATTTATACTCATGTGTTTTATGATCACACATAGATGCATGAGGTATCTACAGTAACCCTCAATGAAAGAAGCATTGCTTTTCTGGACCAAAAGGTGAGTATTTGAAACCATTGACAAGAGATATTCATTGAAAATTTCTGTGATATGTTGAAGTACAGGTAATGTCATAAATACCACATGATTTCATTGGATAAATTCTAATTGGGAAAATTAAGCCAAAAACATGGAAATTTATCACAATATACAACATATATTTGGTTTTAATATACAGCCACATTGGTTGTCTTTTTCATTCTGCCAAATAAGAAGAAAAACATGTTCCATATTACATGTATAATAAGCCAATAAATTTATAATTGTAATCTTAGGTTATGGAATGTTATATTTTATATACCATATTCATAAAGGTGAGCAATTACTCAAATATATTTGATTATGTAGTTTAAAATTGCAGATCATGTCAAACGTGTTAGAGTGTGAAGGAACCAATGCCTGTTATGTTCTGGAAGCATAATATGGATTTTAACTTATGAATCTAAAAATTATCCCAACAATCATACTAGTAGATAAATATGCTGAGGAAAGTACTTAGTCTACTGTCATTTAAATAGATTTATATAACTGTGACTGTGAAATGTAATATTATAGAAGTTTTTTGTTATGGAATTTTATCTTTTAAAACTGGCTTGTTCTTAGGAAACACTGTTAAATCATTTTTTCTAGAAATACGTTAACTTAACGGTTTACATTGAAAGCCTAGTAATGCTGTCTTTCAGTTTCTAAAGTATTCCATATTTAATTACTTAAACTATAGAGGATCTTAAGTTTTTACAAGTATAAGTACTTAAGTTTTTAACTATAGAGGATCTCATGTTTTTACAAGTAGACATTTAAATTGCCAAATAGAATTATCCTGTTGAAGTCTAGTTTTGAAGATAGAAGAGGGAAAAGACAGTAAACCTTTCAGGAAGTAAGGTGTGAAAAAATAACAGAATTGGCTATAGGCTACATTATTCCCTTTTGTTCTTCAGCAGATGTGTCTCTATCAGTCTATAGCTTCAACAATGACAGAACTCTGGAATCAGCTGGAAGAGGTAATGTGAATGAGACATGTGGAATGTTCATCACTGCTGGCTTCTAGAGACAGCTCAAACTCTGTCTGCACACATCCTCTTCCACTGCCAGATCTATGTAAATGGAATCATCTTGTCTACATTTGAGGTTTAGTAATTTTGCCATTTTTCTCATCAGCGAGTAATCAGGAAGTTTGGGTTTTTATTTCTACTTGTCCCATTGATCTCTGTAATTTAAATTTGTCCTTATCTATCTGATCTAGAGACTTTGAGAAATCAATGTGTCCTGTTTTTCTTCTGAGCTTTCTTTTTTTTTTTTTATTCACTAGAATTTGGTCTGTGTTAGGCTACCCCAAGAAGCCTCTTGGGTCACCCCAGTGACCAACAGGAGGTTGTGCTTCCAGTATTTCATCACTAAAAATCTTTATGAAGATTTTTAGGAGAATAATTGCTTCAATTATCACATTAATCTTAATCTGCTCATTAATAATTAATAAGAATAATTACAATAATTACTTATTGTTAATTACAATAATTACTGTGTTTCCTGACTTGACTCTTTTTCTTTCATTTTCTACCATTTAGCTCTACCTCTGATGAGGGGTCCAACTTTTCCACTATAATTCTGCCTGATCTTGTCAAGATACATTCCATCACAGATAAAATAAGTACTCATACATAATTAAACAGGTAGTTACTAAGACATATATTGTGTTCCCCAAAAGCCTTTCCTGAATTATAGGTGTCTTCTTTTCTTTTCCCAGGACTATGTCTATTAATCTTTTCAAATTAACAAAGATTCAGATGATTTGTTCTGATCCAATGTTCACAGTGAACACTGTTCTGTGATCAGAACCAATGTTCTGATCACAATGTTCACAGTATTTGTGAGTACTCCCGATATCTAAATAGTGTTATAAATAAAACCATGTACCACCATTCTGTTCCTCTTTGTACAGGGTATATTTTCTCCTCTCTCACTATCTAGTTCACTTGAAGAATTCAGAAAAAAATACTCACAGCTAATGTGGCAGTTGGTGATAGTCATCAATTAGTTTACTTGAGTTCAAAATTAGTTGTTGAAAACAAGGATATTGTATGTAAATGTGATAAAGAAATTTGTGGAATAAGTAAGGATAAGATATAGAAACATACATCTTGTTACAAGGCAACAGAGGGTCAGACCAAATCATTGCCAGAAGGAATAATGTGATAAATAATATTTTACTATTCATACAAGTCAATGTCCAGTCTTTTGACATTTAATGAGGTATTCAAAAAGACTGAACATTTTTTGCGGCATGAAGGACCAAACGAGTAACTGTGGATTGCCACAGTACTGAGTGAGCTATTTCAGAAGATGTTATTTTTGATGCTACACAGATCATAAAGATACCACAACTACAAACTCAAAGTACTGAATCTATGCCAATTTGTTTATTTAAAGTCTGTTACCGCCATGAGAAAGTAACTTTCTTGAGACAAATAATCTGTTGCCTATTCATCATAGCTGACCTCCATGCCAAAAAATATGTTTTAAATAGGAGTTATGAAATATATGAATGGCTATTGCACCTTTAACTCTTCTTCTGTACAGAATATTCACAAAAACTTAGAGGCACAAGCTGTTACCTGTAGGCTCAAACTAAAATCTTTGAGGAGATGAGAAACTCAATAGAAACTTACAAAATGTTTATCGTGTGTGTAAATCTGTACTGAGGATACAACGATGAAGAGGTGCTCTGTGACTTCATGGATGTATTCATATTCCTGTTCACTATTTCATTACAGGTCCTGTTCTCCTGAGCTCTCAACTGTGACAGAAGCCTTAGAGAAGAGTAAAGGGGACTGAGTAATAATATTACAGAATTTGTCCTCTTGGGCAACACTCAGTGTCCTGATGTGCAAAATGCATTATTTGTCATGGTTTTACTCACATACATTGTGAGTATGGCGGGAAACTTGCTCGCTGTGGTGGCTATTATTGCCAGCCCCTCCTTTGGCTCCCCAATGTACTTCTTCCTCACTGCCCGTTATTTATGGATGTGGCATATTCCAATACCATTTCTTCCAAATTGATTATAGACTTACTCCATGACAAAAAGACTATTTTCTTCACAGCATGCATGGGGCAGCTATTTATAGACCACTTATTTGGTGGTGCTGAGGTCTTCCTACTTGTGGGGATGTCCTACGATTGCTATGTGGCCATCTCTAAGCCACTGCACTATTTGACCATCATGAATCAACAGGTTTGTATCCTTCTGTTGGTGGTGGCTGTGTCTGCAGGTTTTGTGAGCTGTGTGTTTCAAATTGTTGTTGTGTACACTCTCTCATTCTGTGGCCCAATGTCACTGACCACTTTGTCTGTGACATGTACCCATTACTGGAACTGGCGTGCACTGATACCTACTTTATAGGCCTCACTGTTGTTGCCAATGGTCTAGCAATCTGTATGGTCATCTTCACCTTTCTACTAATCTCCTATGGAGTAATCCTAAACACCCTTAAAACTTATTGCCAGGAAGGGAGGTGTAAAGCCCTTTCTGCCTGCATCTCCTACATTACAGTCACTGTCCTGTTTCTTGTTCCCTGTGTTTTCCTTTTTGTTAGACCTGTTTCAAACGTTCCTATTGATAAATTCATGACTGTGTTTTATACAGTTATCACACACCCATGTTGAATCCTTTAATATACACACTGAGAAATTTAGAGATGAGAATTGCTGTAAAAGCCAATGTAAAAAAACCCTGGCATAAAAACTTAACTATAGTTAGAATGAGTGTTCCTCTTCTTTTAGTAGAGGTGTACATAGACAACATCTATCCTGCGAGATTGTTAGACTTCTAAGTCAATTAAGGTTTCCTAGTTTGGGAAGGCAGGATTTTGAAGCTCCCCACTCAATTAAGATGTCATCCCATCATGGCATCTCTTTGATATTCAAGATCTCAACTTCTATATCCAGACCGAGTGTGGATGGGATCCTTGGGTGCAGTTTCTACTGTGCACTTTTTAAATTATGGTTTTTCTCTATTTACAAATCCATTGAGACAGTGTATTTCTTCCACATGCCCAGCACATAATGGAGAAAGAGAGGACTAGGCAATTAAAATAGATCCTCCTGTTCACAAGTGAAGCCTATGGTGCTTGCTTTAATATACTCACAAGCAGCATACTCACAAATATCTTTGAAACTGGCCCTTCTCAGACTTGGGCTGAATGTCTATGTGCAGTGAGCTAATACTCTTAAGAATGTGAGAATTATGTTTGTCTAGTTTAAAGTGTTTATGAGAGGGTCTTAACATCCACAACTTTGAAATGACATTTATTTTGATGACCTTTCTTACCTTTAGAGTACTTAGCTCTTTGCAGAGACTGGAAAGAGAAACTAGTTCTATTTCTGAAAGCGCAAGTTCTGGCTCTTTTATGTTTCTTGTAAATTCTGTTTGAAAATGTAACAGTTAATCTTTTAAGTTATTTTTTATAAAAAAAATCTAATGCCTTACGGTAAGATACATTGCTATAAGAAACAGTGGTAACTTTTCATATTCTACTTGGAAATTTTAGCCAAAACCACCTATTCACTTAGGTACAATTTTTATTTTCTACTTTACTACAGGTGACAGAATTACTAAACGTTTCCAGCACTGGATAGTGACTAAGTCTCTTCCCTTTCCTCCAGAACATTTACTTCTGTCTTTACAGCCTTCACTCACAACATCCTGGAGGCTTCTATTTTTGGGCACTACAGCCAATGCAATACACACTGAATTGTTGTTACGGAATCACCACACTTTGAGGTGCCACTTTTTATTCTGGTCCTCCCTTCAGGCATGGTGCAAGGCTTCACAGTTTTTGTGAGTTAAAACCACCACCGTTTTATTTTATTTAAAACTTTTGTGTGCCAGAAATTCAGGCAGGTTGGCTTGGTATTTCTTCTGCTTTGGAGTATAGGACTGAAGTCACTGCCTTATTCACCTAAGTGGGTAGTCTGTAGGATGCAGAATAACTTAATTCACATTTATAATATATTGGAAGAGATGACTGTAAGAGATCCCTGGATCCTTCTTCCTATCCATTTAGGTGAAGAACCAGAAGAACCAAAAGTATAGTCAGGTGTTTTACATGGTGCTCAGAGATCCTAGTGGTAGAAAGTAGAGATGTCAGGCCAGTTAATGGGTAGGGACAGAGATCAAAACCATGTCATTCTGCTCCTCACCTCCCTAAAATCTCATGTTTTTCTCAACTTTCAAAATACAATCATGCCTTCCCAACAGTCCCCCAAAGTGTTAACACATTCCAGCATTAACTGAAAAGTGCACAGTCCAGTCTTGTCTGAGACAAGGTTAGTCCCTTCCACCTAAGCATGTAAAATCAAAAGTAACCTAGTTACTTCCAAGGTACAAAGAAGATATAGGAATTGGGTAAATTCTTTCATTCCAAAATGAAGAAATCAGCCCAAAGAAAGGGGTTACAGGCCCCATGGAAGTCTGTAATCTGGCAGGGCAGTCACTAAATCTTGAAGTTCCAAAACAATTACCTTTGACTCCATGCCTCACATCCAGGACATGTTGGTACAATGGGTAGTCTTCTAAGGCCTTGTGTAGTTCCACTCATGTGGCTTTATAGGGTTCAGCCAGTGCAGTTGCTCTTAATGTCTTTGGTTGGTCTTGAGGGGGCCCATGGCTTTTCTAGGTACAGGGTGCAAGCTTCTGGTGGATCTACCATTTTGGGGTCTGGAGGATGGTAGTCCTCTTCTCACAGCTCCACTAGGCAGTGCCCCAGTGGGTACTCTGTGTGTGGGATCCAACCACACATTTTCCCTCTGCACTGTCCTAGTACAGATCGTCTGTGATTCTCCACCCATGCAGCAGGCTTTGGTATGAAATTCCAGGCTTTTTGATACATTCTCTGAATCCTGGTTGGAGGCTCCCAAGCCTCATCTCTTGCAATTTGTGCACCTGCAGGCTTAACACCACATGGAAGCCTTCAAAATTCACAGCTTTCATCATCTGAATTGTACTTTGGCCCTTTTTAGTCACAGCTGGACCTGAAATGGCTGGGATACACACAGCAGTGTCACAAGGCTGCTGAGGGCAACAGGGCCCTGAGACTGGCCCAGAAAACCATTCACTTCTCCTAGGTCTTCCGGCCTGTGATGGGAGGGGCTGCTGAAAAGATCTCTGAAATGCCTTTGAGGGCTTTTCCCCATTGTCTTGTTGGTTAGCACATGGCTCCACTTATGCAAATTTCTGCAGCCTGCTTGAATTTCTTCCCAGAAAATGGGCTTTTCTTTTCAACCACATGGCCAGGTGGCAAATTTTTCAACCTTTTACACTCTGCTTTCCACTTAAATATAAGTTCCAGTTTCATGTCATTTCTTTGCTCATTTGTATGAGCTTAGGTTATTAGAAGCAGCCAGGCTAAATCTTGAATGCTGTGCTGCTTAGAAATTTCTTCTTCCAGATACCCTAAATCATCACTCTCCAGTTCAAAGTTTGATGGATTGATGGAAAAGGGACACAATGCAGCCAGACTTTGCTGAAGCTTGGCAAAAATGACCCTTATTCCATCCAGTTCCCATTTAGTTTTTTGTTTCTTTCTGAGACCTCCTCAGTCTAGAGTTTACCATTCATTTCACTATCAGCATTTTGGTCACAGCCATTCAAACTTCTCTAGGAAGTTCCAAACTCTCTCTCATCTTTCTGTCTTCTTCTAAGTCCTCTACACTCTTCCAGCCTCTGCCTGTTACCCAATTCCAAAGCTGCTTCCACATTTTCTGGTATCTTTATAGAAATTCCCCACTCTTTGGTACTAATTTTTTGCATTAGTCCATTCTTGCATTGTTATAAAGAAATATCAGAGAGACTCTGTAATTTATTAAAAAATAAGTTTAATCAGTTCATTTTTCTACAGGCTGTAACTGAAAGCATGATGCTGGCATCTCCTCAGCTTCTGAGGAGGCCTCAGTAAATTTACGATCATAGTGGAAGGCAAAGTGGGAGCAGGTACTTCTTACATGGCAGGAGCAGGAGCAAGAAGCAGAGTTGCCACACACTTCTAAAAAACCAGATCCCATGAGAACCCACTATTGTGATGACAGTATCAAAATTAGATGATGTTAAATCATGAGAAACTTCCTCCATAATCCAGTCACCTCCTACAAGGCCCTACCTCCAGCATTGGGGGTTACATTTCTACATGAGATTTGGGTAGGGACACAGATTCAAACAATATCATTTTTAAAATATCATTTGGACTACTCCATTTCCTTCTTTATCTTTTATCATCTTCATTTATTCATATTTATGATTTGTTTTTATTCAGTTTTATCAACAGAGCCATTTATTGCACTGGGAATTTTTTTCCAAATAATATAATTCTGAAGCAGAGCATTAAATACCTTCATTTAAGTTCTCCCACTCATGTGAAAAGGAGGCTAGTATATTTTCCTGGCAGTAACTGACTTCATGTCATATATGAGAGAAACAATTAACAGTTTTATTCTCAAGATTCAATAGAATCTCATGGGAAAATAATAATCATGTCCTTTCTAGGAATTATTATCCATCTATGTGCTCCTTTCCCATCTGCTATGATTTTTTTTCAATAACTTATTACTCTTTTAAACCCAATTTTAGCTTTTATTAAGTCATTATTATGTGGGTTGTAAGGGGTATAATATGTCCATGTGACATACTTTTTAGCCCATTTATGTCCATGGGCTATGAGGAAATCTCCGTCTTGGATAAATGAGATGTAATTGGTTGGGCAAATTGGTATTATGTAGTGTTTCTGTAGCTTGACAGTGTTGTCACTTGTGGCTTGGGTCACAGGCTAAGTGAATTACAAAATAGAAAAACGTGTATTTAAGGATAAATCTAATTGACACCACTAGGATCTATGGCTAATGGTCCTATGAAATAGCCCACAAACTGTGTTGTAATATTTGACCCTAGCAAATACTCCTCAAAGTTTTACAGAACTTTATTCTTCACCACATTTTGGTTGGCTTAGTGGGCTATGTCATTATTCTGCTCATCATTATATGTTATTCATGCATATATTAAAGTGGCCACCACCTGAAAAGCCTAGGCCAGAAGCATTATCTTTGTTTTTTGAGTCAAAACCTGGGTTCTTTGTTGGATCCTATGCCCACTTATAACTTCCCTCAGAATACTTTTATGACCTTCCATAATAGCATTCTCTCTTGCCGAATTTCTTGGATATCCATTCATTAGAGGCTTTTCTGCCTCTTTTTTTGTGGTAACCAAATGGTGAGGTTACCACACAGGAGCATGAAAATATGCAGACATTGCATGGATAAACAAATGCTACGTGTACTGAAGGATATGCTGTTAATACATATATTCCAGAGCTGCAATCTAGTCCATGCTCCCATCCACCATGACCCTGAAATCCTCAGTCTTAAAAATACCTGGGACTACATAACATGCTAATATAGTTTGGCTGTGTCCCCCCCCAAATCTCATCTTGAATTTTAATCTCCATTATCCCCATGTGTTGTGGAAGGGACAAGGTAGGAGGTAATTGAATCATGGGGGTGGTTTCCCCCATGCTCTTCTCTTGATCATGAGTGAATTCTCATGACCTCTGATGGTTTTATAAGTGTCTGGCATTTCTGCTGCTGTCACGCATTCTCTCTCCTGCTACCCTGTGAAGAGGCATGATTGTAATTTCCTGAGGCCTTCCCAATCATGCAGAACTGTGAGACAATTAATCCTCTTTTCTTTATAAATTACCCAGTCTTGGGTATTTCCTTATAGGAATGTGAGAATGCACTAATATACATGCATTTCTTTTTTTTTTTTTTTAAAAACAATGAGTGTATACTGTAACTATATTTAATTTTCTAGCTTGGTAATAGGTAAGGATTGCAGATAATTTGTATGGACAATGGGAAATTTTTGGCAACTTCTACATTAGTTAATATTTTTTGTCTACTTTTTATTATGGGAGCAAGTAAATTCAGATTCTGTGCTGTTGTAGGCATCATCCAATGTAACAAACACTTTTATGTCATTCTGAAAACATTAGTGGTTATTTGAATTCAGATAGAAGGGACACAGAGAATTATGGCTTATTTTCATATTAGTTCACCATCTTGGAGTCATAATTAAATTCATGATATCTTTGATCATATCTGATAGTTATTCAGAATTAAAGATATGTTTGTGCATCTTTTACCACTTACCAATAAGTGAGCACAGTGCTTATAGACACAGTCTTTAAATTTTAGAATTCATACATATGACTTTGGGGTGGATGTATTTAATCAGTTTATTAGGTAAGTTGAAAATGATCAACATTTAGTGGAGCCTGTTACATGATAAACTCCTTAGCTCGTTCAGATAAGTATTTATGGGACTCTTATCTAAGGCTCTTATGACACAGAATATCTAGTATTTAAACATATGATGAGATGAAGATGTTCAATGGAGCCAGTTGTAAGCTAAGTCATGGAAATAACAATTGAAGTGCTTAGGCACTGCTCTGTTGTGGGAAAATACAAATTTCTTTATTGTAGAAACAGTTACTGAATTGATATTGGAATAAAATTAAAGGATTGAATTAATGGACTACAGATCACTATGGTCATATGTAACATAGATTCAGGCTTTGATCAAAAGCCTGTACTCTAACCTAAAACTGCAGAACTATGATGATCTGTTTGCCAAGAATCAGAATGTCAACTTTGGTTCTTAGGCTCTCTGCTTCTTAGCCTCAGGGCTTCTTGGGAATGGACCTTCTAACAGTAAGGTTAAGGCCCTCTTCACTGGGAATATGCTCAGAGAAGAGAACCTGGGCCTTCCTGTCAGGGGAACCTGTCCCCAATATTTCAACATAGGTTATTTCTATTTTCCCTAAGTGTTGGCTGGTCTGAAAAATAAAGAAAAAGAGTACAAAGGGAGGAATTTTAGGACTGGGCCACCGGGGGTGACATCACATATCTGTAGGTCCGTGATGTCCACCTGAGCCACAAAACCAGAAGGTTTTTATTAAGGACTTTAAGAGGGGATGGGGTGTACAAACAGGGAGTAGGTCACAAAGATCACATGCCTTAAAGGGCAATAAAGATCACAAGGCAAAGGGCGAAGCAAAGATCACAAGGCAAAGGACAAAATTAGAATTACTGATGAGGTTCTATGTTCGGCTGTGCACATATTGTCTTGATAAACATCTTAAGCAACAGAAAACAGGGTTCAAGAGCAGAGAACTGGTATGACCAAAATTTACCAGGCTGGAATTTCCCAATCCTAGTAAGCCTGAGGGTAGTGCAGGAGACCAGGGCATATTTCAGTCCTTATCTCAACTGCATAAGACAGACAATCCCAGAGCGGCCGTTTATAGATCTCCCCCCAGGAATGCATTCCTTCCCTAGGGTATTAATTATTAGTATTCCTTGCTGGGAAAAGAATTCAGTGATATCTCTCCTACTTTTATGTCTGTTTATAGGCTCTCTACAAGAAGAGAAATATGGCTCTATTGTGCCTGACCCTGCAGGCAGTCAGACCTTATGGTTGTCTTCCCACGTTCCCTAAAATTGCTGTTATTCTGTTCATTTTCAAGGTGCACTGATTTCATATTGTTCAAACACCCATGTTTTACAATCAATTTGTACAATAGTGGTCCTGAGGTGACGTACATTCTCAGCTTATGAAGATAACAGGATTAAGAGATTAAAGTAAAGACAGACATAAGAAATTATAAGCGTAGTATTTGGGAACTCAAATGTCCATGAAATCTTCACAATTTATGTTCAGAGATTGCAGTAAAGACAGGCATAAGAAATTATAAAAGTATAAATTTTGGGAACTGATAAATGTCCATGAAATCTTCACAATTTATGTTCCTCTGCCACGGTTCCAGCCAGTGACTGTGTTCAGGGTCCCTGACTTCCCACAACAGCTTCCCATTCATTCTGGCTTAAATATTATTTGTGTTACCTCAGCATTTCAGAATATGAAACTCATAATTTATTGTCCAATTTTCTTTAGAATATATTTTTCACATTATAGGCTTTTCACATTACTTGGCGTTTAGCTAGTCTTTCTTGGGGAGACCCAAGTCTTTTTTTCCTCTAGAGGTTTTCTAAGCGAAAAAAAGAGTACAAAAAGATTATGTTATTTGAATTTATTCCAAATATTCAAATTAACTAATCTATAATGACCTTACTGCCTCTTTCATTTAAAGTAGTGGTGATGTAAAACTCATAGATTGTGTTTACACATAAATGGGATAATTATTTTCTTGATAGAATAACCCAAGAGATATCTGAATTAAATTTCTGCCTAAGGTAGAGTATGTCTTCAGTTGGTATCTAGTCCTCTATGTGTGATGTTTTCTTGCCATATGCTCCATTTCTTGTAAAAAATTGTGAAAATTATGAATTTACTGGGATTGGGGGGAGATATAGGGACATGCTTTTAATTAGGAAAGAAGTGGACTTAGGGGTACGCTATTTGAATGACATTTGAATGACTGAGAGACTGAAGAGTTTGGTTTCTTTCTGTGAGAAAACTCTGTCATTGGTTTTTCCATGAAGTTAAATTTCAGCATTTTCCTTGTTAGGTGCAAACCTTAATAGCTGGGCACATGAATCTTATGAATCCTCAGTCACAGTAAAGTACTTATGGTTGCTTCACCATAATCGAGGAAATTTTCACTAACAAATTTTAGTGTTGGTACATTTTGTATTCTTGGTCATAAAATAAGGGGCTTGTGCAGGTACATTTCCACCAATTAAGTCAATATTTACATAGTCATTCAAAGATAGTATCTTTGTTTTTCTATGAAAAAATTCCCCAGCATATGAGAATATTCAACTACCTTTCTACATTATTAAGTTTAAGCATCTTTATATTTTTGTCATCTGTTTTGGATAGTGCCATAATTCTCTAATGACCGAGATAATGAAAAGCCTGTGTGGAAGTGTGGAAGCTGTAGCCACTAGGAACTAATTCTATATCCCTGGATCAGCCATCCATTTCATGTGTTTTATGATCACACATAGATGCATGAGGTATCTACAATAATGCTCTGTGAAAGAAGCATTGCTTTTCTGGAGAATGATGTGAGTATTTGAAACCACTGACAGGAGATATTCATTGAAAATTCCTGTGATATGTTGATATGTAGCTAATGTCTTAAATCCATATGAGTTTTTAAGGAATTCTAATTTAGAAAGTTAAGCTAGCAAACATGAAAATTGTTCCACATATGGAATGTATATTTGGTTTTAATATGTAGCCTAATTTTTTCTTTTTCTATTTTCCAAATAAGAAAAAACATGTTCCATATTACAGGTATAATAAACCAATATATTTATAATTATAATCTTAGTTTGTGGGATGTTATATTTTATATGATATATTAGTAAAGGTGTACAACTAATTTCAGATATATTTGATTGGAAAGTTTAAAATTTCAGATCATGTCAAGTGTGTAGGAGGGTAAAGGAACAAATGCCTGTTAGTTCTGGAAGCATAATATGGGTTTTTACTTATAAATCTAAAAATTATTCCAGTAAATGTACTAGTAAATAAATATGCTCAGGTAAGAACCTTGTCTACTGTCATTTAAATAGATTTATAAAAGTGTGACTGTGAAATGTATTATGAAGGTTTTCTGTTATTATGGAATTTTGTCTTTTGAAAATGTCATGTTCTCAGGAAACTACGTTAAATCATTGTTTTTCTAGAAAAATGTCAACAGTAGTTTACATTGAAGTCATAGTAATGCTATCTTTCAGTTTTTAAAGTATAATATTTTTAATTACTTAAGCTATAGAGGATAGTTTACATATCTTATTTTTTACAAGTAAACATTTAAATTGCTAAAATAATTATGCTGTTGAAATCTAGTTTTGATGATGGAAGAGGGAAAATCACTAAACCTTTCAGCAAGTAAGGTGTGAAAAAATAATAGGATTAGCTATAGGCTACATTATTCCCTTGTGTTGCAACTCAGATCTGCTTCAGTGGCGAGATACAGTTTGTCCTCAAGCCTTTCTCTTCTAATTCGCCTCAAGTAAGAGAATCCTAAAAGAGCTGTTCTGACCATGTATAAGAATATATAAATTCAAATGGCATAAGGGATATATTACAGTATACATAAGGAGGTTCTGCCCTGCCCTTCATTTAGGAAAGAAGGATTTATTTTTCCAGCTGTTGAGTGTGCTGTTAGTAGACAGCATTCAGATGATATCCCCTTCAGTATCTTTAGAAGTTGCAGAAAGCCACCTCAATAAAGGTCTCATGCCCTTTCCCAGAGCAGTCCCTCTTTGCATCCAGGTTGACATTTAGGTTCAGATATCATTAGATCATACTGCTCTTCCAACTACTTTGTCATCATTTTTCCATTTTTAAATTTTGAATTTCCTCATTAGCTTATGAAACCTGTTAGCCAGTGTCCATTTTCAGTGTAGATCCATAAGTATGGTTATTATTCCTTCCACATACTGTGGAAAACCAGACTGACTGCTCAAAATACTCCCATCCTTCACTCCAGTGCTTCCAGACTACCTTCCAGGGACAGTGCAACAGTTTCTACTTTTGTCTGTTTTTGCCATTCCATGCAGATTGGTTACTTCTTTTGTTGTTGTAATCTTTAAAACATAGTTTGTTTTTTATTTTCTTTATTGAGGTGTATGTGACAAAAAATGTATAACATATATTTAAGATGTACAGTGTGATATTTTAATAAATGTATACATTGTGAAATGATTACCACAATCAATATGTTCATCACCTCACATAATTACCTTTTGTGTTTGGTGAGAATACTTAAGATGTATTTTCTCAGCAAACTTCAAGTGTGCAATATGGTATTATCAAGTATAGTCTCTATGCTGTAACTTAGCTCTCCAGAACTTACTCATTCTGCATGACTGAATCTTGTACTCTTTGACCAACATCTCTTTTCTTCTCCCTGCATTCCATCCCAATCACCATTATACTCTCTGCTCTTAAGAATTTGACTTCTTTTTTAGATTCCACATGTAATTAAAATCATGTGGTATTTACCCTTCAGTGTGGAGAACAGGGAACCCTGTTATATAGTTGGTGGGAATGTAAATTGATACAGCCATTATAGAAGGCACTATGGAGGATAAAACTACCATCTGATCCAGCAATCCCACTACTTGGTATGTATCAAAAGAAAATGAAGTTAGTATCTTGAAGAGATACCTGCACTCCAATATGAAATGCGGCATTATTCATAATCACCAGGATATAGAAACAACTTACATATCCATCAGTAGATGAATGAGTAAAGGCAATGTGACATCTATCTTTCTATCTATCTATCTATCTATCTATCTATCTATCTATCTATCTATCTATCTATCTATCTATTCATCTACCTATCTATCATCTATCTGTCATCAATCATCTATCTAACTAATGTACACATGCACACTTATACTCACATAATATATGGTATTATTGACTACAGACATTATGCTGTACCTTAGATCACCAGTATTACTTCATCCAAAAAAATGAAAATTTGTACTTTTTGCCCTTTGTATTTGTATATGTAATGCAATAATATTTCATAATCAAATATTATTAAACCTTCAAAAGATCATTCTGCTATTTTTGACAACATGAATGAACTTGGAAGACTTAATAACCTCTTTGTTTTATTTTGTTTTTAATTGACAAACAGTAATTGTTTAAGAAGTAATTCTTTAAAGAAGTTTGTCAGTCTTATTATTTTCTTCTTTCTCTGTCTTTTCTTTCTTTCTTTCTTTCTTTTCTTTGTTTCTTTCTTTCTTTGTTTCTTTCTTTCTTTCCTTCTTTCTTCTTTTCTCTCTTTCTTTCTTTTTTTCTTTCTTTGTGGAGTACAGTGGGATGTTTTTATATCATGTGCAATAACAGAAATCTACCTAGAGGACATTATGCTAAGTGAAATGTTTTCTTGAATAGATATTTAGTGCACTGATTTTCAGTCTTTGTTATTTTCTAGAAAATGCAAGTAATATTTTAGCTGAGTTTTACAAGCTTTGATATGTTGTATTTTCATTATTATTAGGCTCAAAATACTTCCTAACTTCTGTGATTTATTTTTACTAATGGATTATTTAAAAGTGGTGTGTTTAATTTTGAGATAGAAAATTTCTGGGTAATTTTAGTTTTTTATTTTCTAGCTGATTTTCTTGGTGTTCAGTGACATATTTTATTATGGTGATTATAGGAAATTCATAGACAGTGGTTTTATGAACCAGTATATGATTGATTTTGGAAAATGTTTCATATGCTCCTGAAAAGAAAGTGTATTTTCATGGTGTTGTATGTGATGATCTCTTACGTCAGTGGGTCAAATTTTCTAAATGGTTTTGTTTGAATCATAAATATCTTTATAAATTTTTTGTGCATATATTCTAGCACTTAGAGTTGTGCTAAAATCTTCCTGTATTATTGTTGATTTGCCTATTTCTCCTTTTGTTTCAGCCTATTTTAAAAAAATAACTTATAAAGTTGTGCTTTCAGGTGCATACCAATTTATAATTTTATCTTCATATTGCTAATCTTTTGCCATTATAAAAATTTATTTCTGGAAATATTTCTTGCCTTGAAGTCTAGTTTTGTCTGATATTAGCACAGAAATAGTGTTCTTTTGGTCAGAATTTATGCACTTTATTCTATTATTTTATTTTCACCTTTTCATACTGTTATTTAAGATGTTTCTCTTACCATTGTGTTCTATTTCTTAAATAGGAGAATTTTGCTCATTAAAAAGATAAAGTTAATTATGTATTGAATTCAAATCCACCACTTTTCTTTTGGTTTCATACTTATTAATTTTACATATGATTAACATTCATGTTATTTATTTCTATATTTCTTCTTTCAATTAGTCTTCCTTCTTTCCTGCATTTCCTTTTTCCATTTCAGAGCTTTTTCCTTCCTTCCAAAGATCCTTCTTCAGAGCTCTTATTCCATAGTTTGTGCCTGATTCTAGAATCTCTAAATATTTTTTAAATTAGTCAGAAAAATCTGCATTTTATATTCACTTCTGTGAGATTTTAAATGGATTCTATGTTGACATTTTTATTCATTTATCACTGTGAAGATGTATTTCCTTTTTCTTTTGGTTTTCACTGCATCTTTTAAGAAGTTTGTCAGTCTTATTATTTTCTTCTTTCTTTTCTCTTTCTTTCTTCTCTTCTTTCTTTCTTTTCTTTTCTTTCTTTCCTTCTATCCTTCTTTCTTCTTTCTTTCCTTTCCTTTCCTTTCCTTTCCTTCCTTTCCTTTCCTTTCCTTTCCTTTCCTTTCCTTTCCTTTCCTTTCCTTTCCTTTCCTTTCCTTTCCTTCTTCCCTCTCCTTTCCTTTGTTTCCATTCCTTCTTTCTTTCCTTCTACAGAATCTTGCTCTGTTGCCTAATCTGGAGTGCAGTGGCATCATCTCGACTCACTGCAACCTCTGCCTCCCAGGTTCAAGCAATTCTCCTGCCTCAGCCTCCCTAGAAGCTTGGATTACAGGTGCCTGGCACCACACCTGGCTAATTTTGTATTTTTATTAGAGACTGGATTTGGCTAGTCTGGTCTCAAACTCCTGGCCTCAAGTGATCCACCTGCCTTGGCCTCCCGAAGTGCTGTGATTACAGACGTGAGGCACCACACCTGGCCTTATTATTATTTTATTGAATGCAGTATGTTCTTAAAATTTTGTCTGTATTTAGCTTTTATTCTGCTGTACCTTTTCTGTTTATCCTTTTAAAACAAATTATTGTTTTTAAAATTCATTCTTCATGAAACTCATAAAACCTTACAAATTCATAGCTTAATATCTCTCAGCAGTTTCAGAGAATTTTCAGCAATATCTCTTCAAATATTTTGCCGACCTGATTCTCTTTCTCTCCCTTTTCTGGAATTGTAATTAAATTAAAAGTATGGCAGAGTTTTGCACTGTGTCCTTTATATCTCTTTTATACTGTTTTCTGCATTTGCTTTTTTTTTGCTGTCTGCTTTGGTCTGCATATTTTCTTCTAATATTTTTTGCAGTTTATTAATTTTCTATTTTTTTGTCTCTAATTTGCTGTTAAATCCCACCATTATGTTTTTAATTTGTTATTATACATTTTAGTTTTTCAGTTTATTTTGTTCATTTTATTATTTATCTTGTTTTAATATTTGTTCATACTGAACTTATTAAAAATGCTTATATTTCATTATCTAGATCATCTGTTTTTTTATTGCACTTGCCTTTCAATCATGCCATTTCTACTATACTTTGTTACTTTTTTTGAGTGCCCAATTTTGCATGTGAAAAGTGGCAATTCAATAATTTTTTGGGATTTTTTTTTAAAAGAGAGAATTTCCTGTGTTTCTACTCAAGAGTTGGGATTGGAGAATAAAAAATCCCAGATAGTCTTAATTCAATCAAGAAATTAGAGGATGAAAGATGGACTTCAGTTCCTTTGAGGACTGCCTTATTGTCTGTGCATTCCTACTCCAAGAGTAAATACCCTTGTGATGTAGTCATACAAAGATAGTATCTTGTGGTCTCAAATGAAAGCCTTGTTGTTTATAAAGGACTCTTTTCCTTGGTAGAGCTTCAATTTTACATGTTGTCCCTTAGGGTAAATAATCTATAGAAAGTTGCACACATATTTTCAGGCTTTCATTTATGATTTTGGGAATTATCTCACTTTTAGAGAAATTAGACTCTAAATGTGGTGTTCTGCTCTCTAGCTTTCTTTTTCTTTTCTGAGACAGCGTCTTGCTATGTTGCCCAAGCTGGACTCAAACTCCTGGGCTTAAGGGATTCTCCCACCTCAGTCTTAAAAATGGCTGGGACTACATAACATACTGATATGGTGTGGCTGTGTCCTCGCCCAAATCTTATCTTGAATTTTAATCTCCATTAAGCCCATGTGTCATGGGAGGGATGAGGTGGGAGGTAATTGAGTCATGGATGTGGTTTCCCCCATGCTGTTCTCATGTTTGTGAGTGAGTTCTCATGAGATCTGATGGTTTTATAAGTGTCTGGCATTCCCCTTTCTGGCACTTATTCTCTCTCCTCTCACCCCGTGAAGAGGCATGATTGTAAGTTACCTGAGGCTTTCCCAATCGTGCAGAACTGTGAGTCAATTCAACCTATTTTCTTTATAAATTAACGAATCTGGGGTATTTCCTTCTAGCAATGTGAGAACAGAGTAATACACATGCATTTCCGCTTTTAAAAAAAGAAATATATATTGTATCTATATTTAAGTTTCTTGTTTGGTAATAGGTATGGATTGCAGAGAATTATTATAAACCATGGAAATTTTTGGCAATTTCTACATTAGTTGATATTTTTGATGAATTTTTTATTATTGGAGAAATTAAATGCAGATTCTGGGCTGTTGTAGGCATCATCTGATACAACAAGCACTATTGTGTCATTCAGAGAATTGGAAAGCAGTGCAGTTATTTGAATTCAGCTAGAAAGGACATAGATAATTATGACTTATTTTTATATTAGTTCTCCATCTTGGAGTCATAGTATAAACCACAGTATCTTTGATCACATCTGATAGTTTTCAGAATTAAAGCTGTGTTTGTGCATCTTTTACCACTTAGCAGTAAGAGAGCACAACACTTGCAGACATTCTCTCCAAATTTTAGCAGTAATATGTGTTACATTTGGGGTGGATGAATTTAATCCATTTATTAGTTAAGTTGAAAATGACCAACTTCTAGTGGAGCCATTTACATGATAAAGATATTAGCTGGTTCAGATAAGTATTTATGAGACTCTTCATCTAGGCTCTTATGACACCGAAGATCCAATATTTAACTAAATATATGATGAGGTGGAGGTGTTCAGTGGAGCCAATGGTAAGCCAAGTCATGGAAATAACAAAGGCAGACCTTAAGCACTGCTCTCTTCTTGGCAAATAAAAATGCCTTATTGTAGAAACAGTTATTGAATTGATATTGGAATAAAATTAAAGGATTGATTCTGACATACATTCAGGTCTTGATCAAAAGCTTGTACTCTAACCTAAAACTGCAGAACTAAGATGATCTATTATTCCAAGAATCAGAATGTCAACTTCCGTTCTTAACGCTCTCTGCTTCTGAGCCTCAGGGATTCTTGGGAATGGACTTTCTAACAGGAAGAATAAGGCTCTCCTTGCTGAGAATATGCTTAGGGAAGAGAACCTGGGGCTGGTTTCCCCTTCATTCTGGCTTAAATATTACTTGTCTTCTCAGTATTTCAGAATGTGAAACTCATAATTTATTGTTCAATTTTCCTTAGAATATATTTTTCACATTATAGGCTTTTCACATTACTTGGCATTTAGCTACTGTTCCTTGGGGAGACCCATGTCTTTTTCCTCTAGAGATTTTCTAAGGGGAAAGAAAGTGTTCAGAGAGATTACTTCATTTGAATTCATTCCAAATATTCAAATTAACTTATCTATAATGACCAAACTGTCTCATTTATTTAATATAGTGATGATGTAACAGTCATAGATTGTGTCTACAAACATGTAAGAAATATTATCCTGATAGAATCACACAAGAGATATCTGAAGAGTTAATTTCTGCCCAAGTTAGAGTATGTCTTCAGTTGGTATCTAGTCCTCTAGGTGTGATGTTTTATGTCATATCCTCCATTTATTTTAAAAAATTGTGAAGGTTTTCAATATACTGGAATGAGGTAGGGGATATACAGCGACATGTTTTTTTTTAAATTATACTTTAAGTTTTAGGGTACATGTGCACAACGTGCAGGTTAGTTACATATGTATACATGTGCCATGTGATAGTTTGCCGAGAATGATGGTTTCCAGCTTCATCCATGTCCCTACAAAGGACATGAACTCATCCATTTTTATGGCTGCATAGTATTCCATGGTGATATGTGCCACATTTTCTTAATTCAGTCTACTGTTGTTGGACATTTGGATTAGTTCCAAGTCTTTGCTATTGTGAATAGTGCCACAATAAACATACATGTGCATGTGTCTTTAAAGTAGCATGATTTATAATGCTTTGGGTATATACCCAATAATGGGATGGCTGGGTCAAATGGCATTTCTAGTTCTAGATCCCTGGGGAATCACCACACTGACTTCCACAATGGTTGAACTAGTTTACAGTCCCACCAACAGTGTAAAAGTGTTCCTATTTCCCCACATCCTCTCCAGCACCTGTTGTTTCCTGACTTTTTAATGATCGCCATTCTAACTGGTGTGAGATGGTATCTCATTGTGGTTTTGATTTGCATTTCTCTGATGGCCAGTGATGATGAGCATTTTTTCATGTGTCTGTTGGCTGCATAAATGTGTTCTTTTGAGAAGCGTCTGTTCATATCCTTCATCCACTTTTTGATGGGGTTGTTTGTTTTTGTCTTGTAAATTTGTTGGAGTTGATTGTAGATTCTGAATATTAACCCTTTGTCAGATAAGTAGATTGCAAAAATTTTCTCCCATTCTGTAGGTTGCCCGTTCACTCTGATGGTAGTTTCTTTTGCTGTGCAGAAGCTCTTCAGTTTAATTAGATCCCATTTGTCAATTTTGGCTTTTGTTGCCATTGCTTTCTGTGTTTTAGACATGAAGTCCTTGCCCACGCCTATGTCCTGAATTGTATTGCCTAGGTTTTCTTCTAAGGTTTTTATGGTTTTAGGTCTAACATTAAAGTCTTTAATCCATCTTGAATTAATTTTAGTATAAGGTGTAAGGAATGGATCCAGTTTCAGCTTTCTACATATGGTTAGCCTGTTTTCCCAGCATCATTTATTAAATAGGGAATTGGTTTCCCATTTCTTGTTTTTGTCAGGTTTGTCAAAGATCAGATGGTTTTAGATATGTGGCATTATTTCTGAGGGTTCTGTTCTGTTCCATTGGTCTATATATCTGTTTTGGTACCAGTATCATGTTGCTTTGGTTACTGTAGCCTTGTAGTATAGTTTGAAGTCAGGTAGCGTGATGCCTCCAGCTTTGTTCTTTTGGCTTAGGATTGAGGGGTGTTTTTTGGTTCCATACGAACTTTAAAGTAGTTTTTTCCAATTCTGTGAAGAAAGTCACTGGTAGCTTGATGGGGACGGCATTGAATCTATAAACTACCTTGGGCAGTACGGCCATTTTCACGATATTGATTCTTCCTACCCATGAGCATGGAATGTTCTCCCATTTTTTTGTATCCTCTTTTATGTCATTGAGCAGTGGTTTGTAGTTCTCCTTGAAGAGGTCCTTCACATCCCTTGTGAGTTGGATTCCTAGGTATTGTATTCTCTTTGAAGCATTTGTGAATGGGAGTTCACTCATGATTTGGCTCTCTGTCTGTTATTGGTGTATAAGAATGCTTGTGATTTTTGCACATTGATTTTGTATCCTGAGATTTGCTGAAATTTCCTCTCAGCTTAAGGAGATTTTAGGCTGAGACGATGTGGTTTTCTAGGTATACAATCATGTCATCTGCAAATAGGGACAATTTGACTTCCTCTTTTCCTAATTGAATACCCTTTATTTCCTTCTCCTGCCTGATTGCCCAGGGCAGAACTTCCAACATTATGTGGAATAGGAGGGGTGAGACAGAGCATCCCTGTCTTGTGCCAGTTTTCAAAGGGAATGCTTCCAGGTTTTGCCCATTCACTATGATATTGGCGGTGGGATTGTCATAGATAGCTCTTATTATTTTGAGATAAGTCCCATCAATACCTAATTTATTGAGAGATTTTAGCATGAAGCGTTGTTGAATTTTGTCAAAGGCCTTTTCTGCATCAATTGAGATAATCGTATCGTTTTTGTCATTGGTTCTGTTAATATGCTGGATTACATTTATTGATTTTTGTATGTTGAACCAGCCTTGCATCCCAGGGATGAAGCCCACTTGATCATGATGGATAAGCTTTTTGATGTGTTGCTGGATTCGATTTGCCAGTATTTCATTGAGGATTTTTGCGTGGATGTTCATCAGGGATATTGGTCTAAAATTCTCTTTTTTTGTTGTGTCTCTGCCAGGCTTTGGTATCAGGATGATGCTGGCCTCTTAAAAAGAATTACGGAGATTCCCTCTGTTTCTACTGATTGGAATAGTTTCAGAAGGAATGGTACCAGCTCCTCCTTGTACCTCTGGTAGTATTCGGCTGTGAATCCATCTGGTCCTGGACATTTTTAGGCTGCTAAGGTATTAATTATTGCCTCAATTTCAGAACCTGCTATTGGTCTATTCAGAGATTGAACTTCTTCCTGGTTTGGTCTTGGGAGGGTGTATGTGTCGAGGAATTTATCAATTTCTTCTAGATTTTCTAGTTTATTTTCGTAGAGGTGTTTATAGTATTATCTGATGGTAGTTTGTATTTCTGTGGGATCGGTGGTCCTATCCCCTTTATCATTTTTTATTGCATCTGTTTGATTCTTCTATCTTTTCTTCTTTATTAGTCTTGCTAACAGTCTCCCAATTTTGTTGAGCTTTACAAAAAACCAGCCCCTGGATTCATTAATTTTTTGAAGGTTTTTTGTGTCTCTATTTCCTTCAGTTCTGCTCTGATTTTAGTTATTTCTTGCCTTCTGCTAGCTTTTGAATGTGTTTGCTCTTGCTTCTCTAGTTCTTTTAACTGTGATGTTAGGGTGTCAGTTTTAGATCTTTCCTGCTTTCTCTTGTGGGCATTTAGTGCTATAAATTTTCCTCTACACACTGCTTGAATGTGTCCCAGAGATTCTGGTATGTTGTGTCTTTGCTCTCATTGGTTTCAAAGAACATCTTTATTTCTGCCTTCATTTCGTTATCTACCCAGTAGTCATTCAGGAGCAGGTTGTTCAGCTTCCCTATAGTTGAGCGGTTTTGAGTGAGTTTCTTAGTCTTGAGTTTGATTGCACTGTGTTCGGAGAGACAGTGTGTTATAATTTCTGTTCTTTTACATTTGCTGAGGAGTGCTTTACTTCCAACTATGTGGTCAATTTTGGAATAGGTGTGGTGTGGTGCTGAAAGGAATGTATATACTATTGATTTGGGATGGAGAGTTCTGTAGATGTCTATTAGGTCTGCTTGGTGAAGAGCAGAGTTCAATTCCTGGGTATCCTTGTTAACTTCTCTCTCATTGATCTATCTAATGTTGACAGTGGGGTGTCAAAGTCTCCCATTATTATTGCGTTGGAGTCTAACTGGAGCATTTAGCCCATTTACATTTAAGGTTAATATTGTTATGTGTGAATTTGATGCTGTCATTATGATGTTAGCTGTTTGTTTTGCTCGTTGGTTGATGCAGTTTCTTTCTAGCCTCGGTGGCCTTTACCATTCGGCTTGTTTTTGCAGTGGGTGGTACCTGTTGGTTCTTTCCATATTTAGTGCTTCCTTCAGGAGCTCTTTTAGGGCAGGCCTGGGGGTGACAATGTCTCTCAGCATTTGCTTGTCTGTAAAGGATTTTATTTCTCCTTCGCTTATGAAGCTTAGTTTGGCTGGATATGAAATTCTGGGTTGAAAATTCTTTTCTTTAAGAATGTTGAATATTGACCCCCACTCTCTTCTGGCTTGTAGAGTTTCTGCCAAGAGATCAGTTGTTAGTCTGATGGACCTCCCTTTGTGGGTAACTCGACCTTTCTCTCTGGCTGTGCTTAACATTTTTTCCTTCATTCAACTTTGGTGAATCTGACAATTATGTGTGTTGGGGTTGCTCTTCTCAAAGAGTATCTTTGTGGCATTCTCTGTATTTCCAGAATTTGAATGTTGGCCTGCCTTGCTAGATTGGGGAATTTATCCTAGATAATATTCTGCAGAGTGTTTTCCAACTTGGTTCCATTCTTCCCGTCACTTTCAGGTACACCAGTCAGACATAGATTTGGTCTTTTCATATAGTCCCATATTTCTTAGAAGATTTGTTCATTTCTTTTTATTCTTTTTTTTCCAAACTTCTCTTCTTACTTCATTTCATTCTTTTCATCTTCCATCACTGATACCCGTTCTTCCAGTTGTTCAAATCAACTACCGAGGCTTGTGCATTCATCACATAATTCTCGTGCCGTGTTTTTCAGCTCCATCAGGTGCTTTAAGGCCTTCTCTGCATTGGTTATTCTAGTTGCCCATTCATCTAATCTTTTTTCAAGGTTAATAACTTCTTTGCTATGGGTTCGAAATCCTCCTTTAGCTCTGAGTAGTTGGATCATCTGAAGCCTTCTTCTCTCAACTCATCAACGTCATTCTCTGTCCAGCTTTGTTCCATTGCTGGTGAGGAGCTGCATTCCTTTGGAGGAGGAGAGCCGCTCTGATTTTTAGAATTTCCATTTTTTCTCCTCTGTTCTTTCCCCATTTTGTGGTTTTATCTACCTTTGGTCTTTGATGATGGTGACGTACCGATGGGGTTTTGGTGTGGATGTCCTTTATGTTTGTTAGTTTTCCTTCTAACAGTCAGGACCCTTAGCTGCCAGTCTGTTGGAGTTTGCTGGAGGTCCACTCCAGATCTTGTTTGCCTGGCTATCAGCAGTGGAGGCTGCAGAACAGCGGATACTGGTGAACGGCTAATATTGCTGACTGATCGTTCCTCTGGAAGTTTTGTCTCAGAGGAGTACCCAGCCATGTGAGGTGTTACTCTGCCCCTACTTGGGGGTGCCTCCCAGTTGGGCTACTCAGGGGTCAGGGACCCACTTGAGTAGTCAGTCTTCCTGTTCTCAGATCTCAAACTGCATGCTGGGAGAGCCACTAATCTTTTCAAAGCTGTCAGACAGTGACACTTATGACTGCATAGGTTTTTGCTGCCTTTTGTTTGGCTGTGCCCTGCCTCCAGAGGTGGAGTCTACAGAAGCAGGCAGGCCTCCTTGAGCTGCAGTGGGCTCCACCCAGTTCCAGCTTCCCAGCTGCTTTGTTTACCTACTCAAGCCTTGGCAATGGCAGACGCCCCTCCCGCAGCCTCATTGTCGCCTTGTGGTTTGATCTCACACTGCTGTGCTAGCAATGAGCTAGGCTCCATGGGCATAGGATCCTCTGAGCCATGCACAGGATATAATCTCCTGGTATGCCATTCGCTAAGACCATTGGAAATGCACAGTATTAGGGTGGGAGTGACCTGATTTTCCAGGTGCCATCTGTCTCACCTTTCCTTGGCTTGGGAAGGGAATTCCCTGACCCCTTGCACTTCCTGGGTGAGGTGATGCCTCACCCTGCTTTGACTCACACTTGGTGCACTGCACCCACTGTCCTGCACCCACTGTCCAACAGTCCCCATTAGATGAACCTGGTACCTCAGTTGGAAATGCAGAAATCATTCATCTTCTGGGTCACTCACGCTGGGAGCTGTAGACTGGAGCAGTTACTACTCGGCCATCTTGGCTCCACCCCCTACCTAAACCTTTCTTTTCATTTAGCAGTTTGGAAACACTGATTTCTTATAAAATGCCAAGAGATATTTGGTACCGCACTGAGGCCTTTGGTGAAAAAGGATACATCTTCATAGAAAAACTAGAAAGAATCTTTCTGCGAACCTGGTTTGGGTTGTGTGCATTCATCGCAGTGAGTTAAACCTGACTTTTGATTCAGCGCTTTGGTAACACTGTTTTTGTCCAGTCTGTGAATGGATGTTTGGGAGCTCATTGAGGCCAATGGCTTAAAAGGGAATAACCCAGGAATAAAACTAGAAGAAAGCTATCTGAGAAATCACTTTGTGATGTCTTATTCATCTAGCAGAGTTAAATCTTTTCTTTCATTCAGCAGTTTGGAAACACGGTTTTTGGAGAACTTGTGAAAAGATATTTGCCAGTGCATTGATGCCTATGGTCAAAAAGGAAAAATCTTTATGTAAATACTGGAAAGAATCTTTCTGAGAAAATGCTTTGTGATGTGTTCATTCATATCACAGAGTTAAAACTTTCTTTAGATTCAGTAGTTTGGAAGCACTGCCTTTCTTCATTCTGCAAGTGGACATTTTGGAGCTTATTGAGACCAATGTCAAAAAAGCGAGTATCCCAGGATAAAAACTAGAAGGAAGTTATCTGAGAAACCGATTTTTGATGTGTGCATTCATCTCACAGAGTTCAACTTTTCTTTTCATTCAGCAGTTTGGAAACAGGGTTTTCTTAGAATCTGCAAAGAGATATTTCATAGCGCATTGTGGCCTTTGGTGAAAAAGGAAATATCTTCAAATAAAAACTAGAAAGAAGCCGAATGAGAAACGGGTTAGGGATGTGGGCATTCATCTCACAGAGTTAAAACTTTCTTTGGATTTAGCAGTTTGGAAACACTGTTTTTTTAGAAACTGTGAAAGGATATTTGGCAGTGCGTTGATGCCTGTGGTCAAAAAGGAAATATCTTCAGATGAAAACTAGAAAGAAGCTTTCTGAGAAACTGCTTTGTGATGCTTTCATTCATCTCATAGAGTTAAACCTTTCTTTGGATTCAGCAGTTTGGAAACACTGTGTTTGTCCATTCAGTGAATGGAGATTTGTGAGGTTATTGAGGCCAATGGAGAAAAAGTGAATATCTCAGGATCAAAACTAGAAGGAAGTTATCTGAGAAACCTAATATTGATGTGCACATTCATCTAACAGATTTCAACTTTTCTTTTCATTCAGCCGTTTGGAAACAGGGTTTTCTTAGAATCTGTGAGGAGATGTTTTGTACCACATTGACACCTATGGTGAAAAAGGAAATATCTTCAAATAAAAACTAGAATAAAGCTTAATGAGAAACAGGTTTGGGATGTGTGCATTCATCTCAGAGAGGTAAACTTTTCTTTGGATTCAGCAGTTTGGAAACACTGTTTTTGTCCATTCTGCAAATGGACATTTGGGAGCTCATTGGGTCAAAGGTGAAAAAGTGACTCTCAGAGGATTAAAAATAGAAGGAAGCTCTCTGAGAAACCACTTTTTAATCTCTGCATTCATCTATCAGAGTTAAACATCTCCTTTCATTTAGCAGTTTTGAAGCACTGTTTTTGTAGAAACTGCAAAAGAGCATATGGCACCTCACTGAAGCCTAAGGTAAAAAAAAAATATCTTTGGATAAAAACTAGAAAGAAGCATTCTGGGAAACTTCTTTGTGATGCATTTATTTGTCTCACAGAGTTAGACTTTTCTTTGTGTTCAGCAGTTTGGAAACACTGTTTCTGTTGATTCTGCGAATGGACATTTGGGAGCTCAATGAGGTCAATGGCAAAAAACCGAATGTCCCAGGATTAAAAATAGAAGGAATTTGCCTGAGAAACCGTTTTTTTTATGTGTGCATTCATCCAGCAGAGTTAAACCTTTCTTTTCATTCAGTAGTTTGGAAACACTGTATTTGTAGATACTGCAAAAGGATATTTGTCAGCACATTAAGGCCTATGGTGAAAAAGGAAATATCTTCAGATTGAAACTAGAAACTTTCTGAAAGTCTGCTTGGTAAAGTGTACATTCATCTCACAGGTTTAAACGTCTCTTTGGATTCAGCAGTTTGGAAATACTGTTTTTGCCCATTTTGCAAATGGACATTTTGGAGCTCATTGAGGCCAACGGCAAAAAACCGAATATTCCAGGATAAAATCTAGAAGGAAGTTATTTGAGAAACCGATTCATGAAGTGTGCATTCATCACACAGTGTTAAATCTTTCTTTTCTTTCAGCCGTTTGGAAACACTGTTTTCTTAGAATCTGCCAAGAGATATATGGAAGACCATGGAGTTCAATGGTGAAAAAGGAAATATCTAGTGACAAAAACTAGAAAGAAGCTTAATGAAAAACTGGTTTGGGTTGTGTGCATTCATTTCAGAGAGGTAAACATGACTGGGTTCAGCAGTTTGCAAACAAAGTTTTTCTCCATTCTTGGAATGGACATTTGGGAACTCATTGAGGCCAATGGCGAAAAAGCGAATATCCCAGGATAAAAACTAGAGGTAAGTTATCTGAGACACCAATTCGTGATGTGTGCATTCATCTCAGAGATGAACCTTTCTTTTCATTAAGCAGTTTGGAAACATTGATTTCTTAGAATCTGTGAAGAGATATTTGGTAGCCATGGAGGGCTATGGTGAAAAAGGATGTATCTTCAAATAAAAATTGGAAAGAAGGTTTCTGAGAAACTGCTTTGTGATGAGTTCATTCATCCCACAGAGTTAAACCTTTCTTTGGATTCAGCAGTTTGGGAAAACTGTTTTTTTTCTTTGTAATAATTTAAATTTTAGGGTATATTTGCACAACGTGCAGGTTTGTTACATATGTATACATGTCCCTTGTTGGTGTGCTGCACCCATTAACTCATCATTTACATTAGATATATCTCCTAATGCTATCCCTCCCGCCTCTCTCCAACCCACAGCAGGCCCCAATGTGTGATGTTCCCTTCCTGTTTCAAAGTGTTCTCATTGTTCAATTCCCACCTATGAGTGAGAACATGTGGTGTTTGGTTTCCTGTCCTTGGGATAGGTTGCTGAGAATGATGGTTTCCAGCTTCATCCATGTCCCTACAAAGGACATGAACTCATCCTTTTTTATGGCTGCATAGTATTTCATGGTGTATATGTGCCACATTTTCTTAATCCAGTCTATCATTGTTGGACATTTGGGTTGGTTCCAAGTCTTTTCTATTGTGAATAGTGCCACAGTAAACTTACGTGTGCATGTGTCTTTATAGCAGAATGATTTATAATCCTTTGGGTATATACCCAGTAATGGGATGGCTGGGTCAAATGGTATTTCTAGTTCTAGATCCCTGAGGAATCCCCACACTGACTTCCACAATGGTTGATCTAGTTTACAGTCCCAAAAACAGTGTAATAGTGTTACTATTTCTCCACTTTCTCTCCAGCAACTCTTGTTTCCTGACTTTTTAATAATCACCATTCTAACTGATGTGACATGGTATCTCATTGTGGTTTTGATTTGCATTTCTCTGATGGCCAGTGATGATGAGCATTTTTTCATGTGTTTTTTGGCTGCATAAATGTCTTCTTTTGAGAAGTGTCTGTTAATATCCTTCACCCACTTGTTGATGGGGTTGTTTGTTTTTTCTTGTAAATTTGTTTGAGTTCATTGTAGATTCTGGATATTAGCCCTTTGTCAGATGAGTAGCTAGCAAAAATTTTCTCCCATTCTGTAGGTTGCCTGTTCATTCTGATGGTAGTTTCTTTTGCTGTGCAGAAGCTGTTTAGTTTAATTAGATCCTATTTGTCAATTTTGGCTTTTTGGCTTTTGTTGCCATTGCTTTTGGTGTTTTAGTCATGAAGTCCTTGCCCATGCCTATGTCCTGAATAGTATTTCCAATGTTTTCTTCTAGGGTTTTTATGGTTTTAGATCTAACATTTAAGTAATTAATCCATCTTGAATTAACTTTTGTATAAGGGGTAAGGAAAGGATCCAGTTTCAGCTTTCAACATATGGCTAGCCAGTTTTCCCAGCACCATTGATTAAATAGGGAATCCTTTCGCCATTTCTTCTTTCTGTCTGGATTGTCAAAGATCACATAGTTGTAGATATGTGGCATTATTTCTGAGGGCTCTGTTCTGTTCCATTGGCCTATATCTGTTTTAATACCAGTAGCATGCTGTTTTGGTTACTGTAGCCTTGTAGTACAGTTTGAAGGCAGGTAGCATGATGCCTCCAGCTTTGTTCTTTTGGCTTAGGATTGACTTGTCCATGCAGGCACTTTTTTGGTTCCATATGAACTTTTAAGTAGTTTTTTCCAATTCTGTGAAGAAAGTCATTGTTAGCTTGATGGGGATGGCATTGAGTCTATAAATTACCTGGGGCAGTGTGGCCATTTTCACGATATTGATTCTTCCTACCCATGAGCATGGAATGTTCTTCTATTTGTTTGTATCCTCTTTTATTTCCTTGAGCGGTGGTTTGTAGTTCTCCTTTTAAAGTTCGTTCACATTGCTTGTAATTTGGATTCCTAGGTATTTTATTCTCTTTGAAGCTATTGTGACTGGGAGTTCACTCATGATTTGGCTCTCTGTCTGTTATTGGTGTATAAGAATGCTTGTGATTTTTGTACATTGATTTTGTATCCTGAGACTTTACTGAAGTTCCTTATCAGCTTAAGAAGGTTTTGGGCTGAGATGATAGGGTTTTCTAGATATACAATCATGTCATCTGCAAACAGGGACAATTTGACTTCCTCTTTTCCTAATCGAATATCCTTTATTTCCTTCTTCTGCCTAATTGCCCTGGCCAGAACTTCCAACACTATGTTGAATAGGAGTGGTGAGAGAGGGCATCCGTGTGTTGTGCCAGTTTTCAAAGGGAATGCTTCCAGTTTTTGCCCATTCAGTATGATATTGGCTGTGGGTTTGTCATAGATAGCTCTTATTATTTTGAGATACCTCATCAATACTTAATTTATTGAGAGTATTTAGTATGAAGGTTGTTGAACTTTGTCAAAGGCCTTTTTTGCATCCATTGAGATAATCATGTGCTTTTTGTCATTGGTTCTGTTTATATGCTGGATTATGTTTTTTGATTTGCATATGTTGAACCAGCCTTGCATCCCAGGGATGAAGCCCACTTGATCGTGGTGGATAAGCTTTTTGATGTGTTGCTGAATTTGGTTTGCCAGTATTTTATTGAGGATTTCTGCATCAGTGTTCATCCGGGATATTGGTTTAAAATTCTCTTTGTTTGTTCTGTCTTTGCCAGGATTTGGTATCCGGATCATGTGGCCTCATGAAATGAGTTAGGGAGTATTCCGTCTTTTTCTATTGATTGGAATAGTTTCAGAAGGAAGGGTACCAGCCCCTCCTTGTACCTCTGGTAGAATTTGACTGTGAATCCGTCTGGCCCTGGACTTTTTTTGGTTGGTAAGCTATTAATTATTGACTCAATTTCAGAGCCTGTGATTGCTCTATTCAGAGATTCAACTTCTTCCTGGATTAGTCTTGGGAGGATGTATGTGTCGAGGAATTTATCCATTTCTTCTAGATTTTCTAGTTTATTTGCGTAGAGCTTTATAATATTCTCTGATTGTAGTTTGTATTTCTGTGGCATTGGTGGTGATATCCCCTTTATCATTTTCTATTGCACCTATTTGGTTCTTCTCTCTATTTCTTCTTTATTAGTCTTGCTGGTGTTCTATCAATTTTGTTGATCTTTTCAAAAAACCAACTCCTGGATTCATTGATTTCTTGAAGGGTTTTTGTGTCTCTATCTCCTTCAGTTCTGCTCTGATCTTAGTTATTTCTTGCCTTCTGCTAGCTTTTGAATGTGTTTGCTCTTGCTTCTCTAGTTCTTTTAATTGTGATGTTAGGGTGTCAATTTTAGATCTTTCCTGCTTGCCCTCTGCACACTGCTTTGAATGTGTCCCAGAGATTCTGATATGTTATGTCTTTGTTCTCTTTGGTTTCAAAGAATATCTTCATTTCTCCTTTCATTTCGTTATGTACCCAGTAGTCATTCAGGAGCAGGTTGTTCAATTTCCATGTTGTTCAGTGGTTTTGAGTGAGTTTCTTAATTCTGAGTTTTTGTTTGATTGCACTGTGATCTGAGAGACAATTTGTTATAATTTCTGCTCTTTTACATTTGCTGAGGAGTGCTTTACTTCCAACTGTGTGGTCAATTTTGGAATAAGTGTGGTGTGGTACTGAGAAGAATATATATTCTGTTGATTTTGGGTGGAGAGTTCTGTAGATGTCTATTAGGTCTGCTTGGTGAAGAGCTGAGTTCAATTCCTGGGTATCCATGTTAACTTTCTGTCTCGTTGATCTATGTAATGTTGACAGTGAGGTGTTAAAATCTCCCATTATTATTGTGTGGGAGTCTAAGTCTCTTTGTAGGTCTCTAAAGACTTCCTTTATGAATCTGGGTGCTCCTGTATTGGGTGCATACATATTTAGGATAGTTAGCTCTTTGTTGAATTTATTCCTTTTCATTGTGTAATGGCCTTCTTTGTCTCTTTTGATCTTTGTTTGTTTAAAGTCTGTCTTATCAGAGACTAGGATTGCAACTCCTGCCTCTTTTTGTTTTCCATTTGCTTGGTAGATCTTCCTCCATCCCTTTATTTTGAGCCTATGTGTGTCTCTGCACGTGAGATGGGTTTCCTGAATACAGCACACTGATTGATCTTGACTGTTTATCCAATTTGCCACTCTGTGTCCTTTAATTGGAGCATTTAGCACATTTACATTTAAGGTTAATATTGTTATGTGAGAATTTGATCCTGTCATTGTGATGTTAGCTGGTTATTTTGCTCGTTAGTTGATGCAGTTTCTTCCTAGCCTCGATGGTCTTCACAATTTGGCATGTTTTTGCAGTGGCTGGTACCGGTTGTTCCTTTCCATGTTTAGTTCCTCCTTCACGAGCTCTTGTAGGGCAGGCCTGATGGTGACAAATTCTCTCAGTATTTGCTTGTCTGTAAAGTACTTTATTTTTCCTTCACTTATGAAGCTTAGTTAGGCTGGATATGAAATTCTGAGTTGAAAATTCTTTTCTTTAAGATTGTTGAATATTGGCCACCACTCTCTTCTGGCTTGCTGAGTTTCTGCTGAGAGATCAGCTGTCAGTCTTATGGGTTTCCCTTTGTGGCTAACCCGACCTTTCTCTCTGGCTGCCCTTAACATTTTTTCCTTCATTTCAACTTTGGTGAATCTGACAATTACGTGTCTTGGAGTTGCTCTTCTCGAGGAGTGTCTTTGTGGCATTCTCTGTATTTCCTGAATTTTAAGGTTGGCCTGCCTTGCTAGATTGGGGAAGTTCTCCTGGAAAATATCCTGCAGAGTGTTTTCCAACTTGGTTCCATTCTCCCCGTCACTTTCAGGCCCTCCAATCATAAGTAGATTTGGTCTTTCCACATAGTCCCATATTTCTTGGAGGCTTTGTTCATTTCTTTTTACCCTTTTTTCTCTATACTTCTTTTCTCACTTCATTTCATTCATTTCGTCTGCCATCACTGATACCCTTTCTTCCAGTTGATTGAATCTGCTAATGAAGCTTGTGCATTTGTCATGTAGTTCTTTTGCGATGGTTTCCAGCTCCATCAGGTCCTTTACAGACTTGTCTGCATTGATTATTCTTGTTAGCCATTCATCTAATCTTTTTTCAAAGTTTTTAACTTCTTTGCCATGGATTCCAACTTTCTCCTTTAGCTCAGAGTAGTTTGATCATCTGAAGCCTTCTTCTCTCAACTCATCAAAGTCATTCTCTGTCCTCTTTGTTCCATTGCTCATGAGGAGATGCATTCCTTTGAAGGAGGAGAGGCACTCTGATTTTTAGAATTTTCAGTTTTTCTGCTCTGTTTTTTCCCCATTTTTGTGGTTTTTTCTACCTTTGGTCTTTGATGATGAGGACGTACAGATGGGGTATTGATGTGGATGTCCTTTGTGTTTGTTAGTTTTCCTTCTAACAGACAGGACCCTCAGCTGCAGGTCTGTTGGAGTTTGCTGGAAATCCACTCCAGATCCTGTTTGCCTGAGTATCAGCAGCAGAGGCTGCAGAACAGCGAATATTTGTGAACAGCAAATGTTGCTGCCTGAATGTTCCTCTGGAAGTTTTTTCTCAGAGTGGTACCCAGGCTTGTGAGGTGTCAGTCTGCCCCTCCTGGGGGGTGCCTCTCTGTTAGACTACTCAGGGGTCAGGGACCCACTTATGGAGGCAGTCTGTCCGTTCTCAGATCTCAAGCTGCATGCTGTGTCCAGAACCACTACTGTCTTCCAAGTTGTCAGACTGGGACATTTAAGTCTGCAGATGTTTCTACTGCCTTTTGTTTGGCTATGCCCTACCCCCAGAGGTGGAGTCTACAGAGGCAGGCAGGCCTCCTTGAGCTGCGGTGGCCTCCACCCTTTTCAAGCTTCCCAGCCACTTTGTTTACATGCTCAAACTTCTGCAATGGCTGGCGCCCCACCCTAGCTTCACTGCCATCTTGCAGTTTGATCTCATACAGCTGTGTTAGCAATGAGAGAGGCTCCAGGAAACACTGTTTTTGTCCATTCTGTGATTTTACACTTTCTGACTCATTGAGGCCAATGGGGAAAAAGTGAATGTCCAAGGATAAAACTAGAAGGAAGTTATCTGAGAAACCTATTCATGATGTGTGCATTCATCTCACAGTGTTAAACCTTGCATTGGATTCAGCAGTTTGGAAATACTGTTTGTGTCCATTCTTTGAAGGGTCGTTTAGGAGCTCATTGAGGAAAATGGTGAAAAAGCAGATATCCCAGGATTAAAACTAGAAGGAAGCTATCTAGGAAACTGCTTTGAGATATGTGCATTCCTCTTACAGAGTTATACATTTCTATTCATTCAGCCGTTTGGAAACACTGATTTCTTAGAATCTGCAAAGAGATATTTGGAAGCACATTGAGGACCATGGTAAAAAAGGAAATATCTTCAGATAAAAAGTAGCAAGAAGCTTTCTGAGAAACTACTTTGTGATGTGTTCATTCATCTCACAGAGTTAAAATTTCCTTGGATACAGCAGTTTGGAAATACTGCTTTTGTCCATTCTGAGAATGGACATTTCAGAGTTCTTTGAGGCCAATGTCAAAAAAGAGAATATCCCAATATAAAAACTTGAAGGAAGTTATCAGAGAAATCGATTTGGGATGTTTGCATTCATATCACAGAGTTAAATCTTTTTTTCATTCACCAGTTTAGAAACACTGTTTTCTTAGAATCTGCCAAGGGATATTTGGAAGAGTATGGAGGCCAATGGTGAAAAAGGTAATATCTTCAGATAAAAATTAGAAAGAAGCTTAATGAGAAACTGGTTTTTATTTGTGCATTCATCCTACAGTGTTATATCTGTCTTTGTATTCAGCAGTTTGGAAACACAGCTTTTGTCCATTTTTGGATTGGACATTTGTGAACTCATTGAGGCCAATGGCAAAAAAGCATTTATCCCAGGATAAAAACTAGAACGAAGTTATCTGAGAAACCAGTTCATGATATGTGCATTCATCTCAAAAAGTTAAAACTTTCTTTGCATTCAGCAGTTTGGAAACACTGTTTTTTTCGATTCTGCAAATGGATATTTGGAAGCTTATTGAAGCAAATGGCAAAAGAGCGAATATCCCAGGATAAAATCTAGAAGGAAGTTATCTGAGAAACCGCTTTGTGATGCATGCATTCATTTAGCAGAGTTAAAACTTTCTTTTCATTCAGCAGTGTGGAAACAGTATTTTCCTAGAATCTGTGAAGAGATATTTGGTAGCGCATTGTGGCCCATTGTGAAAAAGGAATTATCTTCAGATAAAAACTAGTAAGAAGCTTTCTGAGAAACTGCTTTGTGATGTGTTCATTCATCCAACAGAGTTAAGCCTTTCTTTGGATTCAGCAGTTTGATAACACTGTTTTTGTCCATTCTGTGAATGGACGTTTGGGAGCTCACTGAAGCAAAAGGCAAAAAAGGAAATACCCCAGGATTAAAACTAGAAGGAAGCTATTGGAGAAACTGCTTTGTGATGTGTGCATTCATGTAGCAGAGATAAAGTTTCTTTTCATTCAGCAGTTTGGAATCACTGTGTTTGTAGAAACTGTGAAAGAATATTAGCAGCCCATTAATGCCTATGGTGAAAAAGAGAATATCTTCAGATAAAAACTAGAAAGAAACATTCTGGGAAAGTGCTTTGTGATGTGTTCATTCATCTCACAAAGTTAAAACTTTCTTTCTATTCACCAGTTTGGAAATACTGATTTTGTCCATTTTGTGAATAGACATTTTGGAGTTCATTGAGGCCAAAGGGGAAAAAGTGAATATGCCAGGATTAAAACTAGAAGGAAGCTCCCTGAGAAACTGCTTTGTGATGTGTGCATTCATCTCATAGGGTTAAACCTTTGTTTTCATTCAGCAGTTTGGAAACACTGATTTCTTAGAATCTGCAAAGAGATATTTGGTAGCACATTGGGGCTCATGGTGAAAAAGGGAACATCTTCAGATTAAAACTAGCAAGAAGATTTCTGAGAAACTACTTTGTGATGTGTTCATTCATCTCACAGAGTTAAATTTTCCTTGGATTCGACAGTTTGGAAATACTGTTTTTGTCCATTCTGTGAATGGATATTTGGGAGCTCATTGAGGCCAATGGTGAAAAAGAGAATATCCCGGGATAAAAACTTGCAGGAAGTTATCTGACAAACCGATTCATAATGTGTGCATTCATCTCACAGAGTTAAATCTTTTTTTTTAATTCAGCAGTTTAGAAACACTGTTTTCTTAGAGTATGCCAAGAGATATTTGGAAGACTATGGAGGCCAATGGTGAAAGAGGAAATATCTTCAGATAAAAACTAGAAAGAAGCTTAATGAGAAACTGGTTTCAGATGTGTGCATTCATCTCAGAGGGTTAAACCTGTCTTTGGATTCAGCAGTTTGGAAACACACTTTTTTATCCATTCGTGGAATGGACATTTGGGAACTCATTGAGGCCAAGGGCAAAAAAGTGAATATCCAATAATAACAACTAGAAGGAAGTTAACTGATAAAACAATTCATGATGTGTGCCTTCATCTCACAGAGGTAAACCTTTCTTTTCATTCAGCAGTTTGGAAACACTGATTTCTTAGAATCTGTGAAGAGATATTCTGTAACACATTGAGGCCTATGGTGAAAAAGGATATATCTTCAGATAAAAACTAGAAAGAAGCTTTCTGAGAAACTGCTTTGTGATGTGTTCATTCATCCCACAGAGTTAAACCTTTATTTGGATTCAGCACTTTGGAAACACTGTTTCTGTTGATTCTATGAATGGACATTTGGGAGCTCATTGAGGCCAATGGGGCAAGAGAAAATATCCCAGGATAAAAACTAGAAGGAAATTATATGAGAAACCGATTCATGATGTATGCATTCATCTCAGAGACTTAAACTTTTCTTTGGATTCAGTAGTTTGGAAACAATGTTTGGGTCCATTCTGGGAATGGACGTTTCAGAGTTCTTTGAGGTCAATGGCGATAAAGTGAATATCCCAGGATTAAAACTAGAAGGAAGCTATCTGAGAAACCGCTTTGTGATGTGTGCATTCATCTAGCAGAGTTGAACATTTCTTTTAATTCAGTGGTTTGGAAACAATTTTTTTGTAGAAACTGTGTAAGATCATTTGGCAGCACATTGATGCCTATGGTCAAAAAAATACCTCTTAAGATAAAAACTAGTAAGAATCTTTCTGAGAAACTGCTTTGTGATGTGTTCATTCATCTCACAGAGTTAAACAATTCTTAGGATACGGGAGTTTGGAAACACTGTTTCTGGCCATTCTGTGAATGGACTTTTGGGAGCTAATCGAGGCCAATGGCAAAAAAGAGAATATCCCAGGATAAAAACTTTAAGAAAATTATCTGAGAAACTGATTTGTGATGTGTGCATTCATCACACAGAGTGAAACTTTTCTTTTCATTCAGCAGTTTGGAAACACTTTTTTCTTAGAATTGGCAAAGAGATATTTGGAAGTGCATTGATGCCTACGGTGAAAAAGAAAATATCCTCAAATAAAACTAGAAAGAAGCTTAATGAGAAACAGGTTTGGGATGTGTGCATTCATCTCAGAGAGTTAAACCTTTCTTTGGAATTAGAAGTTTGGTAACACTGTTTTTGTCCACTCTGCGAATGGACAGTTGGGAGCTCATTGAGGTCAATGGTGAAAAAGCAAATATCCCAGGATAAAAACTTGAAGGAAGCTATCTGAGAAACCGCTTTGTGATGTGTGGATTAAGCAGTTTGTAAATACTGTTTTTGTCCATTGTGCGAATGGACATTTTGTAGCTCATCGAGGCCAAACAAAAAAAGTGAATATCCCAGGACGAAAACTTGAAGGAAGTTATCTGAGAATCAGATTCATGATGTGTGCATTCATCTCACAGAGTTAAACCTTTATTTTCATTCACCAGTTTGGAAACACTGTTTTTGTAGAAACTGCAATAGGATATTTGGCAGCACTTTGGTGCCAATGGTGAAAAAGGAAATATCTTCAGATAAAAACTAGAAAGAAGCTTTCTGAGAAACTGCTTTGTGGTGTGTTCATTCATCTCACAGAGTTAAACCTTCCTTTGTATTCAGTAGTTTGGAAGCACTGTTCTTGTCCATGCTATGAATGGACATTTGGGATCTCATTGAGGCCAATGGTGAGAAAGTGAATATCCCAGGACAAAAATTAGAAGAAATTGTTTGAGAAACTGATTCATGATGTGTGCATTGATATCACAGAGTTAAACCTTTCATTTCTTTCAGTAGTTTGTAAACACTCATTTCTTAGAATCTGCTAAGAGATATTTGGCAGTGCATTGAGGCCTATGGTGAAAAAGGAAATATCTTCATATAAAAACTAGAAAGAAGCTTTATGAGAAACTGGTTTGGGTTGTGTGCATTCATCTCACAGAGTTAAACCATTCTTCAGATTCAGCAGTTTGATAACACAGTTGTGTCCATTCTGTGAATGGACATTTTGGAGCACATTGGTGAAAAAGCGAATATCCCAAGATTAAAACTAGAAGGAATTTGTCTGAGAAATGACTTTGTGAATTGTGCATTCTTAAAGCAGAGTTAATCCTTTCGTTTCATTAAGCAGTTTGGAAACACTGTTTTTGTAGAAACTTCAAAAGGATACTTGGCAGCGTGTTGAAGCCTATGGTGAAAAATTAAATATCTTCAGATAAAAACTGGAAAGAAACATTTTTAGAAACAGCTTTGTGATGTGTGCATTCATCTCACAGATCTTTTTTTGGATTCAGCAATTTGGAAACACTGTGGTTGTAGAATCTGTAAATGGACATTTGGGAGCTCTTTGAGTTCAATGGCAAAAAGGTGAATATCTCAGGTTAAAAACTAGAGGAACCCATGTGAGAAACCGCTTTGTGATGTGTGAATTCATCTCACAGAGTTAAACCTTTCTTTCATAGAGCAGTCTGGAAACACTGTTTTCATAGAATCTGCGAAGGGATATCTGGGAATGCATTGAAGCCTGTGGTGAAAAAGGAAATGTCTTCAGATAAAAACTAGAAAGAAGCTTTCTGAAAAACTGCTTTCTGATGTGTGCATTCATTTCACAGAGTGAAACGTTTCTTAGGATTCAGCAGTTTGGAAACACTGTTGCTGTAGCATCTGCTAAATGATATTTTGGAGCTCTAGGGGATCAATGGTGAAAAAACAAATATCCCAATATAAAAACTAGAATGAAGATATTTGAGAAACAGCTTTGTGATGTTTGCATTCACCTAGCAAAATTAAACCATTCTTCTCATTCAGCAGTTTATGAACCCTGTTTTCCTAGAATCTGCAAAGTGATATGTGGGGGAGCTTTGTGGCCTATGGTGAAAAAGGAAATATCTTCAGAAAAAAACTAGAAAGAAGCTTTCTGAGAAACTGCTTTGGATGTGTGCATTCACCTCACAGAGTTAAACCATTCTGTGGATTTAGCAGTTTCAAAACACTGTTGTTGTAGAATCTGCAAAGGAATATTTGGGCACTCTTTGAGAACAATAGCCAAAAAGCCAGGATCCAAGGATAAAAATTACAAGGTAGCCATATGAGAAATAGCTTTCTGATGTGTGCATTCACCTCACAGAGTAAAACTTACTTTACATTCAGCAATCTGGAAACACAGTTCTGACAGAATCCCCGAAGGGATATTTGGGAGTGCAATGAGGACTATGGTGAAAAAGGAAATAACTTCAGATTAAAAACTAGAAAGAAGCTTTCTGAGAAACTGCTTTGTAATGTATGCATTGATCTCACAGAGTTAAATCTTTCTGTGTATTCACCAGTTTGCAAACACTGTTTTTGTACTTTCTGCAAATGGACATTTGGGAGCTCATTGGTGTCAGTGACAAAAAAGGAGTATCCCAGGATAGAAACTAGAAGGAAGTTATTTGAGAAACAGGTTTGTGATTGTGTGCATTCATCTCAGAGAGTTAACCTTTTCTGTGGAATCAGCAGTTTGGAAACACTGTGTTTGTCCATTCTGCGAATGGACATTTGGGGTCTCATTGAGGCCAAAGTCAAAAAAGCAAATATCCCAGGATAAAAACTAGAAAGAAGCCATCTGAGAAACCACTTTCTGATGTGTGCATTCACCTCATGGAGTTAAAACTTTTGTTTCCTACAGCTGTCTGGAAACACTGTTTTGACAGAATCCACAAAGGGATATTTGGGAGCGCACTGAGGCCAATGGTGATAAAGGAAATATCTTCAGATAAAACTAGAGAGAAGTTTTCTGAGAAACTGTTTTCTGATGTGTGCACTCATCTCACACAGTTAAACCTTTCTGTGGATTCAGCAGTTTGCAAACACTGTTTTTGTACTTTCTGCAAATGGACATTTGGGAGCTCATTGATGTCAATGGCAAAGAAGCAAATATCCCAGGATGAACACTAGAAGGAAGTTATTTGAGAAACAGCTTTGTGATGTGTGCATTCATCTCACAGAGATAACCATTTCTGTGGAATGGGCAGTTTGGAAACACTGTTTTTGTCCATTCTGTGAATGGACATTTGGGAGCTCATTGAGGCCAAAGGTGAAAAAGTGAATATCCCAGGATAAAAAGTAGAGAGAAGCTATCTGAGAAACCACTTTGTGATGTGTGCATTCATCTCATAGAAGTAAAACATACTTTTCATTCAGCAATCTGGAAACACTGTTCTTGCAGAATCTCTGAAATGATATTTGGGAGCCCATTGAGGCCTATGGTGAAAAAGGAAATATCTTCAGATAAAAACTATAAAGAAGCACTCTGAGAAATGGCTTTGTGATATGTGCATCCATCTCAAAGAACTAAACCCTTGTTTGCATTCAGCATTTTGGAAACACTGTTGTTGTAGAATCTGTGAAGGGATATATGGGAGCTCATTGAGGCCTATGGTGAAGAAATGAGTATCCCAGGATAAAAAGTAGAAGAAAGCTCTTTGTGAAACTGGTTTGTGATGTGTGCATTCATCTCACAGAGTTAAATTTTCCTTTTCTTTGAGCAGTTTTTGAACACTGCTTTCCTAGAATCTGTGAAGTGTCATTTGGGAGCGCTTTGAGGTCTATGGTGAAAAAGGAAGTATCTTCAGAAAAAAGCTAGAAAGAAGCTTTCTGAGAAACTGCTTTGTGATGCTTGCATTCACGTCACAGAGTTAAACCATTCTGTGGATTCAGCAGTTTGAAAACAATGTTGTTGTAGAATCTGTGAAGGAATATTTGGGAGCCCTTGAGGCCAATGGCAAAAAAGACAGTATCCCAGGATAAAAACTAGAAGGAAGCTATCTGAGAAAATGCACTGTGATGTGTGCATTCACTTCACAGAAGTAAAACTTACTTTTCATTCAGCAATCTGGAAACACTGTTCTGGAAGAATCCCCAAAGGGATATATCCCCAGAGTGCACCTAGGCCTATGGTGAAAAAGGAAATATCTTCTGATAAAACTAGAAAGAGTCCTTCTGAGAAACTGCTTTGTGATGTGTGCATTCATCTCACAAAGAGAAACCTTTCTTTGGTTTCAGCAATTGGAAAACACTTTTGTTGTAGAATCTGTGAAGGGACATTTGGGAGCTCATTGAGACTAATCACAAAAAAGCAAATATCCCAGGATAAAAACAAGAAGGAATCTATCTGAGAAAACACCTTATGATGGGTGCATTCACCTCACAGAGATAAACCTTTCTTTTCATTCAGCAGTTTGGAAATACTCTTTTGGCAGAAACCACGATGGGATATTTGGGAGCACATTGAGGCCTATGGTGAAAAAGGAAATATCTTCAGATAAAGACAAAAAAGAAGCTTTCAGAGAAACTGATTTGTGATGTGTGCATTCATCTGGTGGAGTTCAACCTTTCTTATAATTCAACAGTTTGGACACACTGTTTTAATAAAATCTGTGAAGTGATATCTGGTAGCACATTGAGGCCTACCATTTCATTGAGGTGAAAAAGGAAATAACCTCAGCTTAAAACTAGAAAGAAACTTGCTGAAAAACTGCTTTGAGATGTGTGCATTCATCTCACAGATTTAAACCTTTCGTTTTAAACAACATTTTGAAAACACTGTTGTCCATTCAGCAAATGCTTTTCAGCAAATGTCCATTCAGCAAATGAGAAACTGCTTTTTCATGTGTGCATTCATCTCATGGAGTTAAACTTTCTGCAGATTCAGCAGCTTGCAAACACTGTTTTTGTCCATTCTGCAAATGGACGTTTGGGAGCTCATTGAAGGCAATGGCAAAAAACCAAGTATCCCAGGATAAAAACTGGAAGAAAAATATCTGAGAAACTGCTTTGTGATATGTGCATTCACCTCACAGCAATAAACATTTCTTTTCATTCAGCAGTCTGGAATCACTATTTTGGAAGGATTTGTGAAGTGATATTTGGGAGGGTATTGAGGACTATGGTTAAAATGGAAATATCTTCAGATAAAAACTAGAAATAAGCTTTCTGAGAAAGTGCTTAGTCATCTGTCCATTCATCGCACAGAGTTAAGCCTTTCTGTAGACTCAGAAGTTTGCAAACACTGTTTCCCCATTCTGCAAATGGACATTTGGGAGCTCATTGATGCCAATGGCAAAAAAATGAATATCCCAGGAAAAAAACTAAAAGGAAGCTACCTGAGAAACCCGTTTTGTGATGTGTGAATTCATCTCTATGACTTCACTCCACAGTTTGGAAACACTGTGTTTGTAGAATCTTTGAGTTTATACTTGGGAGTGCATTTTACGAGAAACTGCTTTGTGATGTGTACCTTCATCTCACAGAGGTAATCCTTTCTGTGGATTTAGCAGATTGAAAACACTGTTTTTGCCCCTTCTGTGAATGGACATTTGGGAGCTCATTGAAGCCAATGGTGAAAAAGCCAATATCCCAGGAAAAAAACTAGAAGGAAGCTATCTGAGAAACCGCTTCATGATGTGTGCATTCATCTCACAGAGTTAAGCCTTTCTTTTCATTCAGCAGTCTGGAAACACTGTTTTGTCAGAATCTGTGAAGGGATATTTGGGAGCTAAATGAGGCATATGGTGAAAAAGGAAATATCTTCAGATAAAAACTAGAAATAAACTTTCTGATAAACTGCTTTGTGCTGTGTGCATTCATCTCACAGAGTCAAAGCTTTCTTTGGATTCAGCAGTTTGTAAACACAGTTGTTGTAGAATCTGCAAAGTGGTATTTGGGAGCTTAATGAGGCAAATGGCAAAAAAGAGAATAACCCAGAAAAAAATATAGTAGGAAGCTATCTGAGAAACAACTTTGTGATGTGTGAATTCACATTTCAGAGTCAAAACTTTCTTTTCATTATGCAGTTTGGAAACACTGTTTTTGTAGGGTCTGCGAAGGGATATCTGGGAGTGCATTGAGGCCTATGGTGAAAAAGGAAATATCTTCAGATAAAAACAAGAAAGAAGCTAACTGAGAAACTGCTTTCTGATGTGCGCATTCATCTTATGGAGTTAAAATTTCTGTGGATTCAGCAGATTGCAAACACTGTTTTTGTCCATTCTGCAAATGGACATTTGGGACCTCATTGAAGCCCATGGCAAAAAAGTGAATATCCCAGGATAAAAACTGGAAGGAAGCTATCTGAGAAACTGCTTTGGATGTGTGCATTTGCCTCACAGCAATAAACCTTTCGGTTCATTCAGTCGTCTGCAAACACTGTTTTGGAAGTATCCACAAAGGGATATCTGGGAGTGCATTGAGGCCTATGGTGAAAAAGATAATATCTTTGGATAAAAACTAGAAACAAGCTTTCAGAGAACCTGCTTTGTGATGTGTGCATTCCTTTCACAGAGTTAATTCTTTCTGTGAATTCAGCAGTTTACAATCAATGTTTTTGTCCATTCTGCAAATGGATATTTGGGAGCTCATTGAGGCCAATGGCAAACAAGGGACTATCCCAGGATAAAAACTAGAAGGAAGCCCTGTGAGAAACTGCATTGCGATGTGTGCATTCATCTTGAACGGCTAAACCTTTCTTTTCATTCAGCAGTTTGGAAGCACTGTTTTCATAGAATCTGCACAGGGAAATTTGGGAGCTCACTGAGGCCTGGGGTGAAAAAGGAAATACCAGACAAAAACTAGAAAGAAGCTTTCTGAGAAACTGCTTTGTCATGTGTGCATTCATCTCACAGAGTTAAAATTTCTGTGGATTCTGCAGTTTGCAAATTCTGTTTTTGTCCATTCTGTGAATGGACATTTGGGAGCTCATTGAGGCCAAGGGCAAAATAGTGAAATTCCCTGGACAAAAACTAGAAAGAAGCTATCTGAGAAACTGCTTTGTGCTGTGTGCATTCAACTCGCAGAGACAAACCATTGTTTTCATTTAGCAGTTTGGAAACACTGTTTTTTGTAGAATCTGCAAAGTTATATTTATGAACGTATTGAGGACTATGGTTAAAAAGGAAATGTTTTCAGATAAAAACTAGAAAGAAACTTTCTGAGAAAGTGCTTAGTGATCTGAGCATTCATCTCACCGAGTTAATCGTTTCTGTGGATTCAGCAGTGTGCAAACACTGTTTTTGCCCATTCTGCAAATGGATATTTGGGAGCTCATTGAGGCCAATGGCAAAAAAGTGAATATCCCAGGATAAAAACTAGAATGAAGTTTTTGAGAAATAGCCTCGTGATGTGGGCATTCATCTCACAGAGTTAAATCTTTCTTTTCATTCAGCAGCTTGGAAGCACTGTTTTTGTAGAATCTGTGAAGTGATATCTGGGAGGACATGGAATCCTATGGCGTAAAAGGAAATTTCTTCAGATAAAAACCATAAATTAGCTTTCAGAGAAACTGCTTTGTGATGAGTGCATTCTACTCACAGAGTTAAAACTTTCTGCAGATTCAGCAGTTTGCAAACACTGTTGTTGTAGAATCTGCAATGGAATATTTGGGAGATCATTGAGGCCAATGGCAAAAAAGCAAATATCCCAGGATAAAAAATGGAAGCTATCTGAGAAACAGCTTTGCAATTTATGCATTCATCTCACAGATTTAAAACTTTCTTTTCTTTCAGCAGTTTGGAAACAATATTTTTTTAAAATATATTTTTTTAAAACTAGTTTTTTAAAAAACTAGATAGGAGTTTTATGAGTAACTGCTTTGTGAAGCATACATTCATCTCACAGAGTAAAACCTATCTTTGGATACAGCATTTTGGAAACATGGTTATTGTAGAATTTGTGAAGGGATATTTGGGAGCTTAATGAGGCCAATGGCAAAAAACTGATTATCCCAGGAAAAAAACTAGTAGGAAGCTATCTAAGAAACCCCTTTGTGATGTGGGCATTCACCTCTCAGAGTTAAAATTTTTCCTCATTCAGCAGTTTGGAAACACTGTTTTTGTACAGTCTGTGAAGTGATATCTGGGAATGCATTGAGGCATATGGTGAAAAAGGAAATAACTTCTGATAAAATCTAGAAAGAAGCTTTCTGAGAAACTGCTTTCTGATGGGTGCATTCTTCTCACAGAGTTAAACATTTCTTTGGATTCAGCAGTATGGAAATACTGTTGTCCTAGAATCTGTGATGGGATATTTGGGAGTCTAATGAGGCCAAAGGGGAAAAACCAGATATCACAAGAAAAAAAAACTAGAAGGAAGCTATCTGAGAAACTGCTTTGTGATGTGTGCATGCATCTCTCAGAGTTAAAAGATTCTTTACATTCAACAGTATGGAAACACTATTTTTGTAGGATCTGCAAAGTTATAATTGGGATCGCATGGAGGCCTATGTTGAAAAACGAAGTATCTTCAAATAGAAACCTGCACATTGTGCACATGTACCCTAAAACTTAAAGTATAATAATAAAAAAAGAAACTAGAGAGAATCTTTCTGAGAAACAACTTTGGGTGTGTGCATTCATCTCACAGAGTTAATCCTTTCTATGGATTAAGCAGTTTGCAAATACTCTTTTTGTCCATTCTTCAGAAGAACATTTGGGAGCTAATTGAGGCCAATTGCAAAAAAGTGAATATCCCAGGATAAAAACTAGAAAGAAGCTATTTGAGAAATTGCTTTGTGATGCGCGCATTCAACTCACAGAGGTAAACGTTTCTTTTCATTCTGCAGTTTGGAAACACTGCTTTCACAGAATCTGTGAAGGGATATCTGGAAGCACATTGAGGCCGATACTGAAAAAGAAAATAACTTCAGATAAGAACTAGAAAGAAGCTTTTTGATAAACTGCTTTGTGATGTGTGCATTCGTCTCAGAGAGTTCAACCTTTCTGTGCATTCAGTAGTTTGCAAACACTGTTTTTGTCCTTTCTGTGAATGGACATTTGGGAGCTCTTTGAGGTTAATGGGGAAAAAGAGAATATCCCAGAATAAAAAGTAGAAGGAAGCTACTTGACAAACTGCTTTGTGATGGGTGCATTCATCTCACAGAGTTAAACAGTTCTTTTCCTTCATGAGTTTAAAAACACTGTTTTCATAGATTCTGCAATGGGATATCTGGGAGCACATTGAGGCCTATGTTGAAAAAGGAACATCTTCAGATAAAAACTAGAAAGAAGCTTTCTGACAAACTGCTTTGTGATGTGTGCATTCACCTCACAGGATTAAAACTTTCCATGGATTCAGCCACTTGCAAAACTGTTTCGTCCATTCTGTGAGTGGACATTTGGGAGTTCTTTGAGGCCAATGGCACAAAAGTGAATATCACAGGATAAAAACTAGAAGGAAGTTATATGACAAAATGCTTTGTGATGTGTGCATTCACCTCACAGAGATAAGCCTTTCTTTCATTCAGCAGTCTGGAAACACTGTTTTGGCACAATCAGCAAAGGGATATTTGGGAATGCATAGAGGCCTATGGTGAAAAAGGAAATACCTTCAGATAAAAACTAGAAAGAAGATTTCTGAGAAACTAATTTCTAATGCGTGCATTCATCTCTCAGAGTTAAAATTTTCTTTCCATTCAGCAGTTTGGAAACACTTTTTTTTTTCCATTCTGTGAATGGACATTTTGGAGTTCATTGAGGCCAATGGCCAAAAAGTAAAAATCCCAGGATAACAACTAGAAAGAGTCTATCTGAGAAACCACTTTGTGATGTGTGCGTTCACCTTGCAGAGTTAACAGTTTCTTTGTATACAGCAGTCTGGAAACACTGTTTTGGCAGAATCTGTGAGGGGATATTTGAAGTGCATTGAGGCCTATTGTGAAAAAGAAAATAACTTCAGATAAAAACTAGAAAGAAGCATTCTGAGAAAAGGCTTTCTGATGTGCACATTCATCTTAAAGAGTTAAAACTTTCTGTGGATTCAGCAGTTGGCAAACACTGTTTTTGCCCATTCTGCGAATGGACTTTCGGAGCTATTGAGGCCAAAGGCAAAAGAGTGAATATCCCAGGATAAAAACTAGAAGGAAGCTATCTGAGAAACTGCTTTGTGATGTGTGCATTCATCTTGCAGAGATAAACCTTTCTTTACATTCAGCAGCTTGGAAGCACTGTTTTGGTAGAATCTGTGAAGAGATATTTGGGAGCTTAATGAGGCCCAGGTGAGAAAGTGAATATCCAAGGAAAGAAATCAAGAAAGAAGCTCTCTGAGAAACCACTTTGTGATGTGTGCATTCACCTCGCAGAGTTAAAACTTTGTTTTCATTCATCCGTCTGGAAACACTGTTTTGGCAGGATCCACGAAGGGATGTTTGGGAGCCCATTGAGGCCTATGCTAAAAGGGAAATATCTTCAGATAAAAACAAGAAAGTAGCTTTCTGAGAAACTGTTTTGTGATATGTGCATTCATCACCCAGAGTTAAATTTTCCTTTCTATTCAGCAGTTTGGAAAATGCTGTAGAATCTGCAAAGTGATATTTGGGAGCTCATTGAGGCCAAAGGCGAAAAAGTGAATATCCCATGATGCAAACTAGATGGACACCATCTGAGAAACTGCTTTGTGATGAGTACATTCATCTCTCTGAGATAAATCTTTCTTTTCATTCAGCAGTTTGGAAACACTGTTTTTGTAGAATCTGCGAAGTGATATCTGGGACCGCATGGAGGTCTATGGTGAAAAAGGAAATATTTTCAGATAAAAACTAGAAAGAAGCTTTCTGGGAAACTGCTTTTTGATGTGTGCATTCATCTCACAGAGTTAAACATTTCTGTGGATTCAGTAGTTTGCAAATACAGTTTTTGTACATTCTGTGAGTGGACATTTGGGAGCTCAATGAGGCAAATATGAAAAAGCAAATATACCAGGATAAAAACAAGAAAGAAGCAATCTGAGCAACTTCTTTGTGATGTGTGCATTCACCTCACAGAGATAAACCTTTCTTTTCATTCAGCAGTCAAGAAACCCTGTTTTGGAAGGATCTGTGAAGGGATATTTGGGAGCGCATTGAGCACTATGGTTAAGAAGGAAATATCCACAGATAAAAACTAGAAAGAAGCTTTCTGAGAAAGTGCTTATTCATCTGTGCATTCATCTCACAGAGTTAAATATTTGTGTGGATTCGGCAGTTTTGCCCAATCTGCAAATGGACATTTGGGAGCTCATTGAGGCCAAAGGCCAAAAAAGTGAATATCCTGGGAAAAAAAAAAAGCTAGAAGGAAGCTATCTGAGAGACTGCTTTGTGATGTGTGCATTCACCATGCAAAGCTAAACCTTTCTTTCCATTTAGCAGTTTGGAAACACTGTTTTGTAGAATCAGCATAGTTAAATTTTAGAGTGCATTAGGGACTCTGTTTAAAAGGAAATCTCTTCAGAGAAAAAATTGAAAGTAGCTTTCTGAGAAAGTGCTTAGTGACGTGTGCATTCATCTCACAAAATTAAACATGACTGTGGATTCAGCGGTATGAGACCCATGTTATTTCCCATTCTGCAAATAGATATTTTGGAGCTCAATAAGGCCAATGGGGAAAAAGCAACTATCTTAGGATAAAAACTAGAAGGAAGCTCTTTGAGAAACCGCTTTCTGACCTGTGCATTCATCTTACAGAATTAAACCTTTCTTTTTCATTCAGCAGCCTGGAAACACTGCTTTGGCAGTATCCAAGAAGGGATATGTGGGAGTGTATTGAGGCCTAACGTGAAAAAGGAAGTATCTTAAGATAAAAACTAGAAAGAAACCTTCTGAGAAATTGCTTTGTGATGTGTGCATTCATCTCCCAGAATTAAGCCTTTCTTTGGATTCAGCATTTTGGAGACACTGTTGTTGTAGAATCTGTGAAGGGATATTTGAGAGCTTAATGGGGCCAGTGGGGAAAAATTGAATATCCCAGCAAAAAACCGTGAAGGAAATTATCTCAGAAACTGCTTTGTGATGTGTGCACTCATCTCTGAGAGGTAAACCTTTATTTGGATTTAGCAGTTTGGAGACACTGTTGTTGTGGGACCTGTGAAGTGATATTTGGGAGCTCATTGAGGTCAATGCCGTAAAAGCCAATATCCCAGGGTAAAAACTAGAAGGCAGCTATCTGAGAAATGGCTTTGTGATGTGTGCATTCATCTCACAGAGTTAAACCTTTCTTTTCATTCAGCAGTTTGGAAATCCTATTTTGGTAGAATCTACAAAGGGATATTTGGTAGAGCATTGATGTCTACGGTGAAAAAGAAAATACATTCGGATAAAACCTAGAAAGATGCTTTTTTAGAAACTGCTTTGTTATGTGTGTGTTCATCTTGCAGAGTTAAACCTTTCTTTGGATTCAGCAGTTTAGAAATACTGTGTCTGTAGAATCTGCACAGTGATATCTGGGATCGCATTAAGGCCTATGGTGAAAAAGGAAACACCTTCAGATAAAAACTAGGAAGAAGTTTTCTGAGAAACTGCTTTGTGATGTGTGCATTCATCTCACACAGTTAAACTTTTCTGTAGATTCATCAGTTTGCAAACACTGTTTTTATTTTTCCATACTGTAAATGGACATTTGGGAGCTTATTGAGGCCAGAAAAGAAAAAGGGAATATCCAAGGATAAAAACTAGAAGGAAGCTATCTGAGGAACATCTTTGTCATGTGTACATTCACCTCACAGAGTTAAAACCTTCTTTTCTTTCAGAAGTCTGTAAACACTGTTTTGGCAGAATCCATGAAGGGATATTTGGGAGTGCATTGAGGCCTATTGTGAAAAAGAAAATATCTTCAGATAAAAACTAGAAGTAAGCTTTCTGAGAAACTACTTTGTGATGTGTGCATTCACCTCACAGAGTTAAAACTTTCTGTGGATTCAGCCATTTGCAAACGCGTTTTTGTCCATTCTGCAAAGGGATATTTGGGAATGCATTATGGCCTATGGTGAAAAAGAAAATATCTTCACATAAAAATTAGAAAGAATGTTTCTGAGAAACTGCTTTGTGATGTGTGCATTCATCTCACACAGTTAAACCATTTTTTGGACTCAGCAATTTGGAAACACTGTAGTTATAGAATCTGCGAAGGCATATTTGGGAGCTCATTAAGAGGAATGGTGAACAAGCAAATATTGGAGGAAAAACACTAGAAGGAAGCAATCCAAGAAACCGCTTTGTGATGTGTACATTCATCACACAGAGTTAAAACTTTCTTTTCATTCAACAGTTTGGAAACACTGCTTTCGTTGAATCTGTGAAGTGATATCTGGAAGTGCATTAAGGCCTATGGTGAAAAAGAAAATATCTTCAGATAAAAACTAGAAATAAGCATCCTGAGAAACTGCTTTGTGATGTTTGCATTCATCTCACAGAGTTAAACCATTCTTTGGATTCACCTGTTTGGAAACACTGTTGTTTTAGAATCTGTGAAGGGATATTTGGGAGCTTATTGAGGTCAAAGGGGAAGAAGCGAATATCCCATTACAAAAACTGGAAGGAAGCTATCTGAGAAACCATTTTGTGATGTGTACATTCATCTTACAGAGATAAATCTTTCTTTTCATTCAGCAGTCTGGAAACACTATTTTGGCATGATCCACAAAGTGATATTTATAACCACATGGAGGCCTATGATGAAAAAGGAAATATCTTCAGATAAAAACTAGAAAGAAGCTTTTTGAGAATCTGCTTTGTGATGTGTGCATTCTTTTCACAGAGTTAAACCGTTCTATGGATTCTGCATTTTGCAAACGTGGTTTTTGTCCATTCAGCGAATGGGCATTTGGGAACTCATTGAGGGCAATGGCAAAAAAGTGAATATCCAAGGATATAAACTAGAAGGAAGCTATCTGAGAAACTGCTTTGTGATGTGTGCATGAACCTCACACAGATAAACCTTCCTTTCCATACAGTAGTGTGGAAACACTGTTTTTGCAGAGTCCGTGAAGGGATATTAGGGAGCGCATTGAGGCCTATGGTGAAAAAGTAAATATCTGCAGAATAAAACTAGAAAGAAGCTTTCTGAGAAACTGCTTTGTGATATGTGCATTCATCTCACAGAGTTAAACATTTCTTTGTATTCAACAGTTTGGAAACACTGTTGTTGTAGAATCTGCGAAGGTATATTTGGGACCTCATTAAGGCCCATGGCGAAAAAGCCAATATCCCAGGGTAAAAAGTATAAGGAAGCGATCTGAGAAACCACTTTGTTATCTGTGCATTCACCTCAAAGAGTTAAACCATTTTTTTCATTCAGCAGTCCAGAAACACTGTTTTGGCAGAATCCATGATGGGATATTTGGGAGCACATTGAGGACTATGGTGAAAAAGTAAATATCTGTTGAATCAGCAGTTTGGGAAAACTGTCTTTGTCTATTCTGTGAATGGACATTTGGGAGTGCATTGAGGCACATGGTGAAAAAGCAAATATGCCAGGATAAAAACCAGAAAGAAGCTACCTGATAAATAACTTTTTGATATGTGCCTTCACCTCCCAGAGTAAAAACTTTCTTTTCGTACAGGAGTCTGGAAGCACTGTTTTTGTAAAATCTGCGAAGTTATATTTTGGAGTTCATAGAAGCCTCTGCAGGCAAAGGAAATATCTTCAGATAAAAAGTAGAAAGAGGTTTTTGGAGAAACTTCTTTGTGCTGTGAGAATTCATCTCACATAATTCAACCTTTCTTTGGATTAAGCAGTTTGGAAACACTGTTTTTGTCCATTCTGTGAATGGACATCTGGGAGCTCATTGAGGCCAATGGCAAAAATGTTAAACATTCAGCAGTTTGGAAACACTGTTTTCGAAGAATCTGTGAAGGGATATCTGGGAGCTCATTGAGGCCAATGGTGAAAATGTGAATACCCCAGGATAAAAAATAGAAGGAAGCTATTTGAGAAACTGCTTTGTGATGTGTGTATTCAACTCACAGAGTTAAACTTTTCTTCTCATTCAGCAGTTTGGAAACGCTGTTCTCATAGTATCGGTGAAGGGTTATCTGGGAGCGCATCAAGGCCTATGATGAAAAAGGAAATATCTTCAGATAAAAACTAGAAAGAAACTTCTGAGATACTGCTTTGTGATGTGTGCATTCATAACACAAAATTAAACCTTTCTTTGGATTCAGCAGTTTGGAAACACTGTTGTTTTAGAATCTGTGATGGGATATTTTTGGAGCTCATTGAGGCCAATGGCAAAAAAGAGAATATCCCAGGATAAAAACTAAAAGGAAGTTGTCTGAGAAACTGCATTGTCATGTGTGCATTCACCTCTCAGAGTTAAAACATTCTTTACATTCAGCAGTATGGAAACACTGTTTTTGTAGAATCTGTGACGTTATCTTTGGGATCGCATGGAGGCCTCTGCTGGAAAAGGAAATATCTTCACATAAAAACTAAAAGGAAGCTTTCTGCGAAACTGTTTTGCAATGTGGGCATTCATCTCACAGAGTTAAACATTTCTGTGGATTCATCATTTTGCAAACCCTCTGGTTGTAGAATCTGCAATGGGCTATTGGGGAGATCCTTGAGGCCAAAATGGAAAAAGCAAATATCCTGGGATAAAAACTAGATGAAAGCTACTTGAGAAACCGTTTTGTGATGTGTGCATTCATCACAAAGATTTAAACCTTTATTTTCACTCTGCAGTTTGGAAACACTGTTTTTGTAGAATCTGTGAAGGAGTATCTGGAAGCGCATTGAGGCCTATACTGAAAAAGGAAATAACTTCAGACAAAAACTAGAAAGAAGCTTTGTGAGAAATTGCTTTGTGATGTGTGCATTCATCTCACAGAGTTAAACTTTTCCTTTCATTGAGCAGTTTCAAAACACTGTTTATTTCGATTGTGTGAATGGACATGTGGGAGCTCATTGAGGCCAATAGCCAAAAATTGAAAATCCCAGTATAAAAACTAGAAAGAGTCTATCTGAGAAACAACTTTGTAATGTGTGCATTCACCTCACAGAGTTAAAAAGTTCTTTTTATACAGCAGTTTGGAAACACTGTTCTGGCAGAATCCATGAGGGGATATTTGGAAGCTCCTTGAGGTCTATGGTGAAAAAGAAAATATATTCAGATAAAAACTATTTTGTAAGTTGCCTGTTCACTCTGATGGTAGTTTCTTTTGCTGTGCAGAAGCTTTTTAGTTTAATTAGATCCCATTTGTCAATTTTGGCTTTTGTTGCCATTGCTTTTGGTGTTTTAGACATGAAGTCCTTGCCCATGCCTATGTCCTGAATGGTAATGCCTAGGTTTTCTTCTAGGGTTTTTATGGTTTTAGGTCTAACGTTTAAGTGTTTAATCCATCTTGAATTAATTTTTGTATAAGATGTAAGGAAGGGATCCAGTTTCAGCTTTCTACATATGGCTAGCCAGTTTTCCCAGCACCATTTATTAAATAGGGAATCCTTTCCCCATTGCTTGTTTTTGTCAGGTTTGTCAAAGATCAGATAGTTGTAGGTATGCAGCGTTATTTCTGAGGGCTCTGTTCTGTTCCATTGATCTATATCTCTGTTTTGGTACCAGTACGATGCTGTTTTGGTTACTGTAGCCTTGTAGTATAGTTTGAAGTCAGGTAGCGTGATGCCTCCAACTTTGTTCTTTTGGCTTAGGATTGATTTTGTGATGCGGGCTCTTTTTTGGTTCCATATGAACTTTAAAGTAGTTTTTTCCAATTCTCTGAAGAAAGTCATTGGTAGCTTGATGGGGATGGCATTGAATCTATAAAGTATCTAGGGCAGTATGGCCATTTTCATGATATTGATTCTTCCTGCCCATGGGCATGGAATGTTCTTCCATTTGTTTGTATCCTCTCTTATTTCATTGAGCAGTGGTTTGTAGTTCTCCTTGAAGAGGTCCTTCACGTCCCTTGTAAGTTGGATTCCTAGGTATTTTATTCTCTTTGAAGCAATTGTGAATGGGAGTTCACTCATGATTTGGCTCTCTGTTTGTCTGTTATTGGTGTATAAGAATGCTTGTGATTTTTGCACATTGATTTTGTATCCTGAGACTGCTGAAGTTGCTTATCAGCTTAAGGAGATTTTGGGCTGAGACAATGGGGTTTTCTAGATTTACAATCATGTCATCTGCAAACAGGGACAATTTGACTTCCTGTTTTCCTAATCGAATGCCCTTTATTTCCTTCTCCTGCCTAATTGCCCTGGCCAGAACTTCCAACACTATGTTGAATAGGAGTGGTGAGAGAGGGCATCCGTGTCTTGTGCCAGTTTTGAAAGGAAATTCTTCCAGTTTTTGCCCATTCATTGTGATATTGGCTGTGTGTTTGTCATAGATAGCTCTTATTATTTTGAGATATGTCCCATCAATACCTAATTTATTGAGTTTTTAGCATGAAGAGTTGTTGAATTTTGTCAAAGGCCTTTTCTGCATCTATGGAGATAATCATGTGGTTTTTGTCTTTGGTTCTGTTTATATGCTGGATTACATTTATTGATTTGCATATGTTGAACCAGCCTTACATCCCAGGGATGAAGCCCACTTGATCATGATGGATAAGCTTTTTGATGTGCTGCTGGATTCGGTTTGCCAGTATTTTATAGAGGATTTTTGCATCAATGTTCATCAAGGATATTGATCTAAAATTCTCTTTTTTTTGTTGTGTCTCTGCCCGGCTTTGGTATCAGGATGATGCTGGCCTCATAAAATGAGTTAGGGAGGATTCCCTCTTTTTCCATTGTTTGGAATAGTTTCAGAAGGAATGGTACCAGCTCCTCTTTGTACCTGTGGTAGAATTTGGCTGTGAGTCCATCTGGTCCTGGACTGTTTTTCGTTAGTAAGCTACTAATTATTGCCTCAATTTCAGAGCCTGTTATTGGTCCATTCAGAGATTCAACTTCTTCCTGCTTTAGTCTTGGGAGGGTGTATGTGTCAAGGAATTTATCCATTTCTTCTAGATTTTCTAGTTTATTTGCATAGAGGGGTTTATAGTATTCTCTGATGGCAGTTTGCATTTCTGTGGGATTTGTGGTGATATCCCCTTTATCATTTTTTATTGCATCTATTTGATTCTTCTCTCTTTTATTCTTTATTAGTCCGTTAGTGGTCTATCAATTTTGTTGATCTTTTTGAAAAACCAGCTCCTTGTTTCACTGATTTTTTAAGGGCTTTTTGTGTTTCTATTTCCTCCATAAGGAACCAAAAAAGAGCCTGCATTGCCAAGTCAATCCTAAGCCAAAAGCACAAAGCTGGAGGCATCACTCTACCGGACTTCAAACTATACTACAAGGTTACAGTAACCAAAACAGCATGGTAGTACTACCAAAACAGAGATGTAGACCAATGGAACAGAACAGAGCCCTCAGAAATAATGACTCATATCTACAACTATCTGATCTTTGACAAACCTGACAAAATCAAGCAATGAGGAAAGGATTCCCTATTTAATAAATAGTGCTGGGTAAACTGGCTAGAAATATGTAGAAAGCTGAAACTGGATCCCTTCCTTACACCTTATATAATAATTAATTCAAGATGGATTAAAGACTTAAATGTTAGACCTAAAACCATCAAAACCCTGGAAGAAAACCTAGGCAATACTGTTCAGGACATAGGCATGGGCAAGGACTTCATGTCTAAAACACCACTAGCAATGGCAACAAAAACCAAAATTGACAAATGGCATCTAATTAAACTAAGGAGCTTCTGCACAGCAAAAGAAACTATCATCAGAGTGAACAGGCAACCTACAGAATGGGAGACAATTTTTGCAAGCTACTCATGTGACTAAAGGCTAATATCCAGAATCTACAATTTACTCAAACAAGTTTACAAGAAAAAAAAAAAAACAACCCCATCAACAAGTGGGCAAATGTTATGAACAGACACTTCTCCAAAAGAAGACACTTATGCAGCCAAAAGACACATGAAAAAATGCTCATCAGCACTGGCCATCAGAGAAATGCAAATCAAAACCACAATGAGATACCATCTCACACCATTTAGAATGGCGATCATTAAAAAGTTAGGAAACAACAGGCACTGGACAGGGTGTGGAGAAATAGGAGCACTTTTACACTGTTGCTGGTACTGTAAACTAGTTCAACCATTGTGGAAGTCAGTGTGGTGATTCCTCAGGGTTCTAGAACTAGAAATACCATTTGACCCAGCCATGCCATTACTGGGTATACACACAAAGGATTATAAATCATACCGCTATAAGGACACATGCACACATATGTTTATTGTGGTACTATTCACTATAGCAAAGATTTGGAACCAACCCAAATGTCCAAGAATGATAGACTGGATTAAGAAAATGTGGCACATATACACCATGGAATACTATGCAGCCATAAAAAATGATGAGTTCATGTCCTCTGTAGGACATGGATGAAGCTGGAATTCATCATTCTCAGCATACTATCACAAGGACAAAAAACCAGACACTGCATGTTCTCACTCATAGGTGGGAATTGAACAATGAGAACACATGGACACAGGAAGGGGAACATCACGTGCTGGGTATTGTTGTGGGGTGGGGGAAGGGGGGAGGGATAGCATTAGGAGATATACCTAATGCTAAATGACGAGGTAATGGGTGCAGCACACCAACATGGGACATGTATACATATGTAACAAAACTGCACGTTGTGCACATATACCTTAAAACTTAAAGTTTAATAATAATAAAATAAAATAAAATAACAACAACAACAACAAAACTAGAAGGAAGGTTTCTGAGAAACTACTTTGTGATGTGTGCATTCCCCTCACAGAGTTAAACATTTCTGGGGATTCAGCCTTTTGCAAACACTGTTTTTGTCCATTCTGTGAGGGGATATTTGGGAGGGTATTGAAGCCTATGCTGAAAAAGGAAATATCTTCACATAAAAATTAGAAAGAATGTTCCTGGGAAACTGCTTTGTGATGTGTGCATTCATTTCACAGAGTTAAACCTTTCTTTGGACTCACTGTTTAGAAACAATGTAGTTATAGAATCTGTGAAGGGAAATTTTGGAGCTCCTTAAGGCAAAGGGCAAAAAAGAGAATATCCTAGGAAAAAAACTAGAAAGAAGCCATCTGAGAAACTGTTTTGTCATGTGTACATTCATCTTGCAGAATTAAAACTTTCATTTCATTCAGCAGTTTGGAGACACATTTTTTGTAGAATCTGCAAAGTGATATCTGGAAGTGCATTGAGGCCTATGGTGTAAAAGGAAATATCTTCAGATAAAAACTTGAATGGAGCATTCTGAGAAACTGCTTTGTGATGTGTGCGTTCATCCCTCAGAGTTAAACCATTCTTTGGACTCAGCTATTTGGAAACACTGTTGTTGTAGAATCTGTGAAGGGATATTTGGGAGCTCATTGAGGCTAATGGTGAAAAAGCGAATATCCCATTATAAAAACTGGAAGGAAGCTCTATGAGAAACTGCTTTGTGATGTGTGCATTCATCTCACAGAGTCAAATCTTTCTTTTCATTCAGCAATTTGGAAACACTGCAGTTGTAGAACCTGCAAATTGAAATTTGAGAGCTTAATGAGGCCAAAGGGGAAAAAGCAAATATCCTAGGAAAAATCTAGAAGGAAGCTATCTGAGAAACTGCTTTGTGACGTGTGCATTCATCTCTCAGAGTTAAAACATTCTTTTCATTCAGTGGTTTGGAGACACTGTTTTTTAGAATCTGTGAAGTTATATTTGGGAGTGCATAGAGGACTATGCTGAAAAAGAAAATAACTTCAGATAAAAAGTAGAAAGAAGCCTCCTAAGAAACTGCTTCATGATGTGTGCATTCATCTCACAGAGTTCAACCTTTCTTCTGATTCAGCCATTTGGAAACATCGTTGTTGTACAATCTGCGAAGGGATATTTGGGAGCTCATTGAGACAAATTTCGTAAATGAGAATATCCCAGGATAAAAACTAGAAGCAAACTATTTGAGAAACAGCTTTGTGTTGTGTGCATTCATCTCACAGAATTAAAACTTTCTTTCATTCAACAGTTTGGAAATACTGTTTTCGTAGAATCTGTGAAGGGACATCTGGGAGTGCCTTCAGGCCTGTGGTGAAAAAGCAAATATCTTCAGATAAAAACTTGAAAGAATCCTTTTGAGAAACTGTTTAGTGAAGTGTGCATTCAGCTCACAGATTTAAAACTTTCTGTGGATTCAGCGGTTTGCAAATACTGTTTTTGTGCATTGTGTGAAGGGACATTTGGGATCTCATTGAGGCCAATGGTGAAAAAGCAAATATCCCAGGATAAAAAATAAAAGAAGGTTCCAAGATCACTGCATAAGAACAGCTCCAGTCTACAGCTCTCAGTGTGAGTGATGCAGAGGGTGGAAGATTTCTGCACTTCCAGTTGAGATACTGGGTTCATCTCACTGGAGATTGTTGGACACTGGGTGCAGGACAGTGGTTGCAGTTCACTGAGCATTAGCTGAAGCAGGGGGAGGCATAGCCTCACCTCGGAAGCACAAGGGGGCAGGGAATTCCCTTTCCTATCCAAGGAAAGGGGTGATAGGCAGCTCCTGAAAAATCAGGTCACTCCTGCCCTAATGCCGTGCTTTTCTGATGGTCTTAGCAAACGGCACACCCGGAGTTTATATTCTGCACCTGACTTGGAGGGTTCTACACCCATGGAGTCTCACTCTCTGCTAGCACAGCAGTCTGAGATCAAACTGCAAAGTGGTAGTGAGGCTGAGGGAGGGGTGCCTGCCATTGCTGAGGCTTGAGCGGGTAAACAAAATGACTGGGAAGCTTGAACTGGGTGGAGCCCACTGCAGCTCAAGGAGGCCTGGATGCTCTGTAGACTCCACCTCTCGGGGCAGGGTGAGGCCAAACAAAAGGCAGGAGAAACCTCTGCATATTTAAATATCCCCATCTGACAAATTGGAAGGCAATAGTGGTTCTCCCAGGACACAGCTTCAGATCTGATAATGGACAGACTGCCTCCTCAAGTGGGCCCCAACCCCAGAGTAGCTGAACTGGGAGGCAACCCCCAGTAGGGGCAGACTGACACCTCACACGGCTGGGAAACCCTCTGAGACAAAACTTCCAGAGGAACAATCAGGCAGCAACAATTCCTGTTCACAAATATTTGCTGTTCTGGAGCCTCTGCTGCTGATACCCAGGCAAATAGGATCTGGAGTGGACCTTTGGCAGACTCTAACAGACCTGCAGCTGAGGGTCCTGTTAGAAGGAAAACTAACAAACAGAAAACACATCCACACCAAAACCCCATCTATACATCACCATCATCAAAGACCAAAGGTAGATAAAACCACAAAGATGGGGAAAAAGCAGAGCAGAAAAACTGAAAATTCTAAAAGTCAGAGCACCTCTCCTCCTCCAAAGGAATGCAGCTCCTCACCAGCAATGGAACAAAGCTGGACAGAGAAAGACTTTGATGAGTTGAGAGAAGAAGGTTTCAGATGATCAAACTTCTCCGAGCTAAAGGAGGAAGTTGGAACCTATGGCAAAGAAGTTAAAAACCTTGAAAAAAGATTAAATGAAGCACTAACTAGGTTAACCAATGTAGAGAAGGCTGTAAAGGATCTGATGGAGCTGAAAACCAAGGCTCGAGAACTATGTGCCAATTGCACAAGCTTTAGTAGCTGGTTTGATAAACTGGAAGAAAGGGTATCAGTGATTGAAGATCAAATGAATGAAATGAAGAGAGAAGAGAAGTTTAGAGAAAAAAGAATAAAAAGAAATGAAAAAAGCCTCCAAGAAATATGGGACTATGTGAAAAGACCAAATCTACGTCTGATAGGTGTCCCTGAAATAGACAGGGAGAATGGAACCAAGTTGGAAAACACACTGTAGGATATTATCCAGGAGAACTTCCCCAATCTATCAAGTCAGGCCAACATTCAAATTCTGGAAATACAGAGAATGCCAAAAAGATACTCCTCGAGAAGAGCAACTCCAAGACACATAATTGTCAGATTCACCAAAGTTGAAATGAAGGAAAAAATGTTAAGGGCAGTGAAAGGAATGTTGGGTTAACCACAAAGGGAAGACCATCAGACTAACAGTGGATCTCTTGACAGAAACTCCACAAGCCTAAAGAGAGTGGGGGCCAATATTCAACATTCTTAAAGAAAAGAATTTTCAAACCAGAACCTCACATCCAACAAAACTAAGCTTCGTAAGTGAAGGAGAAATAAAATACTTTACAGACAAGCAAATGCTGAGATAATTTGTCACCACCAGGCCTCCCCTACAAGAGCTCATGAAGGAAGCACTAAACATGGAAAGGAACAATTGGTACCGGCCACTGCAAAAACACACCAAATTGTGAAGACCATTGAAGCTAGGAAGAAACTGCATGAACTAATGAGCGAAATAACCAGCTAACATCATAATGACAGGATCAAATTCACACATAACAATATTAACCTTAAATGTAAATGGGCTAAATGCTCCAATTAAAGGACACAGAGTAGCAAATTGGATAAAGAGTCAAGACCCATCAGTGTGCTGTGTTCAGGAAACCTATCTCACATGCAGAGACACACATAGGCTCAAAATAAAGGGATGGAGGAAGATCTACCAAGCAAATGGAAAACCAAAAGAGGCAGGGGTTGGAATCCTAGTCTCTGATAAAACAGAATTTAAACCAACAAAGATCAAAAGAGACAAAGAAGGCCATTACATAATGGTAAAGGGATCAATTCAACAAGAAGAGCTAAGTATCATAAATATATATGCATCCACTACAGGAACACACAGATTCATATACCAAGTCCTTAGAGATGTCGAAAGAGATTTAGACTCCCACACAATAATAATGGGAGATTTTGACACCACACTCTCAATATAGACAGATCACCGAGACAGAATGTTAACAAGGATATCCAGGAATTGAACTCAGCTCTTCACCAAGCGGACCCAATAGACATCTACAGAACTCTACACCCAAAATCAGCAGAATATACTTTCTTTTCAGCATCACACCGCACTTATTCCAAAATTGACCACATAGTTGGAAGTACAGCACTCCTCAGCAAATGTAAAAGAACAGAAATTATAACAAACTATCTCTCAGACCACAGAGCAATCAAACTACCACTCAGGATTAAAAAACTCACTCAAAACCACTCAACAACATGGAAACTGAACAACCTGCTCCTAAATGACTACTGGGTCCCTAACAAAATGAAGGCAGAAATAAAGATGTTCTTTGAAACCAACGAGAACAGAGACACAACATACCAGAATCTCTGGAACACATTCAAAGCAGTGTGTAGAGGGAAATTTATAGCACTAAATGCCCACAAGAGAAAGCAGGAAAGCTCTAAAATTGATACCCTAACATCACAAATAAAAGAACTAGAGAAACAAGAGCAAACACATTCAAAAGCTAGCAGAAGGCAAGAAATAACTAAGATCAGAGCAGAACTGAAGGAAATAGAGACACAAAAAACCCTTCAAAAAATCAATGAATGCAGGAGCTGGTTTTTTGAAAAGATCAACAAAATTGATAGACTGCTAGCAAGGCTAATAAAGAAGAAAAGAGAGAAAAATCAAATAGGCACAATAAAAAAAGATAAAGGAGATATCACCACCGATCTCACAGAAATAGAAACTACCATCAGAGAATACTATAAACACCTCTCTGCAAATAAACTACAAAATCTAGAGGAAACGGATAAATTCCTCGACAAATACACCCCCCAAGACTAAACCAGGAAGAAGTTGAATCTCTGAATAGACCAATAACAGGCTCTGACGTTGAGGCAATCATTAATAGTTTACCACCAAAAAAAAGTCCAGGACCAGAAGGACTCACCACTGAATTCTACCAGAGGTACAAGGAGGAGCTGGTACCATTCCTTTTGAAACTATTCCAATCAATAGAAAACGAGAGAATCCTCCCTAACTCATTTCATGAGGTCAGCATCATCCCGATACCAAAGCCTGGTAGAGACACAACAAAAAAAGAGAATTTTAGACCAATATCCTGGATGAACATCGATGCAAAAATCCTCAATAAAATACTGGCAAACCAAATCCAGCAACACATCAAAAAGCTTATCTACCCTGATCAAGTGGTCTTCATCCCTGGGATGCAAGGCTGATTCAACATATGCAAATCAATAAATGTAATCCAGCAAAGACAAAACCACATGATTATCTCAGTAGATGCAGAAAAGGCCTTTCACAAAATTCAACAACCTTCATGCTAAAAACTCAATAAATTGGGTATTCATGGGATGTCTCTCAAAATAATAAGAGCTGTCTATGACAAACACACAGCCAATGTCATACTGAATGGGCAAAAACTGGAAGCATTCCTTTTGAAAACTGGCAAAAGACAGGGATGAACTCTCTCACCACTCCTATTCAACATAGTGTTGGAAGTTCTGGCAAGGGCAATTAGGCAGCAGAAGGAAATAAATGTTTTTCAATTAGGAAAAGAGGAAGTCAAGTTGTCCCTCTTTGCAGATGACATGATTGTAGGTCTAGAAAACCCCATTATCTCAGCCCAAAATCTCCTTAAGCTGATAAGCAACTTCAGCAAAGTCTCAGGATACAAAATCAATGTGCAAAAATCAGAAGCATTCCTATACACCAATAACAGACAAACAGAGAGCCAAATCATGAGTGAATTCCCATTCACAATTGCTTCAAAGACAATAAAATACCTAGGAATACAACTTACAAGGGATGTGAAGGACTTCTTCAAGGAGAAATACAAACCACTACTCAAAGAAATAAAAGAGGATACAAACAAATGGAAGAACATTCCATGCCCATGGGTAGGAAGAATCAATATCATGAAAATGGCCATACTGCCCAAGGTAATTTATAGATTCAATGCCAACCACATCAAGCTACCAATGACTTTCTTCACAGAATTGGAAAAGCCTGCTCTAAAATTCATATGGAACCAAAAAAGAGCTCACATCGCCAAGTCAATCCTAAGCCAAAAGAACAAAGCTGGAGGCATCACGATACCTGACTTCACACTATACTACAAGGCTACAGTAACCAAAACAGCTTGGTACTGGTACCAAAACAAAGATATAGACCAATGGAACAGAATGGAGCCCTCAGAAATAATACTGCATATCTACAACTATCTGATCTTTGACAAACCTGAGAAAAACAAGCAATGGGGAAAGGACTCCCTATTTAGTAAATGGTGCTGGGAAAACTGGCTAGCCATATCTAGAAAGCTGAAACTGGATTCCTTCCTTACACCTTGTACAAAAATTAATTCAAGATGGATAAAAGGCTTACATGTTAGACCTAAAACCATTAAAACCCTAGATGAAAACCTAGGCAATACCATTCAGTACGTAGGAATGGGGAAGGACTTCATGTCTAAAACACCAAAAGCAATGGCAACAAAAGCCAAAATTAACAAAAGGGATCTAATTAAACTAAAGAGCTTCTGCACAGCCAAATAGACTACCATCAGTGTGAATAGACAACCTACAAAATGGGAGAACATTTCTGCAATCTACTCATCTGACAGAAGGCTAATATCCAGAATCTACAATGAACTCAAACAAATTTACAAGAAAAAAAACAAACAACCCCATCAAGAATTGGGTGAAAGATATGAACAGACACTTCTCAAAAGAAGACATTTATGCAGCCAAAAGACACATGAAAAAATGGTCATCATCTCTGGCCATCAGAGAAATGGAAATCAAAACCACAAGGGGATAACATCTCATACCAGTTGGAATGGAGATCATTAAAAAGTCAGGAAACAATAGGTGCTGGAGAGGATGTGGAGAAATAGGAACACTTTTACACTGTTGGTGGGACTGTAAACTAGTTCAACCATTGAGGAAGTCAGTGTTGCGATTCCTCAGGGATCTAGAGCTAGAAATACCATTTGACCCAGCCATCCCATTACTGGGTATATACCCAAAGGATTATAAATCATGTTACTATAAAGACACATGCACATGTATGTTTATTGTGGCACTATTCACAATAGCAGAGACTTGGAACCAACCCAAATGTCCAACAATGATAGACTTTATTAAGAAAATGTGGCACATATACACAATGGAATACTATGTAGCCATAAAAAGTGATGAGTTCATGTCCTTTGTAGGGACATGGATGAAGCTGGAAACCATCATTCTTAGCAAACTCTTGCAAGGAGAAAAAACCAAACACTGCATGTTCTCACTCATTGGTGGGAAGTGGACAATGAGAACACTTGGACAAAGGAAGGGGAACATCACATACTGTGGCCTCTTGTGGTATAGGGGGAATGGGGGAGGGATAGCATTACGAGATATGCCTAATGTAAATGACGAGTTAATGGGTGCAGCACATCAACATGCCACATGTATACATATGTAACAAACCTTCAAGTTGTGCACATATACCCTAAAACTTAAAGTATAATAATAATAAAAAGAAAAACTAAAAGAAGCTATCTGAAAAACGCTGTGTGATGCATGCATTCACCTCGCAGAGTTAAAACTCTCTTTTCATTCAGCAGTCTGTAAACATTGTTTTGGCAAAATCCGTGTGTCGATGTTTTGGAGTGCATTGATTCCTATGGTGAAAAAGGAAATATCTTCTGATAAAAACTAGAAGAAATCTTTCTGAGAAACTTCTTTGTGGTGTGTACATTCATCTCACAGGGTTAAAACTTTCTTTGGATTCAGGAGTTTGGAAACACTGTTGCAGAATCTGCGAAGGGATATTTCAGTGCTCATTGAGGCCAATGATGAAAACACGAATATCCCAGAATAAAAACCAGAAGGAACCTATTTGAGAAACTACTTGGTTATGTGTGCATTCATCCTACAGAATTAAACTTCTCTTTTCATTCAGCAGTATGGAAACACTTTTTTCATAGAATATGTGATGGGATATCTGGGAGCCCATTGAGGCCTATGGCAAAAGAGGAAATCTCTTCAGATAAAAACTAGAAAGAAGCTTTCTGAGAAACTGCTTTGTGTTGCTTGCTTTCACCTTATAGTGTTAAACCTTTCTGTGGATTTGCAAACACTATTTTTGTCCATTCTGGGAATGGACATTTGTGAGCAAATTGAGGCCAATCGAGAAAAAATGAGTATCACAGGATAGATAGAAACTAGAAGGAAGCTATCTGAGAAACTGCTTTGTGATGTGTGCATTCACCTCCCAGAGAGAAACTTTTCTTTACATTCAGCAGTCTGGAAACAATATTTTGACAAGAATACATGAAGGGATATTTTGGAACGCATTTAGGCCTATAGGGTAAAAGGAAATATCTTCAGATAAAAACTAGAAAGAAGCTTTCTGAAAAACTGCTTTGTGATGTGCGCATTCATCTCACAGAGTTAAACCTTTCTGTGGCATCAGCCATTTGCAAACACTATTTTTGTCCATTCTACAAATGGACATTTGGGAGCACATTGAGGCTGATGGTGAGAAAGAAAATACCACAGGATAAAAACTAAAAAGAACCTATCTGAAAAACCACTTAGTGATGTATGCACTCACCTTACAGAGTTAAAACTTTCTTTTCATTCATGTCACAGAGTCAAACCTTTCTTTGGGTTTAGCAGTTTGGAAACACTGTTGTTTTATAATCTGCAAAAGGATATTTGGGAGCTCATTAAGGTGAATGGTGAAAAAGTCAACATCCCATGGAAAAACTACAAGGAAGCAATCTGAAAATCTGCACCATGATGTATGCATTCATCTCACAGAGTTAAAACTTTCTTTTCATTCAGCAGTCTGGAAACACTCTTTTGGCAGAATCTGCAAAGGGATATTTGGGAGCACATCGAGGCCTGTGGTGAAAAAGGAAACATCTTGTGATAAAAACTAGAAAGAAGCTTTCTGAGAAACTGCTTTGTGATGTGTGCATTCATCTCACAGAGTTAAACCTTTCATTAGATTCAGCAGTTTGTAAACATTGTAGTTGTAGAATCTGCGAAGGGATGTGTGGGAGATCATTGATGCCATAGTGAAAAAGACAACATCCCAGTATAACAACTAGAAGGAATCAACCTAAGAAACCACTTTGGGATGTGTGCATTCACCTCACAGAGATAAACTTTTCTTTTCATGCAGTAGTCTGGGAACACTGTTTTGACAGAATCTGCAAAGGGATATTTGGGAGTACATTGAGGCCAAGAGTGAAAAAGGAAATATCTTCAGATAAAAATTAGAAAGAAGCTTTCTGAGAAACTGCTCTGTGATGTGTGCATTCATCTCACAGAGTTAAACCTTTCTTTTCATTCAGCAGTTTGGAAACACTGTTGTTGTAGAGTCTGTGAAGGGATATTTGGAAGCTTAATGAGGCCAAAGTGGAAAAACAGAATATCCCAGGATAAAAACAAGAAGGAAGTTATCTGAGAAACCGCTTTTTGATGTGTGTATTCATCTCTCAGAGGTAAAACATCCTTTCCATTCAACACTTTGGAAACACTGTTTTTGTAGAATCTGTGAAGTTATATTTGGGAATGCATAGAGGCCTATGGTGAAAAAGGAAATATCTTCAGATAAAAACTAAAAAGAAGATTTCTGATAAAATGCTTTTTTATGTGTGCATTTATCTTACAGAGTTAAACCTTTCTATGAATTCAGCAAATTGCAAACACTGTTTTTGTCCATTCTGTGAATGGACATATGGGAACTCATTGAGGCCAATGGTGAAAAAGTGAATATCCCAGGATAAAATGTTGAAGTCAGCTACCTGAGAAACCGCTTTGTGATTTTTGCATTCACCTTCCCTAGGTAAACTTTTATTTTCATTCAGCAGTCTGGATACACCGTTTTGGCAGAATCCATGAAGGGTTGTTTGAGAGTGCATTGAGGCCTATGGTGAAAAAGGAAATATATTCAGATAAAAACTAGAAAGAAGTTTTCTGAGAAACTGCTTTGTGATGTGTGCATTCGTCTCAAAGAGTTAAACCTTTCTGTGGATTCAGCAGTTTGGAAACATTGTTGTTGCAGACCCTGTGAAGGGATATTTGTGAGCTTAATGATGCCAAAGGCTAGAAAGCAAATATCTGAGGAAGAAAACTAGAAGGAAGATATCTGAGAAACTGCTTTGTGAAGTGTGCATTTACCTCACAGAGTTAAAACTTTCTTTTCATACAGCAGTCTGGAAACACTGTTTTGACAGAATCTGCAAAAGGATATTTGGGAGCACATTGAGCCTATGGTGAAAAAAGAAATATCTTCACATAAAAACTAGAAAGAAGCTTTCTAAGAAACTGATTTGCGATGTGTGCATTCATCTCACAAAGTTAAACATTTCTTTGGATTCAGCAGTTTGGAAACACTGTTCTAGAATCTTTGAAGGGATACTTTGAAGCTCATTGAGGCTGAAGGTGAAAAAGCGAATAGCCCCAGGGAAAAACTAGAAGGAAGCTATCTGAGAAACTGCTTTATGATGTGTGCATTAATCTCACAGAGTTAAAATCTTTCTTTTCATTCAGCAGTTTGGAAACACAGTTTTCATAGAATCTGTGAAGGGATATCTGGGAGCACATTGAGTCCTATGGTGAAAAAGGAGATATCTTCAGATAAAACCAGAAAGAAGCATTCTGAAAAACTGCCTTGTGATGTGTGCATTCATCTCACAGAGTTAAACCTTTCTGTGGATTCAGTAGTTTGCAAACGCTGTTTTTGCCCACTCTGTGATTGGACGTTAGTCAGCGCAATGAAGCCTATGGCCAAAAAGCGAATATCCCAGTATAAAAAAAAGAAACATGCTATCTGAGGAACTGTTTTGTGATGTGTGCATCACCTCGCAGAGAAAACCTTTCTTTTCATTCTGCAGCCTGGAAATACTCTTTTGGCAGAATCCATGAAGGGAAATTTGGGAGCGCACTGAGGCCTATGGTGAAAAAGGAATTATCTTCAGATAAAAACTAGAAAGAAGCTATCTGAGAAAATGATTTGTGATGTGTGCATTCATATCAAAGAGTTAAAACTTTCTGTAGATTCATCAGTTTGCAAACACTGTTTTTGTCCATACGGCAAATGGACATTTGGGAGCTCACTGGGGCCAATGGCCAAAAAGAGAACATCCCAGGAAAAAAAATAAAATGAAGCTATCTGAGAAACTGCTTTGTGATGTGTACATTCACTTCACAGATTTAAACTTTTCTTTTCATTCAGCAGTCTGGAAACACTGTTTTGGCAGAATCTGAGAAGGGATATTTGGGAGCACCTAGAGGCCTATGGTGAAAAAGAAAACATGTTCAGATAAAAACTAGAAAGAAGCTTTCTTAGAAATGCTTTGTGATGTGTGCCTTCCTCTCACAAAGTTAAACCTTTCTGTGGATTCAGCAGTTTAGAAACACGTTTTTTTTAGAAACTGGGAAGGGATATTTGGGAGCTTAATGAGGCAAATGCAAAAAACGGATATCCCAGGATAAAAACTAGAAGGAAGCTCTTTGAGAAAACTCTTTCTGATGTGTGCATTACTCTTGCAGATTTAAACCTTTCTTTCCATTCAGCAATTTGGAAACACTGTTTTCATAGTATCTGCAAAGTGATATCTTGGAGTACTTTGAGATCTATGGTGAAAAAGGAAATGCATTCAATTTAAAACTAGAAAGAAGCTGTATGAGAAACTGCTCGGTGTTTTGAGCATTCATCTCACAGAGTTAAACCTTTCTGTGGATTCAGCAGTCTGTAAACACTGCTTTTGTTTATTCCATGAATGCAGATTTGCTGCTAGTTGGGGCCAAAGGAGAAAAAGTGAATATCCCAGGATAATAACTAGAAGGAAGATATCTGAGAAACCACTTTGTGATGTGTGCATTCATCTCACAGAGTTAAACCTTTCTTTTCATTCAGCAGTTTGGAATCACTGTTACATATAATCTGTGAATGGATATCTGGGAGCGCATTGTGGTCTACTGTAAAAAAAAAAACCTTCAGGTAAAAACTAGAAAGAAGTTTTCTGAAAGACTGCTTTGTGATGTGTGCATTCATCTCACAGATTGATACCTTCTGTGGATTCAGCAGTTTGCAAACACTGTTTTTGTCCATTCTGCCAATGGACATTTGGGAGCCCTTTGTGGCCAATGGAAAAAAAGTGAATATCCCAGGATAAAAACTAGAAGGAAGCTATATGAGAAATCGCTTTGTGATGTGGGCATTCACCTGGCAGAGATAAATATTTCCTTTCATTCAGCAGTATGGAAACACTGTTTTGGCAGAATCAGCTAAGGGATATTTGGGAGCACAAAGAGGTCAGTTGTGAAAAAGGGAATATCTTCACATAAAAATTACAAAGAAGCTTTCTGAGAAACTGCTTTGTGATGTGTGAATTCATCACACAGAGTTCAATATTTCTGTGGATTCAGCAGTTTGCAAACATTGTTTTGATCCATTCTGTGAATAGACATTTGGGAGCTCATTGAGGCCAATGGCAAAAAAACCAAATATTCCAGGATAAAAACTAATAAAAACTACCTGAGACACCGCTTCATGAATGGAGCATTCACCTCACAGAGTTAAAACTTTCTTTTCATGCAGCAGTCTGGAAACACTGCTTTGGCAGAATCCACAAAGGGATATTTGGGAGCACATTGAGTCTTAAGGTGAAAAAGTAAATATCATCAGATAAAAGCTGGAAACTAGCTTTCTGAGAAACTGCTTTGTGATATGTGCATTCATCTCACAGAGTTAAGCCTTTCTTTGGATTCAGCATTTTGGAAACACTGTTGTTGTAGAATCTGCAATGCGATATCTGGGATCTTAATGATGCCAATGGCAAAAAAGCAAATATCCCAGGAAAAAAAAGTAGAAACTGCTTTGTGATGTGTGCATTCACATCTCAGAGTTAGACCTTGCTTTTATTTAGCAGTTTGGAAACACTGTTTTCATAGAATCTGTAAAGTTATACCTGGGAGCACATTGAGGTCCATGGTGAAAAATGAAATATCATTAGATAAATCAAGAAAGAAGCTTTGTGAGAAGCTGATTTGTCATATGAGCATTCACCTCACAGAGTTAAGCTTTTCTGTGGATTCAGCCATTTGCTAACACTGTTTTTCTCCATTCTGTGAAAGGACATTTGGGAGTTCATAGAGGCCAATGGTGAAAAAACAAATATCCCAGAATAAAAACTAGAAGGAAGCTACCTGAGAAACTGCTTTGTGATATGCACATTCATGTCACAGAGTTAAAACTTTGTTTTCATTCAATAGTTTGGAAAAACTGTTTTTGTAAAATATAGTAAGTGATATCTGGGAATGCATAGAAGACTATGGTGAAAAAGGAAATACCTTCAGATAAAAACTAGAAAGAAGCTTTCTGAGAAACTGCTTTGTGATGTGTGCATTCATCTCACAGAGTTAAACCTTTCTGTGGATTCAGCAGTTTGGAAACACTGTTGTTGAAGAATCTGCGAAGGGATATATTGGAGCTTAATGAGGCCAATGGCAAAAAAGCAAATATCCCAGGAAAAAAACTAGCTGGAAGCTATCTGAGACACTGCTTTGTGATGTGTGCATTCACCTCACAGAGTTAAAACTTTCTTTTCATTCAGCAGCTTGGAAACACTGTTTTTGTAGAATCTGCAAAGTGATATCTTGGAGCGCATGGAGGTCTAAGATGAGAAAGGAAATATCTTCAGATAAAAACTAGAAAGAAGCTTTATGAGAAATTGCTTTGTGATAAGTGAATTCTTCTCAGAGTGTTTAAACTTTCTGTGGATTCAGTAGTTTGCAAACACTATTTTTGTCCATTCTGCAAATGGACATTTGGAAACTCATTAAGGCCAATGGTGAAACTGCAAATATCCTCAGATAAAAACTAGAGTGGAGCTATCTGAGAAACTGCTTTCTGAAGTGTGCTTTCACCTAGGAGAGTTAAAACTTTCCTTTAATACAGCATTCTGGAAACACTGTTTTGGCAGAATCTGTGAAGGGATATTTTGGAGGGCATTGAGGCTTATGATGAAAAAGGAAATATCTTCAGAAAAAAACTAGAAAGAAACTTTCTGAGAAACTGCTTTGTGATGTGTGCATTCAACTTACAGAGTTAAACCTTTCTTTGGATTGATCTGTTTGATAACACTGTTCTTGTAGAATCTGGGAAGAAATATTTGGGAACTTAATGAGGCAAAAGGTGAGAAAGTGAATATCCCATGACAAAAACCAGAGAGAAGCTTAATGAGAAACTTGCTTGGGATGTGTGCATTCATCTCAGAGAGTAAGACCTTTCTTTGGATTCAGCAGTTTGGAAACACTGTTTTAACCATTCTGGAACTGGATATTTGTGGGCTCATTGAGGCCAATGGTAAAAAAACAAATATCCCAGGATAAAAACAAGAAGGAACAATCTGAGAAACAGTTTTGTTATGTGTGCATCCATCTAGCAGAGTTAAACATTTCTTTTCATTCAGCAGTTTGGAAACACTGTCTTTGTAGAATCTGCAAAGAGATATTTGGTTGTGCATTGAGGCCTATGGTGAAAAAAGAAATATCTTCAGAAAAAAATTAGAAAGAAGCTTTCTGAGAAACTGCTTTGTGATGTGTGCATTCATCTCACAGACTTAAACGTTTTTTTGATTCAGCAGTTTGGTAACACTGTTTTGTAGAATACAAAAAGGGATATTTTGGAGCTCATTGAGGCCAAAGGCAAAAAAGTGAATATTCCAGGATAAAAACCAGAAGGAAGCTATCTGAGAAACAGTCTTGTTACGTGTGCATCCATCTCACAGAGTTAAACGTTTCTTTTAATTCAGCAGTTTGGAAACACACCTTAGTACAATCTGTGAAGGGGTATGTGGGGGTGCATTGAGGCCTATGGTCAAAAAGGAAATATCTTCAGATAAAAACCAGAAAGAATCTTTCTGAGAAACTGCTTGGTGATGTGTGCTTTCATGACACAGATTTAAACCTTTGTTTGGATTCAGCATTTTGGAAACATTTGGACTTTTTGCAGCTCATTGATGACAATGTTGAAAAAGTGATTATCCCAGGATAAAAACTTGAAGGAAGCTATCTGAGTAACTGCTCTGTGATGTGTGCATTCATCTCACAGAGTTAAACCTTCCTTTTAATTCAGCAGTTTGAAAACACTGTTTTCATAGAAACTGCAAAGGGATATTGAGGGGGTGCATTGAGGCCTATGGTGAAAAAGAAAATATCTTCAGTTAAAAAGTAGAAAGAAGCATTCTGAGAAACTGCTTTGAGATGTGTGCCTTCATCTCACAGACTCAAATGTTTCTTTGGATTCAGGACTATGGAAGCACTGTTTTTGTCGAATCTGTGAAGAGGTAGTTGGGAGCGCATTGAGGCCAAAGGTGAAAAAGTGAATACCCTGGGATAAAAACTAGAAGGAAGCTATCTGAGAAACCACTGGGTTATGTGTGCATTCATCCTGAAGAGTTAAACCTTTCTTTTTATTCAGCAGTTAGGAAACACTGTTTTGTAGAGTCTGCAAAGGGACATTTGGGAGCTCATTGAGGCCAAATGCAAAAAAGGGAACAGCCTGGGATAAAAACTAGAAGGAAGCTATATGTGAAACCACTTAGTTATGTGTGCATTCATCTCACAGTTAAACCTTTCTTTTCATTCAGCAGTTTGGAAACACTGTTTTGGTGGAATCTGCGATGGGATATTTTGGAGTGCATTGAGGCCTACGGTGAAAAAGGATCTATCTTTAGATGAAAACTAGAAAAAAGCATTCAGACAAACTTCTTTGTAATGTGTGCATTCATCTCACAGAGTTAAACCTTTCTTTTGAGTCATCATTTTGGAAACAGTGTTTTTGTCCCTTTCACAGAATGGACAATTGGGAGACCATTGAAACCAATGGTGAAAAAGTGAACATCACAGGATAAAAAGTAGAAGAAAGATATCTGACAAACCACTTTGGGATGTGTGCATTCATCTCTCAGAGTTAACTTGTTTTTCATTCAGCAGTTTTGAAACACTGTTTTTGTAGAATCTGTGAAGGGATATTTGGGAGCTCATTGGAGCCAAAGGTGGAAAAGCAGATATCCCACGATAAAAACTAGAATAAGCTATCTGAGAATATTCTTTGTGATGTGTGCATTCATCTGACAGAGTTAAACGTTTCTTTTCATTCAGTAGTTTGAAACATATTTTGGTAGAATCTGCAAAAGGATATATGGGGGTGCATTGAGGCCTATGGTGAAAAAGAAATATCTTCATATAAATACTAGAAAGAAGCATTCTGACAAATTGCTTTGTGATGTGTGCCTTCATCTGACAGAGTTAAACGTTTCTTTTCATTCAGTAGTTTGAAACATATTTTGGTAGAATCTGCAAAAGGATATATGGGGGTGCATTGAGGCCTATGGTGAAAAAGAAATATCTTCATATAAATACTAGAAAGAAGCATTCTGACAAATTGCTTTGTGATGTGTGCTTTCATGTCACAGAGTTAAACATGTCTTTGGATACGGCATTTGGGAAACACTGTTTCTGTCCATTCTACCAATGGACATTTGGCAGCTCATTGAGGCCAATGGTGAAAAAGTGAATATCTCAGGATAAAAACTTGAAAGAACCTCTCTGAGTAACTGCATTGTGATGTGTGCATTCATCTCACAGAGTTAAACCTTCCTTTTCATTCAGCAGTTTTGAAACACTGTTTTTGTAGAATCTGCAAAGGGATATTGGGGCACGCATTCATGCCTATGTTGAAAAAGAAAGTATTTTCAGTAAAAAACTAGAAAGAAACTTTCTGAGAAACTGCTTTGTGATGTGTACATTCAGCACACAGAGTTAAACATTTCTTTGGATTCAGCAGTATGGAAACGCTATTTTTGTAGAATTTGTAAAGGGGTATTTAGGAGCTCATTGAGGCCAAAGGCAAAAAAGCAAATATCCCAGGATACAAACCAGAAGGAAACTATCTGAGAAACCACTTGGTTATATGTGCATTCACTTCACAGAGTTAAACTTTCTTTTAATTCAGCAGTTTGGAAACACTGTTTTGTAAAATCTGCAAAGGGGTATTTGGGAGACCATTGAGGCCTATGGTGAAAAATGAAATATGTTCAGATAGAAACTAGAAAGAAGCTTTCTGAGAAACTTCTTTGAGATGAGTGCATTCATCACACAGAGTTAAACCTTTCTTTGGATTCAGCAGTTTAGAGACAATGTTTTTGTCCATTCTGTCAATGGACATTTGGGAGCACATTGAGGCCAATGGCAAAAAAGCAAATATCCTTGGATAAAAACTAGAAGGAAACTATCTGAGATCGCTTTGTTATGTGTGCATTCATCTCACAGAGTTAAACCTTTATTTTCATTCAGCAGTTTGGAAACATTGTATTTTAAAATCTGTGAATGGATATATGGGAATGCTTTGAGTCCTATAGTGAAAAAGGAACTATCTTCAGATGCAAACTAGAAAGAAGGTTTCTGAGAAACAGCTTTGTTGTGTGTGTATTCCACTCACAGAGTTAAAACCTTCTTTGTATTCACCAGTTTGGAAACACTGTTTTTGTAGAATCTGCGAAGGGATATTTGGCAGGTCATTGAGGCCAAAGGCAAAAAAGTGAATATTCTAGCATAAAAACAGAAGGAAAGTATCTGAGAAACCTCTCTGAGATGTGTGTCTTGATCTCCAAAAGTTAAAATTTTCTTAACATTCAGCAGTTTGGAAATGCCGTTTTGTAGGATCTGCAAGGTTATATTTCATTGTGCATTGTGGAGTATGGTGAAAAAGAAATATCCTCAGATAAAAACTACAAAGAAGCTTTCTGACAAACTGCTTTTGAAAGGTGCATTCATCTCACAGAGATATATACATTACTTTTGATTCTGCAGTTTGGAAACACTGTTTTTGTTCTTTCTGCAAATGGACATTTGGGAGCTCATTGAGGACGATGGCAAAAATGCGAATATCCCAGGGTAAAAACTAGAAGGGAGTTATCTGAAATACCACTTTTTCACCTTTGGCCTGAATGAGCTCCCAAATATCCATTCGCAGAATGGACAAAAACAGTGTTTCCCAACTGACGAAGTAAAAGAAATGTTTATCTCTATGAGATGAATGCACACATCACAAAGCAGTTTCTCAGAAAGATTTTTTCTACTTTTTATCTGACAATATTTCCTTTTTTTTCTTTTTTCTTTTATTTATTTATTTATTAATTAATTCATTTATTATTATTATACTTTAAGTTTTAGGGTACATGTTCACAATGTGTAGGTTAGTTACATATGTATACATGTGCCATGCAGGTGTGCTGCACCCACTAACTCGTCATCTAGCATTAGGTATATCTCCCAATCCTATCCCTCTCCCCTCCCCCCACCGCACAACAGTCCCCAGAGTGTGATATTCCCCTTCCTGTGTCCATGTCATCTCATTGTTCAATTCCCACCTATGAGTGAGAATATGCAGTGTTTGGTTTTTTGTTCTTGTGATAGTTTACTGAGAATGATGATTTCCAGTTTCATCCATGTCCCTACAAAGGACATGAACTCATCATTTTTTATGGCTGCATAGTATTCCATGGTGTATATATGACACAATTTCTTAATCCAGTCTATCATTGTTGCACATTTGGGTTGGTTCAAGTCTTTGCTATTGTGAATAATGCCACAATAAATATACGTGTGCATGTGTCTTTATAGCAGCATGATTTATAGTCCTTTGGGTATATACCCAGTAATGGGATGGCTGGGTCAAATGGTATTTCTAGTTCTAGATCCCTGAGGAATCGCCACACTAACTTCCACAATGGTTGAACTAGTTTACAGTCCCACCAACAGTGTCAAAGTGTTCCTATTTCTCCACATCCTCTCCAGCACCTGTTGTTTCCTGACTTTTTAATGATTGTCATTCTAACTGGTGTGAGATGGTATCTCATTGTGGTTTTGATTTGCATTTCTCTGATGGCCAGTGATGATGAGCATTTTTTCATGTGTTTTTTGGCTGCATAAATGTCTTCTTTTGAGAAGTGTCTGTTCATGTCCTTTGCCCACTTTTTGATGGGGTTGCTTGTTTTTTTTTCTTGTAAATTTGTTTGAGTTCATTGTAGATTCTGGATATTAGCCCTTTGTCAGATGAGTAGGTTGCGAAAATTTTCTCCCATGTTGTAGGTTGCCTGTTCATTCTGATGGTAGTTTCTTTTGCTGTGCAGAAGCTCTTTAGTTTAATTAGATCCCATTTGTCAATTTTAGCTTTTGTTGCCATTGCTTTTGGTGTTTTAGACATGAAGTATTTGCCCATGCCCATGTCCTGAATGGTAACGCCTAGGTTTTCTTCTAGGGTTTTGATGGTTTTAGGTCTAATGTTTAAGTCTTTAATCCATCTTGAATTAATTTTTGTATAAGGTGTAAGGAAGGGATCCAGTTTCAGCTTTCTACATATGGCTAGCCAGTTTTCCCAGCACCATTTATTAAATAGGGAACCCTTTCCCCATTGCTTTTCTCAGGTTTGTCAAAGATCAGACAGTTGTAGATATGTGGCATTATTTCTGAGGGCTCTGTTCTGTTCCGTTGATCTATATCTCTGTTTTGGTACCAGTACCATGCTGTTTTGGTTACTGTAGCCTTGTAGTATAGTTTGAAGTCAGGTAGCGTGATGCCTCCAGCTTTGTTCTTTTGGCTTAGGATTGACTTGGCAATGCGGGCTCTTTTTTGGTTCCATATGAACTTCAAAGTAGTTTTTTCCAATTCTGTGAAGAAAGTCACTGGTAGCTTGATGGGGATGGCATTGAATCTGTAAATTACCTTGTGCAGTATGGCCATTTTCACAATATTGATTCTTCCTACCTATGAGCATGGAATGTTCTTCCATTTGTTTGTATCCTCTTTATTTCCTTGAGCAGTGGTTTGTAGTTCTCCTTGAAGAGGTCCTTCACATCCCTTGTAAGTTGGATTCCTAGGTATTTTATTCTCTTTGAAGCAATTGTGAATGGAAGTTCACTCATGATTTGTCTCTCTGTTTGTCTGTTGTTGGTGTATAAGAATGCTTGTGATTTCTTTACATTGATTTTGTATCCTGAGACTTTGCTGAAGTTGCTTATCAGCTTAAGGAGATTTTGGGCTGAGACAATGGGTTTTCTAGAGATACAATCATGTCGTCTGCAAACAGGGACAATTCGCCTTCCTCTTTTCCTAATTGAATACCCTTTATTTCCTTCTCCTGCCTAATTGCCCTGGCTAGAACTTCCAACACTATGTTGAATAGGAGTGGTGAGAGAGGGCATCCCTGTCTTGTGGCAGTTTTCAAAAGGAATGCTTCCAGTTTTTGCCCATTCAGGATGATATTGGCTGTGGGTTTGTCATAGATAGCTCTTATTATTTTGAGATACAACCCATCAATACCTAATTTATTGAGAGTTTTTAGCATGAAGTGTTGTTGAATTTTGTCAAAGGCCTTTTCTGCATCTATTGAGATAATCATGTGGTTTTTGTCTTTGATTCTGTTTATATGCTGGATTACATTTATTGTTTTGCATATATTGAACCAGCCTTGCATCCCAGGGATGAAGCCCACTTGATCATGGTGGATAAGCTTTTTGATGTGCTGCTGGATTCAGTTTGCCAGTATTTTATTGAGGATATTTGCATCAATGTTCATCAAGGATATTGGTCTAAAATTCTCTTTTTGGTTGTGTCTCTGCCCGGTTTTGGTATCAGGATGATGCTGGCCTCATTAAAAGAGTTAGGAAGGATTCCCTCTTTTTCTATTGATTGGAATAGTTTCAGAAGGAATGGTACCAGCTCCTCCTTGTACCTCTGGTAGGATTCGGCTGTGAATCCATCTGGTCCTGGACTCTTTTTGGTTGGTAAGCTATTTATTATTGCCACAATTTCATTTACCATAGCCCTAAAAGTGATTTGAAATTTCTCTTTGCATATTCTATGCAAACAGTGTTTCCACAATGCTGAATGAAAAGAAAGGTTTAACTCTGCTAGATGAATGGATACATCACAAAGTGGTTTCTCAGATAGCTTCCTTCTAGTTTTTATCCGGGGATTTTCACTTTTTCACCTATGGCCTCAATGAGCTATGAAATATCCCTTGGCAGATTCTACTAAAACAGTGTTTACAAACTGTTGAATCCAAGGAAATGTTGAAATCTGTCAGATGAATGCACGCATCACAAAGCAGTTTCTCAGAAAGCTTCCTTCTAGTTTTGATCTGAAGTTATTTTCTTTTTCACCATAGGCCTCAAAGCCCTCCTATATATACTTTCACAGATTCTATGAAAACAGTGGTTCCAAACTGCTGAATGAAAAGAAAGTTTTAACTCTGCGAAGTGAATGCACACATTACAAAGTGGTTTCTCAAGTAGTTTCTTTCTAGTCTTTATACTGGGATATTCACTTTTTCTCAGATGGCCACAATGAGCTGCCAAATATCCCTTTGCACATTCTACAATAACAGTGTTTCCAAACTGGTGAATCCAAAGAAAGGTTTTACTCTGTGATATGAATGCATACATCACAAAGCAGTTTCTCAGAAAGCTTCTTTCTAGTTTTCAACAGAAGATATTTCCTTTTTACCATAAGCCTAAATGCACTCCCAAATATCCCTTCACAGTTTCTACAAAAAGAGTGTTTCCAACCTGTTGAATGAAAATAAAGGTTTAACTCTGTGAGATGAATGCTCACATCACAAAGCGGTTTTTCAGATAGATTCCTTCTAATTTTTTTCATGGCATATTTACTTTTTGGCCTTTGGCTTCAATGAGCTCTCTAATATCCCTTCGCGGATTCTACAAAAACATTGTTTGAAAACTGCTGAATCCAAAAACTGTTTAACTCTGGTAGATGAATGCACACATCACAAAGCAATTTCTCATAAAACTTCTTTCTGCTTTTTATCTGAAGATATTTCCTTTTTCACCATAGACCTAAATGCGCTCCCAAATATCCCTTTACAGATTCTACCAAGATGATGTTTCCATTCTACCAAGACGATTCTGAGATTTAAATGCACACATCACAAAGCGGTTTCTCAGATACCTTTCTTCTAAGTTTTATCCTTGGATATTCACTTTTTCACCTTGGCCTCAATGAGCTCCCAAATGTCCATTCATAGAATGGACAAAAACAGTGTTTCTACACTGCTGAATCCAAAGAATGGTTCAACTCTTAGAGATGAATGCAGACATCACAAAGCACTTTCTCGTAAATCTTCTATCTTGTTTTTTCTGAAGATATTTCCTTTATCACCATAGTCCTCTATGCAATTCCAAATGTTCATTCACGGATTCTGCCAAAGTACTGTTTCCAAACTGCTGCATGAAAAGAAAGTTTTAACTCTCCCAGATGAATGCACACATCACAAAGCAGTTTCTCAGATAGCTTTCTTCAAGTTTTTCTCCTGTGATATTTGCTTTTTCACCATTGTTGTTAATGAACTATCAAATGTCCTTTTGCAGAATGGGTGAAAACAGTGTTGGCAAAATGCTGATTTCACTGAAAGAATTATCTCTGTGAGCTGAATGAACACTTCACAAAGCAGTTTCTCAGAGAACTTCTTTCTAGATTTTATCTGAGTATATTTCCTTTTTCACCATAGGCCTCAATGCACTTCCAGATATCCCTTTGAAGTTTCTATGAAAATAGTGTTTCCACAATGCTGAATGAAAAGAAAGTTTAACTTTGCAAGATGAATGCACACATCACAAAGCGGTTTCTCAGATAGCTTTCTTCTAGTTTTAATTCTGGGATATTCTCTTTTTCACCTTTGAACTCAATGACCTCCCAAATGTCCATTCACAGAATGGACAAAAAGAGTGTTTCCAAACTGCTGAATCCAAAGAAAGGTTTAACTCTGTGAGATGAATGCACACATCACAATGTAGATTTTCAGAAAGCTTCCATGTAGTTTTTATCTGAAGATATTTCCTTTTTCATTGTAGGCCTCCTTGAGCTCCCAAATATCCCTTTGCAGATTCTTTGAAAACAGTTTTTCCAAACTGCTGAATGAAAAGAAAGGTTTAACACTGTGAGCTGAAATCACACAGCACAAAGCTGATTGTCAGATAGATTTCTTCTAGTATTTATCTGGGGATATTGGCTTTTCTGCTTTGGCCTCAATGAGATCTGAAATGTCCTTTCATAGAATGGACAAAAACAGTGTTTCCAAACTGTTGATTCTAAGGAAACTTTTAACTCTGAGATAAATGCACTCATCACAAAGCAGTTTCTCAGAAAGATTCCCTCTGGTTTTTATCTGAAGATATTTCCCCTTTCACAATAGGCCTTAATTTGCTCCAAAATATCCCTTCTTAGATACTACAAAAACAGTATTTTTAAACTGCTGAATGAAAAGAAAGTTTTATCTCTGTGAGATGAATGCACACATCACAAAGTGGTTTTTCAAATAGCTTCCTTCTAGTTTCAATCCTGGGATGTTTGCTTTTTTGCCAATGGCCTCAATGAGCTCCAAAATATCTGTTCACAGATTCTACAAAAACGGTGTTTCCAAACTGCTGAACGCAAGGAAAGTTTTAACCGTGTGAGAAGAATGCACATATTACAAAGCAGTTTTTCAGAAAGCTTTTGTCTAGCTTTTATCTGAAGATATTTCCTTTTTCATCATAGGACTCAAGGTACTCCCATATATTTGGGAGCACAGGTTATACCAAAACAGTGTTTTGAAACTGCTGAATGAAAATAAAGGTTTAACTCTGATAGATGAAGGTAGACCTCACAAGGCAGTTTGTCAGATACGTGCCAAAAGAGTGTTTCCAGACTGCTGAATGAAAAGAAATGTTTATTACTGCGAGCTGAATGTACACATCACAAACCAGATTCTCAGATAACTTTTTATCCAGTTTTTATGCTGGGATATTAGCTTTTTGGCCTTTGGCCTCAATGAACTCCCAAAGGTTCATTCGCAAAATGGACAAAAACAGTATTTGCAAATGACTGAATCCACAGAAATGTTGAACTCTGTGAAGTGAATGCACACATCACAAAGCAGTTTCTCAGAAAGTTTCTTTCTAGTTTTTATCTGAAAATAATTCCTTTTTCAGCATAGGCCTCAATGTGCTCCCAGTTATCCCTTCAAAGATTCTACAAAAACAGTGTTTCCAAACTGCTGAATGAGATGAAAGGTTTATCTCTGTGAGATGAATGCACACATCACAAAGCAGTTTCTCAAATAGCTTCCTTCTAGTTTTTTTTCCTGGGATATTCCCTTTGTCGCCATTGGCCTCAATAGCTCCCAAATTTCCCTTCACAGATTCTACAACAACCGTTTTTCCAAAATGCTCAATTCAAAGAAAGGTTTAACTCTGTGAAATGAATACACACATCATAAAGCATTTTCTCAGTAAGCTTCTTTATAGTTTTTATCTGAAGATATTTCCTTTTTCACCTTAGGCCACAGTGCGCTCCCAAATATCCCATTGTGGATTATGCCAAAGTAGTGTCTCCAGACTGCTGAATGAAAAGGTTTTAAATGTTCTAGGTGAATGCACACATCACAAAGCTGTTTCTCAGTTAGCTTCATTCTAGTTTTTGTCCTGGGATATTCACTTTTTCGCCATCAGCCTCAATGAGCTCTCAAATGTCCATTGACAGAATGGACAAAATCAGTGTTTGCAAACTGCTGAATCCACAGAAAGATTTAACTCTGTGAAGTGAATGCACACATCACAAATCAGTTTCTCAGAAAACTTCTTTCTAGTTTTTATCTGAAGATATTTCCTTTTTCATCATAGGCCTCAATGCGTTCCCAGATATTGCATCACAGATTCTACCAAAACAGTGTTTCCAAACGGCTGAATGAAAAGAAAGGTTTATCTCTATGAAGTGAATGCACATATCACAAAGCGGTTTCAAAAATAGCTTCCTTCTAGTTTTAATCCTGGAATGTTCACTTTTTCATCGTGGGCCTCAATGAGCTCCCAAATATCCCTTTGCAGATTCTACAATAGTGTTTCCAAACTGCTGTATCCAGGGAAAGCTCTGTGAGGTGAATGCACATATCTCAAAGAAGTTTCTCAGAAAGCTTCTTTCTAGTTTTAATCTGAAGTTATTTCCTTTTTCACCATAGGCCTTAATGTGCTCCAGATATCACTGCATATTTTCTACATAAACAGTGTTTCCAAATTGCTGAATGAAAAAAAGGCTTAATTCTGTGAGATGAATGCACACTTCACAAAGGAGTTTCTCAGAAAGCTCATTCCTTGTTTTTATCTGAAGATATTTCCTTTTTCACCATAGGACCCAATGTGCTCCCAAATATAACTTTGCAGAAAAACAGTGTTTCCAAACTGCTAAATGAAAAGAAATGTTTAACTCTGAGAGATGAATGTACACATCACAAAGCCATTTCTCAGATAGCTTTCTTCTAGTTCTCTTCCTGGGAAGTACGGTTTCATTCCTTTCATTTCATTAAGCTCCAAATATCCCTTTGCAGACAATTCCACAACAGTGTTTCAAAACTACTGAATCCAAAGAAAGGTTTACCCCTTTGAGATGAATGCACACCTCATAAAGCAGTTTTTATGAAAGCTTCTTTCTAGTTTTTACCTGAAAGTATTTCCTTTCTCACCATAGGCCTCAATGTGCTCTCAAACATCCATTTGTGGATTCTGCCAGTGCAGTATTCCAAACTAGTGTATGAAAAGAAAGTATTAACTCTGTAAGGTGAATGCACACATCACAAAGCTTTTTCTCAGATAGCTCCTTTGTAGTTTTTATCCTTGGATATTCACTTTTTCACCTTTGGACTAAATGAGCTCCCAAATGTCCATTAGCAGAAGGGACAAAAACAGTGTTTGTAAACTGCTGAATCCAAAGAAAAGTTGAAACCTGTGAGATGAATGCACACATCACAGAGCAGTTTCTCAGAAAGCTTCTTTCTAGTTTTTATCTGAAGATATTTTCTTTTTCACCATAGGCCTCAAAGCCCTCCTATACATACCTTCGCAGATGATGATGGCGGTTTTGTCAAAAAGAAAAGGGGGAAATATGGGGAAAAGAAAGAGAGATCAGATTGTTACTGTGTCTGTGTAGAAAGAAGTAGACATAGGAGACACCATTTTGTTCTGTACTAAGAAAAATTCTTTTGCCTTGGGATGCTGTTAATCTATAACCTTACCCCCAACCCCGTGCTCTCTGAAACATTTGCTGTGTCAACTCAGGGTTAAATGGATTAAGGGTGCTGCAAGATGTGCTTTGTTAAACAGATGCTTGAAGGCAGCATGCTCGTTAAGAGTCATCACCACTCCCTAATCTCAAGTACCCAGGGACACAAACATTGTGGAAGGCCGCAGGGACCTCTGCCTATGAAAACCAGAGAACTTTGTTCACATGTTTATCTGCTGACCTTCTCTCCACTATTATCCTATGGCCCTGCCACATCCCCCTCTCTGAGAAACACCAAAGAATGATTAATAAATACTAAAAAAAAAAAAAAAGATATTTCCTTTTTCACCATAGGCCTCAAAGCACTCCAAGATATCCTTTCACAGATTCTATGATAACAGTGTTTCCAACCTGCTGAACAAAAGAAATGTTTAACTCTGTGAAATGAATGCACACATCACAAAGTGGTTTTTCAGATTGCTTTCTTCTATTTGTTTCTAGTATATTTTCTTTTTTGCCATTGGCCTAAATGAGCTCCTGAATATCCATTTGCATATTCTAAATTAACAGTGTTTTCAAACTGCTGAATCAAAAGTTAACTCTATGAGATGAATGCACACATCACAGAGCAGTTTCTGAGAAAGCTTCTTTCTAATTTTCATTTGAACATATTTCCTTTTTCAACATAGGCCTCAATGAGCTCCCAAATATAACTTTGCAGAATCTGCCAAAACAGTGTTTTCAGACTGCTGAGTGAAAAGAACTTTTTATCTCTGTGAGGTGAATGCACACTTAAGAAAGTGATTTCTCAAATAGTATTCTTCTAGTTTTTATTTGGGGATATTCACTTTTTCGTCATTGGCCTGAATGAGCTCCCCAATATACATTTGCAGAATGGACAAAAACAGTATTTGCAATCTTCTGAATCCACAGAAAGGTTTAACACAGTGAGATGAATGCACAAATCACAAAGCAGTTTCTCAGGAAGCCTCTTTCCACTTTTTATCTGAAGATATTTCCTTTTTCACCATAAGCCTCAATGCGCTCCCAGATATCACTTCGCAGATTCTACGAAAACAGTGTTTCCAAACTGCTGAATGAAAAGAAAGGTTTAACTCTGTGAGAGGAATGCACACATCACAAAGTGGTTTCTCAAATAGCTTCCTTCTAGTTTTTATCCTGGGATAGTTGGTTTTTCCCCTTTTGCCTAATTTAGCTCCCAAATTTCCCTTCACAGATTCTACAACAACAGTGTTTCCAAACTGCTGAATCCAAAGAAAGGTTTAACTCTGTGAGGTGAACGCACACATCTCAAAGCTGTTTCTCAGAAACTTCTTTTAATTTTTATCTGAAGTTTTTTTCACCACAGACCTCAATGTGCTCCCCAATATCCCTTCATGAATTCTTCCAAAACAGTGTTTACAGATTGCAGAATGAAAGGACAGTTTTAACTCTTTGAGATGAATGCACACATCACAAAGTAGTATCTCAGATAGCTTTCTTCTAGTTTCTATCCTGGGATGTTGTCTTCCTCATCATTGGTCTCAAGGAGCTCCCAAATATCCGTTTGCAGATTCTACAACAACGGGGTTTTCAAACTGCTGAATCTAAATAAAGGTTTAACTCTGCAAGATGAATGCACACATCACAAAGCAGTTTCTGTGAAAACTTCTTTCTAGTTTTTATCAGAAGATATTTCCTTTTTCACCATAGGCCTCAATGCACTCCAGATATCTCTTCACAGGTTCTACAAAAACAGTGTTTCCAACTTGCTGAATGACAAGAAATGTTTAACTCTGTGAGATGAATGAACACATCACCAAGAGGTTTCTCAGATTAATTTCTTCTAGTTTTTTTTTCCCCTGGAATATTTGCTTTACTGCCATTGGCCTCAGTGAGCTCCCAAATATCCCATCACAGAATCCACAACAACAGTTTTTTAAAACTGATGAATCCAAAGAGAGGTTTAACAGTGTGAGATGAATGCACACATCACAGAGCTGTTTCTCAGAGAGCTTCTTTCTAACTTTTATCTGAAGATAGTTCCTTTACACCACAGGTCTCAGTGTGCTCCAAAACATCCCTTTGGGGATTCTGCCAAAATAGTTTTTCCAGACTGCTAAGTGAAAAGAAAGTTTTATCCATATGATGTGAATGCACACATCACAAAGCAGTTTCTCAGAAAGCTTCATTCTAGTTCTCATGAGAAGATATTTCTATTTTAGCCATAGGCCTCAAAGTGCTACCAAATACTCCTTTGCAGATTCTACAAAAAGATGGTTTTCAAACTGCTCAATCAAAACAATGCTTCAACTCTGTGAGATGTATCCCCAAATCAAAAGGAATTTTCTCAGAAAGCTTCTGTCTAGTTTTTATGTGAACATATTTCATTTTTCACCATAGGCCTTAAAGTGCTCCCAAATATCCCTTTGCAAATTCTACAAAAAGACTGTCTACAAACTGGGCAATCAAAAGAATACTTCAACTCTGTGAAATGAATGTACACTTCACAAAGAAGTCTCAGAGAAAGATTCTGTCTAGTTTTTATGTGAAGATATTTCCTTCTTCACCATAGGAATCAAAGGTCTCACAAATATCCCTTTGCAGATTATAGAAGAACAGAGTTTCCAAACTGCTCAATGAAAAGAAACATTTACCTCTGTGAGATGAATGCAAACATCACTAAGCAGTTTCTCAGAAAACCTGTTTCTAGTTTGTATGTAAAGATATTCACTTTTTCACCTTAGGCCTCAAAGAGCTCCCAAGTGTCCCTTTGCAGATTCTACAAAAAGACTGTTTCCAAACTGCTCAATCAAAACAATGGTTCAAATGTGTGATATGTATGCACACATTATGAAGAAGTTTCTCAGAAAGTGTCTGTGTAGTTTTTATGTCAAGATATTTCCTTTTTCACCATAGGGCTCAAACTGCTCACAAATATCCCTTTGCAGATTCTACAAAAAGACTGTTTCCAAACTGCTCAATAGAAAGAAAGATTCAACTCTGTGAGATGAAAGCAAACATCACAAAGAAGTGTCTCAGAAAGCTTCTGTCTAGTTTAGTGTGAAGATATTTCCTTTTTCACCATAAGACTCAAAGTACTCCCAAATATCCCTTCACAGATTCTACAAAAATACTGTTTCCAAATTGCTCAATCAAAAGAATGGTTCAACTCTGTTAGATGAACGCACACATCACAAGGAAGTTTCTCAGATAGCTTCTGTCTAGTTTTTATGTGAAGATATTTCGTTTTTCACCAAAGGACTCAAAACACTCACAAATATCCCCTTGCAGATTCTGTAAGAACAGAGTTTCCAAACTGCTTAATGAAAAGAAACGTTTACCTCTGTGAGATGAATGCACACATCCAAAGAAGTTTCTCAGAAACCTTCTTTCTAGATTTTATGTGAAGATATTTCCTTTTTCACCATAGGCCAAAAAGCGCTTCCTAATATCCCTTTGCAGATTCTACAAAAAGACTGTTTCCAAAATGCTCAATCAAAAGAATGGTTCAACTCTGTGAGATGAATACACACATCACAAAGCAGTTTCACAGACAGCTTCTTTCTAGTTTTTATGTGAAGATACATCATTTTTTTATACAGGCCTCAAGTGCACACAAATATGCCTTTTCAGAATCTACAAAATGACAGTTCCCAAACTGTTCCATCAAAGCAATGCTTCAACTATGTGACATGCATGCACACATTATGAAGAAGTTTCTCAGAAAGCTTCTGTCCAGTTTTTATGTGAAGATATTTCCTATTTCACCATAGGCCTAAAAGTGCTCAGAAATATCCCTTTGCAGATACTAGAAGAACAGAGTTTCCAAACTGCTCAATGAACAGAAACTTTTACCTCTGTGAGATGAATGTACACATTACAAAGCAGTTTCTCAGAAAGCTTCTTTCTAGTTTTTATGTGAAGATATTTCCTTTTTTACCACCGGCCTCAAAGCACTCCCAAATATCCCTTTGCAGATTCTACAAAAATACTGTTTTGAAACTGCTCAATCAAACGAATGGTTCACCTCTGTTAGATGAATGCACACATCAGAGGGAAGTTTCTCAGAAAGCTTCTGTCTAGTTTTTAAGTGAAGATATTTCCTTTTTAACCAAAGGTCTCAAAGTGCTCACAAATATCCCTTTGCAGATTCTGGAAGATTAGAGTTTCCAAACAGCTCAATGACAAGATACGTTTACCTCTGTGGGATGAATGCACACATCACAAAGAAGTTTCTCAGAAAGCTACTGGTTAGTTTTTATGTGAAGATATTTCATTTTTCAACAAAGGCCTCAAAACACTCACAAATATCCCCTTGTAGATTCTGAAAGAACAGAGTTTCCAAACTGCTTAATGAAAAGAAACATTTACCTCTGTGAGATGAATGCACACATCAGAAAGAAGTGTCTCAGAAACCTTCTTTCTAGTTTTTATGTGAAGATGTTTCCTTTTTCATCATAGGCCAAAAAGCACTCCCAAATATCCCTTTGCAGATTCTACAAAAAGACTGTTCCAAACTGCTCAATCAAAAGCGTGGTTCAACTCTGTGAGATGAATACACGCATCACAAAGCAGTTTCACAGACAATTTCTTTCTAGTTTTTATGTGAAGATATATCATTTTTTCACTGTAGGCCTCAAGCGCACACAAATATGCCTTTGCAGATTCTACAAAACGACAGTTTCCAAACTGCTCAATCAAAGCAATGCTTCAACTCTGTGAGATGCATGCACACTTTATGAAGAAGTTTCTCAGAAAGCTTCTGTCCAGTTTTTATATGAAGATATTTCCTATTTCACCATAGGCTTAAAAGTGCTCACAAATATCCCTTTGCAGATACTAGAAGAACAGAGTTTCCAAACTGCTCAATGAACGGAAACTTTTACCTCTGTGAGTTGAATGCACACATTACAAAATAGTTTCTCCAAAAGCTTCTTTCTAGTTTTTATGTGACAATATTTCCTTTTTCACCACTGGCCTCAAAACACTCCCAAATATCCCTTTGCAGATTCTACAAAAAACTGTTTCCAAAATTCTCAATCAAAAGAATGGTTCAACTCTGTGAGATGAATACACACATCACAAAGCAGTTTCACAGACAGCTTCTTTCTAGTTTTTATGTGAAGATATATCAGTTTTTCACCATAGGCCTCAAGCGCACACAAGTATGCCTTTTCAGAGTCTACAAAATGACAGTTCCCAAACTGCTCAATCAAAACAATGCTTCAACTCTGTGAGATGCATGCACACATTATGAAGAAGTTTCTCAGAAAGCTTCTGTCCAGTTTTTATATGAAGATATTTCCTATTTCACCATAGGCCTAAAAGTGCTCAGAAATATCCCTTTGCAGATACTGGAAGAACAGAGTTTCCAAACTGCTCAACGAACAGAAACTTTTACCTCTTTGAGATGAATATACACATTACAAAGCAGTTTCTCAGAAAGCTTCTTTCTAGTTTTTATGTGAAGATATTTCCTTTTTTACCACCGGCCTCAAAGCACTCCCAAATATCCCTTTGCAGATTCTACAAAAATACTGTTTTGAAACTGCTCAATCAAATGAATGGTTCAACTCTGTTAGTTGAATGCACACATCACAGCGAAGTTTCTCAGAAAGCGTCTGTCTTGTTTTTAAATGAAGATATTTCCTTTTTAACCAAAGGTCTCAAATTGCTCACAAATATCCCTTTGCAGATTCTGGAAGAATAGAGTTTCCAAACAGCTCAATGACAAGAAACATTTACCACTGTGAGTTGAATGCACACATCACAAAGAAGTTTCTCAGAAAGCTTCTGTCTAGTTTTTATGTGAACATATTTTGTTTTCACCATATGCCTAAAAGCGCATGAAAATATCCCTTTGCAGATTCTACACAAAGGTAGTTTCCAAACAGCTCAAACAAAAGAAAGCTTCAACTCTGTGTAGTGAGTGCACACCTCACAAAGAAGTTTCTCAGAAACCTTCTGTCTAGTTTGTAAGTGAAGATATTTCCTTTTTCATCGTAGGACTCATTACGATCCCAAATATCCCTTTGCTGATTCTATGAAAAGACGGTTGTCAAACTGCTCAATGAAAACAATGTTTCTACCCTGTGATATGTATGCACACATCACAAATAAGTTTCTCAGGAAGCTTCTGTCTAGTTTTCGTATGAACATATTTCTTTTTTCACCATAGGTCTCAAAATGCTCCGTAATATACTTTAGCCGGTTCTAAAAAGGAGTGGTTCCAGACTGCTCAATGAAAAGAATGGCTCAACTCTGTGAAATGAATGCACACATCACAAAGCAGTTTCTCAGAAAGCTTCTCTTTAGTTTTTGTGAAGATATTTCCTTTTTGACCATAGGCCTCAAAGCACTCAGAAATGTCCCTCTGCAGATTCTACAAAAAGATGGATTCCAAACGGCTTAATCAAAAGAATGGTTCAACTCTGTGAGGAGAATGTACACATCACAAAGTGGTTCCTCACAAAACTTCTTTCTAGTTTTTATGTGAAGATATTTACTTTTTCTCCACTGGCCTTTAACCTCTCCCCAAATTCCTTTTGCTGATTCTACGAAAAGACTGTTTCCAAACTGCTCAATCAAAAGAATGGTTCAACTCTGTGAGATGAATGCACACATCACAAAGAAGTTTCTCAGAAATCTTCTGCCTACTTTTTGTGTGAAGATATTTCCTTTTTCAGCATAGGCATCAAAGCGCTCATAATATCCCTTTGCAGATCCCACAAAAAGACTGTTTCCAAACTGCTCAATCAAAAGAATGGTTCAACTCTGTGAGATGAATGCACACATCACAAAGAAGTTTCTCAGAAATCTTCTGCCTACTTTTTGTGTGAAGATATTTCCTTTTTCAGCATAGGCATCAAAGCGCTCATAATATCCTTTTGCAGATCCCACAAAAAGACTGTTTCCAAACTGCTCAATCAAAAGAATTTTTCACCTCTGTGAGATGAATGCACACATTATATAGAGGTTTCTGAGAAAGCTTTTGTCTAGTTTTTATGTAAAGATATTTACTTCTTCACCAATGACCTCAAAGTGCTCACAATATCCCTTTGCAGATTCTAGAAGAACAGAGTTTCCAAACTGCTCAATGATAAGAAACATTTACCTCTGTGAGACGAATGCAAAACTCACAAAGGAGTTTCCCAGAAATCTTTTTTTATGTGAAGATATTTCCTTTATCACCATCAGCCTAGAAACACTCACAAACGTCCCTTTGCAGAATCTCCAAGAACAGAGTTTCCAAACTACTCAATAAAAAGAAACGCTTACCTCTGTGAGATGAATGCACCCATCACAAAGCAGTTTCTCAGAAAGCTTCTGTCTAGTTTTTATGTGAAGATAGTTCAGTTTTCACCATAGGCCTCATAGAGCCCCCAAATATCCCTTTGCAGATTCTATAAAAATACTTGCCAAAAGTCTCAATAAAAAGAATGGTTCAACTTTATGAGATGAATGCACACATCACAAAGATGTTTTCAGAAAGTTTTGTTTAGATTTTAGCTGAAGATATTTCTTTTTCACCATAAGCTTCAGAGCCCTCACAAATATCCCTTTGCAGATTGTACAAGGACAGAATATCCAAACTGCTCAATGAAAAGAAATGTTTACATCTGTGAGATGAATGCACACATCACAAATCAGATTCTCAGAAAGCTTCTTTCTAGTTTTTATTTGAAGATATTTCCTTTTTCACCATAGGCCTCAAAGCCCTACAAAATATCCCTCTGCAGATTCTAACAAAACACTGTTTCCAAACTGCTCAATCAAAAGAATGGTTGAACTCTATGACATGAATGCACACATCACAAACAAGTTTCTCAGAAAACTTCCATCTAATTTTTATGTGAAGATATTTCCTTTTACACCTTAGGCCTCAAAATGCTCACAAATATACATTTGCAAATTCCACAAAAAGGCATTTTCCAAACTGCTCAATCAAAAAAATTTTTCAGCTCTTTGAGATGAATGCACACATCACAAAGAAGTTTCTCAGAAAGATTGTCTAGATATTTCCTTTTTCAACATAGGCCTCAAAGCACTCACTAATATCCCTTTGAAGATTCTAGAAGAACAGAGTTTCCAAAGTGTTGAATGAGAAGAAACTTTTACCTCTGTGAGATGAATGCACAAATGACAGAGCACTTTCTCAGAAAGCTTCTTTGGAGTCTTTATGGGAAGATATTTCCATTTTCACCATAGGACACAAAGCCCTCACAAGCAAGCCTCCTTTTGCAGTTTCTAAAAAAAAACTGTTTCTAAACTGCTCAATGAAAAGGATGGTTTGACGCTGTGAGATGAATGCAAACATCATAAAGAAGTTTCTCATCAAGCCTCTATCTAGTTTCTATGTGAAGATATTTCCTTTTTCACCATAGACCACTGAGCACTCCCAAATATCCCTTTGTAGATTCTACAAAAAGACTGTATCAAAATTGCTCAATCAAAAGAGTGGTTCAACTCTGTGAGATGAATGTATATATCACAAAGACGTTTCTCAGAAACCTTCTGTCTAGTTTTTATGTGAAGATATTTCCTTTTTCACCATAGGCCTCAAAGGACTCACAAACAAACGTTTGTAGATTCTACAAGAACAGAGTTTCCAAACTACTCAATGAAAAGAAATTTACCACTGTGAGATGAATGCACACATCATAAATCAGTTTCTCAGAAAGGTTATTTCCATTTTTTAAGTGAAGACTTTCCCTTTTCACCATAGGCCTCAAAGCATTCCCAAATACCCCTTTGCAGATTTCACAGAAAGAGTGTTGCAAAACTGCTCAATCAAAAGAAAGGTTCAACTCTGTGAGATGAATGCACACATCACAAAGAAGTTTCTCAGAATGCTTCTGTCTAGTTTTTATGTGAAGATATTTCCTTTTCCACCATAGGCCTCAAAGCATTCCCAAATATCCCTTTGCAGATTTCACAAAACGACTGTTTCCAAACTTCTCAATCAAAAGAAAGTTCTACTCTGTCAGATGAAAGCACACAACACAAAGAAGTTTCTCAGAAAGCTTCTGTCTACTTTTTATGTGAAGATATTTCCTTTTTCACCATAGGCCTTAAAGTGCTCCCAGTTATCACTTTGCAGATTCTACAAAAAGACTGTTTACAATCTGCTCATTCAAAAGAATGGTTCAGCACTGTGAGATGAATGCACATATCACAAAGAAGTTTCTCAGAAAGCTTCTGTCTAGTTTTTATGTGAAGATATTTCCCTTTTCACTGTAAACCTCAAAGCACTCACAAATATCCCTTTGCAGATTCTACAAAAAGACTCTTTCTAAACTGCTAAATCAAGAGAATCATTCAACTCTGTGAAATGAATGCACACATCACAAAGAAGTTTCTCAGAAAGTCTGTCTAGTTTTTATGTGAAGTTATTTCCTTTTTCACCTTTGGTCTCAAAGCACTCACAAATATCCATTTGCAGCTTCTAGAAGGACAGAGTTTCCAAACTGCTCAATGAAAAGTAACGTTTACTTCTATGAGATGAATGGACACATCACAAAACAATTTCTCAGAAAGCTTTTATCTAGTTTTTATGTGAAGATATTTCCGTTTTCACCATAGACCTCAAAGTGCTTCCCAATATCCCTTTACAGGTTTTAGGAGGACAAAGTTTCCAAAGTGCTCATGAAATCATGTGTTTACTTCTGTGCCATGAATGGACACACCACAAAGCAGTTTCTCAGAAAGCTTCCTTCTAGTTTTTATGTGAAGATGTTTCCTTTTTCACCACAAGTTTCAAAGCAATTTTTGTGAGCACTTTTAGGCCTACAGTGATTAAGGATAGATCCTCATAGAAAAACTAGACACAAGGTTTCTGAGAAACTTCTTTGTGATGTGTGTGTTCTTCTCACAGGCTTGAACCGTTCTTTTGATTGAGCAGTTCCTAAACAGTCTTTTTGTAGAGTCTGCTAAGAGATATTGGGGAGTGCTTGGAGGCCTAAGGTGAAAAAGTAAGTATCTTCACATTAAAAGTAGAAAGAAGCTTTCTGAGAAACTGCTTCATGATGTGTCCATTCATCTCACAGAGGTAAACATTAGTTTTCAGTGAGCAGTTTGGAAACTATGTTCCTCTAGGATCTGCAAAGGGATATTTGTGAGCACTTTGAGGTCTATGGTGAAAGAGGAAATATCTTCACATAAAATCTAGACAGAAGCTTTCTGAGAAACTTTGTGATGTGTGCATTCATGTCACAGAGTTGAACAATCACTTTGATTGAGCAATTTGGAAACCATCTTTTGGTAGAATCTGCAAAGGCATATTTGTGAGCACTTTGAGTCCTATGGTGAAAAAGGAAATATCTTCACATAAAAACTAGAAAGAAGGTTGCTGAGATACTGCTTTGCGTGTTTGCATTCATCTCACAGAGATATACTTTTTTTTCATTGAGCAGTTTGGAAAATCTGTTCTTGTAGAATGTGCAAAGGGATATTTCTGAGTGCTTTAATGCCTATGGTGAAAAAGGAAATATCTTCACATAAAAACCAGGCAGAAGCTTTCTGAGAGACTGGTTTGTGATGTGTGCATTCATCTAACAGAGTTAAATGTTTCTTTTCATTAAGCACTTTGGAAACTCTGTTCTTCCAGTATCTGCAAAGAGATATTTGTGAGCGCTTTGATGCCTATGGTGAAAAAGGAAATATCTTCACATAAAAATTACACAGAAGCTTTCTGAGAAAGTTCTTTGTGATGTATGCATTCATCTCACAGTGTTGAAACATTCTTTCAATTGAGCACTTTGGAAGGCGTCTTTTTGTAGAATCTGCAAAGGGATATTTTTGAGTCATTTGAGGCTTATGCTGAAAAAGGAAATATCTCCACATAAAAACTAGCCAGAAGTTTTCTGAGAAACTGCTTTGTAATGTGTGCCTTCATGTCACAGAGTGGAATGATTATTTTGATTGAGCAGTGTGGAAACATTCTTTTTGTAGAATCTGCAAAGGGATATTTGTGATCGCTTTGAGGCCTATGGTGAAAAATGAAATATCTTCACATAAAAACTAGACAGAATGTTTCTGAAAAACTGCTTTCTAATGTGTGCCTTAATTTCACAGATTTGAACCATTATTTTGATTGAGCAGTTTGGAAACAATCTTTTTGTAGTATCTGCAAAGGGATATTTGTAAACGCTTTGAGGCCTATGGAGAAAATGGAAATATCTTCACATAAAAACTAGACAGATTCTTTCTGAGAAACTGCTTTGTGATGTGTGCATTCATCTCACAGATTTGAACCTTTCTTTTGATTGAGCAGTTTGGAAACAGTCTTTTTGTAGAATGTCCTAGGGGATATTTGTGAGCCCTTTGAGGCTTATGGTGAAAAAGGTATTATCTCCACATAAAAACTAGACAGAAGCTTTCTCAAAACTGCTTTGTGGTCTGTGCATTCATCTGACAGTGTTGAACCATTCTTTTGATTGTGCAGTTTGGGAACTCTGTTCTTGTAGAACCTGCAAACAAATATTTGTGAGCACTTGGAGGCCCATGGTGAAAAAGGAAATATCTTCATGTAAAAACTAGGCAGAAGCTGTCTGAGAAACTACTTTGTAATGTGTGCATTCATCACAGAGAGTTGAAACATTCTTTTAATTGAACAGTTTGGAAACACTGTTTTTGTAGAACCTGCAAAGGTATATTTGTAAGCACTTTGAGGCCTATGGTGAAAAATAAAATGTCTTCACATAAAAACTAGAAAGAAGGTTTCTGAGAAACTACTTGGTGATGAGGGCATTCATCTCACAGAGTTGAACCATTCTTCTGATTCAGCAGTTTGAAAACAGTCTTTTTGTAGGATCTGCAAAGGGATATTTTTGGACGCTTAGTGGCCTATGGAGAAAATGGAAGTATCTTCACATCAATCCGAGAAAGAAGCTTTCTGAGAAACTGCTTTTTGATGTGTGCATTCAACTCACAGAGTTGAATTCTTCGTTTGATAGAACAGTTTGGAAACAGTCTTCTTGCAGAACCTGCAAAGGGATATTTGTGAGCACTTTGAGTCGCATGGTGAAAAAGGATTTATCTTCACATAAATACTATACAGAAGATTTCTGAGAAACTTCTTTGTGATGTGTGCATTCAACTCACAGTGATGAACAATGCTTTTGATTGAGCAGTTTGGAAACAGTCTTTTTGTAGAATCTGCAAAAGGATATTTGTGGAACGCTTTGAGGCCTATGGTGAAAATGGAAACATCTTCACATAAAAACCAGAAAGAAGCTTTCTGAAAAACTGCCTTGTGATGTGTCCATTCACCTCAATGAAGTAAACGTTTCTTTTCATTCAGCAGTTTGGAAACTCTGTTCTTCTATAATCTATGAAAGTATATTTTAGAGTGCTTTGAGGCCTATGGTGAAAAAGGAAGTATTTTCACATAAAAAGAAGACAGAAGCTTTCTGAGAAAATTCTTTGTGATGTGTGCATTCATGTCACAGACTTGAAACATTCTTTTGATTGAGCAGCTTGGAAACAGTCTTTCTGTAGAATCTGCAAAGGGATATTCATAAGTTCTTTGAGGCCTTTTGTGAAAAAGGAAATATCTTCACATATAAACTAGACAGAAGCTTTCTGAGAAACTTTTTTGTGATGTGTGCATTCATCTCACAGAGTTGGACAATATTTTTGATTGAGCAGTATGGAAACAGTCTTTTTGAAGAATCTGCAATGGGGTATTTTTGAGTGCTTTGAGGCCCATGGTGAGAAAGGAAATGCCTTCATATAAAAACAATAAAGAAGTTTTATATCAAACTGCTTAGTGAAGTGTGCAATCATCTCACAGAGGTAAACATTTCTTTTCATTGAGCAGTATGGAAACTCTGTTCTTGTAGAATCTTCAAAGGGATATTTGTGAGTGATTTGAGTCCTATTGTGGAAAAGGAAATATGTTCACATAAAAACTAGAAAGAAGCTTACTGAGAAACTGCTTTGTGTTGTGTCCATTCATGTCAGAGAAGGAAACGTTTCCTTTCATTGAGCAGTTTGGAAACACTGTAATTCTAGAATCTGCAAAGGGATATTTGTGAGTGCTTTGAGGCCTATGATGAAAAAGGAATAATCTTCTCATAAAAACCAGACAAAAACTTCTGAGAAACTTCTTTGTGATGTGTGCATTCATCCCACAGGGTTGAACCATACTTTTGATTGAGCAGTTTGGAAACATTCTTTTTGTGGTATCTGAAAAGGGATATTTGTGCAACCCTTGAGGCCTATGGTAATAAAGGAAATATCTTCACATAAAACTATCAAGGAGCTTTCTGAGAAACTGCTTTGTGATGTGGGCATTCACCTCACAGAGGCAAATGTTTCTTTGCATTGATCAGATTGGAAACTCTGTTCTTGTAGAATCTGCAAAGAGATATTTGTGAGTGCTTTGAGGCCTAGGTTGAAAAAGTATATATCTGAACAAAAACTATATGGAAGGTTTCTGAGAATCTTCTTCATGATGTATGCACTCATCTCACAGAGTTGATCCAGTCCTTTGATTGAGCAGTTTGGAATCAGTCTTTTTGTAGAATCTGCAAAGTGATATTTGTGAGCCCTTTGAGGCCTACAGTGAAAATGGAAATATCTTCACATAAAACGTAGACACAAGGTTTCTGAAAAACTGCTTTGTGATGTGTGCATTCATCTCACAGAGGTAAATGTTTCTATTCATGGAGGAGATTGGGAAATCTGTTCTTGTAGAATCTGCAAAGGGATATTTGTGAGTGCTTTGAGGCCTCTGGTGAAAAAGGAAATATCTTCACATGAAAACTAGATAGAAGTTTTCTCAGAAACTTCTTTGTGATGTGTGCATTCATCTCATGGATCTGAACATTTCTTTTGATTGAGCAGTTTGGAAAAGGTCTTTTTGTAGAACCTTCAAGGGGATATTTGTGAGCTGTTTTAGGCCTAGGGTGAAAAAGGAAATATCACATAAAAACTAGACAGAAGCTTTCTGAGAATCTTCTTTGTGAATTTTGCATTCATCTCACAGAGTTGAACCTTTCTTTTGATTGAGCACTTTGGAAACTTTTTTTTTTTTTAGAATCTGGAAAGTGATATTGGTGAGCCCTTTGAGGACTATGGTGAAAAAGAAAATAGCTTCATATAAAAACTAGAAAGAAGGTTTCTGAGAAACTGCTTTATGATGTGCATATTCATCTCACAGAGGTAAACATTTCTTTTCATTGAGCAGATTGGAAACTCTGTTCCTGCAGAATCTGCAAAGGGATAATTGTGAGCAATTTGAGGCCTATGGTGAAAAAAGAAGTATCTTCACATAAAAACTAGACAGATTCTCTCTGAGAAACTTCTTTGTGATGCAGGCACTCATTTCACAGAGTTTAAAGTTTCTTTTGATTGAGCAGTTTAAAAACAGTATTTTTGTAGAATCTGCAAAGGGATATTTGTGAGCAGTTTGTGTCCTATGGTGAAAAAGGAAATATCCTCACATAAAAACTAGACAGACTGTTTCTGAGAAACTTCTTGTGAAGTGTGCATTCAAGTCACAGAGTTGAAACTCACTTTTGATTGAGTAATTTGGAAGCAGTCTTTTTGTACAATCTGCAAATAGATATTTGTGAGCAGTTTGAGGCCTATGGTGAAAAAAGAAATATGTTCACAAAAAAAACGAGGCAGAAGCTTTCTGAGAAACTTCTTTGTGATGTGTGTATTCATTTCACAGAGTTGAACCTTTCTTTTGATTGAGAAGTTTTGAAACAGTCTTTTTGTAGATTCTCCAAGGGGATATTTGTGAGCAGCTTGTGGCCTATGGTGAAAAAGGAAATATCTTCACATTAAAACTAGACAGAAGCATTCTGAGAAACGTCTTTGTGATGTTTGCATTCATCTCACAGAGGTAAATGTCTGTTTTCATCGAGCAATTTGGAAACTCTCTTTTTGTAGAATCTGAAAAGGGATATTTGTGAGCATTTTGAGACCTATGGTGGAAAAGGAAATACCTTCACATAAAAACTAGGCAGAAGCTTTCTGAGAAATTTCTTTGTGATATGTGCATTCATCTCAAGAGTTGAAACATTTTTTTGATTCAGCAGTTTGAAAAACATCTTTTTTAGGATCTATAAAGGGATATTTGTGAGCACTTTGATGCCTATGGATAAAAAGCTGATATCTTCACATAATAACTAGATTGCAGTTTGTGAGCAACTTCTTTGTGATGTTTGTATTACTACCACACAGTTGAACTATTCTAATTATTGAGCAGTTTGGAAACTGTCTTTTTGCAGTGTCTGCAAAGGCATATTTGTGAGTGCTTTGAGGCCTATGTTGAAAAAGGAAACACCTTGACATGAAAAAAGAAATAAGGTTTCTGAGAAACTGCTTAGTTATGTGTGTATTCATCTCACAGAGGTAAACGTTTCTATTCATGGAGCACATTGGAAACTCTGTTTCTCTAGAATCTGCAAAGAGATACTCATGAATGCATTGAGGCCTAGGGTCAAAAAGGAAATATCTTCACATAAAAATTAGACAGAAACATTCTGAGAACTTCTTTATGATGTGTGCATTCATCTCACAGAGATGAACCATTCTTTTGGTTGATTAGTATGGAAACAGTGTTTTTGTAGAATCTGCAAAGGGATATTTGTGAGTGCTTTGAGGCCTACGGTCAAAAAGTAAATATCGTCACACAAAAACTAGAAAGAAGGTTTCTGAAAAACTAGAAAGAGGTTTTCTGAGAAACTGCTTTGTGATGTGTCATTCATCTCAAAGAGGTAAATGTTTCTTTTCATTGAGCAGTTTGGAAACTCAGTTCCTCTCGAATCTGCAAAGGGATATTTGTGAGCACTTTGAGTCCCATGGTGAAAAAGGAAATATCTTCACATAAAAAGTAGAAAGAAGCTTTCTGAGCAACTGCTTTGTGATGTGTCAATTCATCTCACAGTAGTAAATTTTCCTGTCATTGAGCAGTTTGGAATTTCTGTCCTTCTAGAATCTGCAAACGGATATTTGTGAGCACTTTGAGAACTATGGTAAAAAATGAAATATCTTCTCATAAAAACTAGACAGAACCATTCTGAGAAATATCTTTGGGATGTGTGCATTCATCTCACAGGGATGAAACATTCCTTTGATTGAGCAGTTTGGAATCAGTCTTTTTGTAGAATATGCAAAGAGATATTCATGAGCACTTTGAGGCCTATGGTGAAAAAGGAAATATCTTCACATAAAAACTGGAAAGAAGATTTAATGCAGACTGCTTTCTGATGTGTGCATTCATCTCACAGTCTTGAAACATTCTTTTCATTGAGCAGTTTTGAAACTCTTTTCTGGTAGAATCTGCAAAGGGATATTTGTGAGTGCTTTGAAGCATATGGTGAAAAAGGAAATGTCTTCACATAGAAACTGGACAGAAGCTTTATGAGAAACTGCTTTGTGATGTGTCCATTCATTTCATAGAAGTAAACGTTTCCTTTCATTGAGCAATTTGGGAACTCTGTTCTTGAAGAATCTGCAAAGGGATATTTGGGAGCTCTTTGAGGCCTATGGTGAAAATGGAAATATCTTCACATAAATACCATATATAAGTTTTCTGAGAAACTTCTTTGTCACGCGTGCATTCATCTCACAGAGTTGAACCATTCTTTTGATGGAGCAGTTTGGAAACAAATCTTTTTGTAGAATCTGCAAAGGTATATTTTTGAGAGCTTTGAGGCCTATGGTGAAAAGAAATATCTTCTTAAAAAAACTAGACAGAAACTTTCTGAGAAACATCTCCTGTTATGTGTGTATTCATCTCACAGGATTGAACCATTCTCTTGATTGAGCAGTTTGGAAACAGACTTTTTGTGGTATCTATGAAGGGATATTTGGCAGCACTTTGAGGCCTATGGTGAAAAAGGAAATATCTTCACATAAAAAATACAAAGAAGCTTTCTGAGAAACTGCTTTGTGATATGTGTGTTCATCTCACAGAGTTGAACCATTTTTTCATTTAGCAGTTTGGAAACTCTGTTCTTCTAAAATCTGCAAAGGCATGTTTTTGAGCTCTGTGAGGCCTATGGTGAAAAAGGAAATATCTTCAAATAAAAACCAGAAAGAAGCTTTCTGAGAAACTGCTTTGTTATGTGTGCATTCACCTCACAGAGTTGAAACATTATTTTCATTGAGGAATTTGGAAACTCTGTTTTTGTAAAATGTGCAAAGGTATATTTTGAGTACTTTGAGGCCAATGGTGAAAAATTAAATATGTTCCCATAAAAACTAGACAGAGGCTTTCTGAGAAACTTTTTTGTGATGTGCACATTCATCTCACAGAATCGAACCATTCTTTTGATTCAGCATTTTGGGGACAGTCTTTTTGTAGAATCTGCAAAAGGATACATGGGAGCACTTTGAGTCCTATTGTGAAAAAGGAAATAACTTCACATAAAAACTAGAAAGAAGCTTTCTGAGAAACTGCTTTGTGGTGTGGCCATTCATCTCACAAAAATAAAGGTTTTCTTTCATATAGCAGTTTGTAAAGTCTGTCCTTCTAGAATCTGCAAAGGGATATTTGTGAGCGCTTTGAGGCCTATGGTGAAAAAAGAAATATCTTCATGTAAAAACTAGAAAGAAGGTTTCTGAGAAACTGCTTTGTTATGTCTGTGTTCATCTCACAGAAGTAAAAGTTTCTTTTCTTTGAGCAGTTTGGAATCTCTGTTCTTCTATAATGTGCAAAGCAATATTTGTGAGTGATATGAGTCCTATGGTGAAAAAGGGAATATCATCACAAAAAAATTAGAAAGAAGCTTTCTGAGAAGCTACTTTGAGATGTGTACATTCATCTCAAACAGTTGAACCATTCACTTGATTGAGCAGTTTGGAAACATCTTTTTGTGGAATCCAAAAAGGGATATTTGTGAGCACTTTGAGGCCTATGATGAAAAAGGAAATGTCTTCACATAAAAACTAGACAGAAGGTTTCTGAGAAACTTCTTTGTGATGTGTGCATTCATCCCACAGAGGTAAACGTTTCCTTTCATTGAGCAGTTTGCAAACTCTGTTTTTGCAGAATCTGCAAAGGGATATTTGTGAGTGCTTTCAGGCCTACGGTGAAAAGGGAAATGACTTCACATAAATAATAGAAAGAAGGTTTCTGAGAAACTGTTTTGTGATGTGTGCATACATCTCACAGAGGTAAAGGTTCCTTTTCATTGAGCACTTTGGAAACTCCCTTCTTGCAGAATCTGCAAATGTATATTAGTGAGTGCTTTGAGGCCTATGGTGAAAAAGGAAGTATATTCACATAAAAATTAGAAAGAAGGTTTCTGAGAAAGTACTTTGTGAGGTGTGCATTCATCTCACAGTGGCAAACATTTCTTTTCTTGGAGTAATTTGGAAACTCTGTTTCTCTAGAACCTGCAAAGGGATATTTCTGAATGCTTTGAGAGCTATGTTGAAAAAAGATATACCTTCTCATAAAAACTAGACAGAAACTTTCTGAGAAACTTCTTAGATGTGTGCATTCATCTCACAGTGTTGAACCATTCTTTTGGTTCAACAGTTTGGAAACAGTCTTTTTGTAGTATCTGCAAAGGGACATTTGTGAGCGCTTTGAGGTCTATGGTGAAAAAGGAAATATCTTCACATAATAAGGAGAAAGAAGGTTTCTGAGAAACTGCTTTGTGATGTGTGCATTCATCTCACCGAGGTAAACGTTTGTTTTCCTTGGTCCATTTGGAAACTGTGTTCTTGTAGCATCTGCAAAGGGATATTTTTGAGTGCTTTGAGGCCTATGGTGAAAAATGAAATATCTTCACATAAAAACTAGACCGAAGGTTTCTCAGAAACTTCTTTGTGAAGTGTCCATTCATCTCACAGAGTTGAACCTCACTTTTGATTGAGCAATTTGGAAACAGTCCTTTTGTACAATTGTCATAGGAATATTTGGGAGAGCTTTGAGGCCTATGGTGAAAAGGGAAATATCTTCACATAAAAGCTAGAAAGAAGCTTTCTGAGAAACTGTTTTGTATTGTGTCCATTCATCTCAGAGAAATAAACATTTCCTTTCATTGAGCAGTTTGGAAATTCTGTCCTTCTAGAATCTTCAAAGGGATATTTTTGAGCACTTTGAGGACTACGGTGAAAAAGGAAATATTTTCACATAAAAGCTAGAATGAAGCTCTTTGAGAAACTGTTTTGTGTTGTTTCCATTCATCTCAGAGAAGTAAACGTTTCCTTTCATTGAGCAGTTTGGAAATTCTGTCCTTCAAGAATCTGCAAAGGGACATTTCTGAGCACTTTGGGGCCTATGGTGAAAAAGGAAATATCTTCCCATAAAAACTAGACAGAATCTTTATGAGAGACTGCTTTGTGATGTGTGCATTCAACCCCCAGAGTTGAAACATTCTTTTGATTGAGCATTTTGGAAACAGTCTTTTTGCAGAATCTGCAAAGGGATATTTGTGAGCCCTTTGAGGACTATGGTGAACAAGTAAATATCTTCTCATAACTAGACAGAAGGTTGCTGAAAAACTACTTTGTGATGTGTGATTCATCTCAAAGAGGTAAACGTTTCTTTTCATTGAGCAGATAGGAAACCCTGCTCTTGTAGAATCTGCAAAGGGATATTTGTGAGTGGTTTCAGGCCTATGGTGAAAAAGGAAATATCTCCACATAAAAACTAGACAAGTTGTGAGAAACTTGTTTGTGATTGCTGCATTCATCTCACACAGTTGAACCTCACTTTTGATTGAGCAGTTTGGAAACAGTCTTTCTGTAGAATGTGGAAACGAATATTTGAGAGCAGTTTGAGGCCTATGGTGAAGAAGGAAATATCTTCACATAAAAACTAGACAGAAACTTCCTGAGAATCATCTTTGTGATGTGTGCATTCATCTCACAGAGCTGAAGATTTCTTTTGACTGAGCACTTTGGAAACAGTTTTTTTTTTTTTTTTTTGCAAACTGCAAAGGGATATTTGTGAGCCCTTTGAGGAATATGGTGAAAAAGGAAATAACTTCACATAAAAACTAGAAAGAAGGTTTCTGAGAAACTGCTTTGTGATGTGTACATTCATCTCACAGAGGTAAACTTTCCTTTTCATTGAGCAGAATGGAAACTCTGTACCTGTAGAATCTGCAAAGGGATAATTGTGAGCACTTTGAGGTCTAAGGTGAAAAAAGAAATACCTTCACATAAAAACTAGACAGAAGCTATCTAAGAAACTATTTTGTGATTCGTGCATTCGTCTCACAGAGTTGAAAGTTTCTTTTGATTGAGCAGTTTGGAAACAGTCTTTCTGTAGAATCTGCAAAGGCATATTTGTGAGCGGTTTGAGGCCTATGGTGAAAAAGGAATTATCTTCACATAAAAACTAGACAGAAGCTTTCTCAGAAATTTCTTTGTTATGTGTGCATTCATTTCACAGAGTTGCAACTTTCTTTTGATTGAGCAGTTTGGAAACAGTCTTTTTGTAGAGTATGCAAAGGGATATTTTTGAGTGCTTCAAGGCCTATGGTGAAAAATGAAATATCTTCACATAAAAAGTATGGAGAAGCCTTTTGAGACACTACTTTGAGATGTGTGCATTCATCTCAGACAGTTATAACTTTCTTTTCATTGAGCAATTTGGAAACAGTATTTTTGTTGAATCTGCAAATGGATATTTGTGAGCAGTTTGAGGCATATGGTGAAATAGGAAATATCTTCACATAAAAAGTAGACAGAAGCTTCCTGAGAAACTTCTTTGTGATGTGTGGATTCATCTCACAGAACTGAAATTTTCTTTTCATTGAGCAGTTTGGAAACAGTCTTTTTGTAGAATCTTCAAAGGGATATTTGTCAGCAGTTTGAGGCCTATGGTGAAAAAGGAAATATCTTGACATAAAATTAGACAGAAGCTTTCTGAGAAACTTCCTTGTGATGTGTGCATTCATCTCACAGAGGTAAACGTTTCTTTTCACTGAGCAGATTGGAAACTCTGTCCTTGTAGAATCTGCACAGGGATAATTGTGAGCAACTTGAGGCCTATGGTGAAAAATGAAATATCTTCACATAAAAACTAGACAGATGCCTTCTGAGAAACTACTTTGTGATGCATGCATTCATCTCACAGAGGTGAACATTTCTTTTGATTGAGTAGTTTGGAAACTGTCTTTTTGTAGAATCTGTAAAGGGATATTTGTAAGTGGTTTGAGGCCTATGGTGAAAAACAAAATATCATCACATAAAAACTAGACTGAAGTTTTCTGAGTCAATTCTTTGTGATGTGTGAATTCATCTCACAGAGTTCAAACTTTCCTTTGATTCAGCAGTTTGGGGTCAGTCTTTTTGTAGGATCTACAAAGGGATATTTTTGAGCCCTTTGAGGCCTATGGTGAAAAAGCAAGTATCTTCACATAAAAACTGCACACAAGGTTTGTGAGAAACTGCTTTATGGTGTGTGCATTCATCTCACAGAAGTAAAGGTTTCTTTTCATTGAACACATTGGAAACTCTCTTCTTGTAGAATCTGCAAAGGGATATTTGTGAGTGCTTTGAGGTCTATGGTTGAAAAGAAATATCTTCACAGAAAAACTAGACAGAAGGGTGGAGCCGAGATGGCCGAGTAGGAACAGCTCCAGTCTACAGCTCCCAGCATGAGTGATGCAGAAGAGGGGTGATTTGTGCATTTCCATCTGAGGTACAGGGTTCATCTCACTAGGGATTGCCAGACAGTGGGTGCAGTGCACCATAGCAGGGCGAGGCATTGCTACGCTCTGCCCCTACAGGAAGCACTAGGGGTCAGGGTGTTCCCTTTCCTAGTCAAAGAAAGGGGTGACAGATGGCACCTGGAAAATCGGTTCACTCCCACCATAATACTGTTTTTTTCCAATGGGATTAAAAAACAGCACACCAGGAGATTATATACCGCATCTGGTTCAGAGGGTCCTATGCCCACGGAGTCTCACTGATTGCTAACACAGCAGTCTGAGCTCACACTGCAAGGTAGCAGCGAGCCTGGGGGAGGGGCGCCTGCCATTGCCCAGGCTTGATTAGGTAAACAAAGCAGCCAGGAATCTCAAACTGGGTGGAGCCCACCACAGCTCAAGGAGTCATGCCTGCCTCTGTAGGCTCCACCTCTGGAGGCAGGGTACAGACAAACAAAAAGACAGCAGTAACCTCTGCAGACTTAAATGTCCCTTTCTGACAACTTTGAACAGAGTAGTGGTTCTCCCAGCATGCAGCTAGAGATCTGAGAATGGACAGACTGCCTCCTCAAGTGAGTCCTTGACCCCCAAGCGGCCTAAGTGGGAGGCACCCCCCAGTAGGGGCAGACTGACATCTCACAAAGCCAGGTACTCCTTTGAGGAAAAACTTCCAGAGGAATGATCAGGTAGCAGCATTTGTGGTTCACTAAGATCCGCTGTTCTACAGCCACCGCTGTTCTGCAGCCACTGCTGCTGATACCCAGGAAAACAGGGTCTGGAGTGGACCTCTAGCAAACTCCAACAGACCTGCAGCTGAGGGTCCTGTCTGTTAGAAGGAAAACTAACAAACAGAAAGGACATCCACACCAAAAATCCTTCTGTACGTCACCATCATCAAAGACCAAAAGTAGATAAAACCACAAAGATGGGGAAAAAACAGAACAGAAAAACTGGAAACTCTAAAAAGCAGAGCACCTCTCCTCTTCCAAAAGAATGAAGCTCCTCACCAGCAATGGAACAAAGCTGGATGGAGAATGACTTTGATGAGCTGTGAGAAGAAGGCTTCAGATGATCAAACTACTCCGAGCCACAGGAGGACATTCAAGTCAATGGCAAAGAAGTTAAAAACTTTCAAAAAAAATTAGAAGAATGGATAACTAGAATAACCAATGCAGAGAAATCCTTAAAGGAGCTGATGGAGCCGAAAGCCAAGGCTTGAGAACTACATGAAGAATGCAGAAGCCTCAGGAGCCGATGTGATCAACTGGAAGAAAGGGCATCAGTGATGGAAGATGAAATGAATGCAATGAAGCAGGAAGGAAAGTTTAGAGAAAAAAGAATAAAAATAAATGAACAAAGCCTCCAAGAAATATGGGACTACGTGAAAAGACCAAATCTATGTCTGACTGGTGTACCTGAAAGTGAAGGGGAGAATGGAAGTAAGTTGGAAAACACTCTGCAGGATATTATCCAGGAGAACTTCCCCAATCTAGCAAAGCAGGCCAACATTCAGATTCAGGAAATACAGAGAACACCACAAAGATACTCCTCGAGAAGAGCAACTCCAAGACACATAATTGTCAGATTCACCAAAGTTGAAATGAAGGAAAAAATGCTAAGGGCAGCCAGAGAGAAAGGTCGGGTTACCCACAAAGGGAAGCCCATCAGACTAACAGTGGATCTGTCGGCAGAAACTCTACAAGCCAGAAAAGAGTGGGGGCCAATATTCATCATTCTTAAAGAAAAGAATTTTCAACCCAGAATTTCATATCCAGCCAAACTAAGCTTCATAAGTAAAGGAGAAGTAAAATCCTTTTCAGAAAAGCAAATGCTGAGAGATTTTGTCACCACCAGACCTGCCCTAAAAGAGCTCCTGAAGGAAGCACTAAACATGGAAAGGAACAAAGGGTACCAGCCACTGCAAAATCATGCCAAAATGTAGAGACCATCAAAGCTAGGAAGAAACTGCATCAACTAATGAGCAAAATAACCAGCTAACGTCATTATGACAGGAATAAATACACACATAACAATATTAACTTTAAATGTAAATGGGCTAAATGCTCCAATTAAAAGACACAGACTGGCAAATTGGATAAAGAGTCAAGATCCATCAGTGTGCCATATTCAGGAAACCCATCTCACGTGCAGAGACACACATAAGCTCAAAATAAAGGGATGGAGGAAGATCTACCAAGCAAACGGAAAACAAAAAAAAAGTAGGAGTTGCAATCCTAGTCTCTAATAAAACAGACTTTATACCAACAAAGATCAAAAGAGACAAAGAAGGCCATTACATAATGGTAAAGGGATCAATTCAACAAGAAGAGTTAACTATCCTAAATATATATGCATCCAATACAGGAGCACCCAGATTGATAAAGCAAGTCCTTAGTGACCTACAAAGAGACTTAGACTCCCACACAGTAATAATGGGAGACTTTAACACCCCACTGTCAACTTCAGACAGATCAATGAGACAGAAAGTTAACAAGGATACCCAAGAATTGGACTCAGCTGTACACCAAGTGGATGTAATAGACATCTACAGAATTTTCCACCCGAAATCAACAGAATATACATTTTTTTCAGCACCACACCACACCTATTCCAAAATTGACCACATAGTTGGAAGTAAAGCACTCCTCAGCAAATGTAAAAGAACAGAAATTATAACAAACTGTCTCTCAGACCACAGTGCAATCACACTAGAACTCAGGACTAAGAAACTCACTCAAAACTGCTCAACTACATGGAAACTGAACAACCTGCTCCTGAATGACTACTGGGTACATAATGAAATGAAGGCAGAAATAAAGATGTTCTTTGAAATCAACCAGAACAAAGATACAACATACCAGAATCTCTGGGACACATTCACAGAGTTGAATTTTCTTTCAACTTTCAAGTTCACAGAGTTGAACTTTTCTTTTGATTGAGCAGTTTGGGAACTGTCTTTTTGTAGAAACTGCAAAGGGACATTTTTGAGCTCCTTGAGGCTTATGGTGAAAAAGGAAACATCTTCACATAAAAACTGAACAGAAGCTTTCTCAGAAACTTCGTGATGTGTTCATTCATCTCAGAAAGCTGAACCTTTCTTTTGATTGAGCAGTTTAGAAAAAGTCTTTTTGTAGTATCTGCAAAGGCATATTTGTGAACACTTTGAGGCATATGGTGAAAAAGCAAATATCTTCACATAGAAACTAGAAAGAAGGTTTCTGAGAAACTGCTTTGTGATGAGTACATTCATATCATAGATGTAAATATTTCTTTTCATTGAGCAGATTGGAAACTCTGTTCTTGTAGAATCCACAAAGGAATATTTGTGAGTGCTTTGAGGCCTATGGTGAAAAAGGGAATATCTTCACATAAAAATAAGACAGAATATTTTTTAGAAACTTCTTTATGATGTGTGCACTCATCTCATAGTGTTGAACCTTTCTTTTGATTGATCAGTTTGGAAACCATCTTTTTGTAGCATCTGCAAAGGGATATTTCTGAGCACTTTGAGGCCTATGGTGAAAAAGAAAATATCCTCACATAAAAAATAAACAGAATCTTTGTGAGAAACTTCTTCATGATGTGAGCATTCATGTCACAGAGTGCAGCCTTCCTTTTGCTTGAGCCGTTTGTAAACAGTCTTTGTGTAGAATCTTCAAAGGGATATTTGGCAGTGCTTTGATTCCTATGTTGAAAAAGGAAAGGAAATATCTCCACATAAAGACTAGAAAGAAGCTTTGTGAGAAATTGCTTTGTGATGTGTCCATTTATGTCACAGAGGTAAATGTTTCTTTTTATTGAGCAGGTTGGAAACTCTGTTCTTGTAGAATCTGCAAAGGGATATTTGTGAGTGCTTTGAGGCCCATGGTTAAAAAGGACACAACTTAACATAAAAACTAGACAGAAGCTTTCTAAGAAGTTCTCTGTGCTGTGTGCATTCATTTCAAAGAGGTAAACGTTTCTTTTGATTGAGCAGTTTGGAAACAGTCTCTTGGAGAATCTGAAAAGGGACATTTGGGAGAGCTTTGAGGACTATGGTGAAAAAGGATAAGTCTTCACATAAAAACTAAATAGAAGGTTTCTGAGAAGCTGCTTTGTGATGTGTGCATTCATTTCACAGAGGTAAACGTTTCTTTTCATTGAGCAGATTGGGAACTCTGTTCTTGTAAAATCTGCAAAGGGATATTTGTGAGCGGTTTAAGGCCTATGGTGCAAAAGGAAATATCTTCACATAAAAACCAGGCAGAAGCTTTCTGAGAAACTTCTACATGATGAATGTCTTCATCGCACACAGTTGAACCATACTTTTTATTGAGCAAGTTGGAAACCGTTTTTCATAAAATCTGCCATGGGATATTTGTGAGTGCTTTGAGGCCTATGGTGATAAAGAAAATATCTTCACCTATAAACTATAAAGAAGGTTTCTGAGAAACTGCTATGTGATGTGTGCATTGATCTCACAGAGTGAAACTTCCTTTTCTTTGTTCTGTCTGGAAACTCTGTTATTGTAGAGTCTGGAAAAGGATATTTTTTAGCGCCCTGAAGCCTATGGTGGAAAAGGCAATATCTTCACATAAAAACTAGACAGAAGCATTCTTAGAAACTTCTTTGGGAGGAGCCAAGTTGGCTGAATAGTAACAGCTCAGGTCTACAGCTCCAAGCATGAGCAAGGCAGAAGACAGGTGATTTCTGCATTTCCAACTGAGGAACCGGGTTCATCTCACTGGGGGGTGCCAGAAAGTAGGTGCAGGACAGTGGGTGCAGCACACTGTGCATGAGCCAATGCAGGGCAAGGAATCACCTCAACCAGGAAGCACAAGGGGTCAGGGAATTCCCTTTCCTAGTCAAAGAAAGGGGTGACAGAAGGCACCTGAAAATTGGGTCACTCCCACCCTAACACTGCACTTTTCCAACAGGCATAAAAAAGAGCTCACCAGGAGATTATATCTCGTACCTTGCTCAGAGGGTCCTACACCCACAGAATCTCACTCATTGCTAGCACAGCAGTCAGAGATCAAACTGCAAGGCAACAGCGAGGCTGGGGAAGAGGTGACCACCATTGCCAAGTTAGTTGATTGATTAGGTAAACAAAGCAGCCAGGAAGCTCAAACTGGGTGGAGCCCACCACAGCTCAAGGAGGCCTGCCTGCCTCTGTAGGCGCCACCTCTGAGTGCAGGGCACAGATAAACAAAAAGACAACAGTAACCTCTGCAGACTTAAATGTCCCTGTCTGACAGCTTTGAAGAGAGTAGTGGTTGTCACAGCATGCAGTTTGATATCTGAGAACGGGCAGACAGCCTCCTCAAGTGGGTACTCATCCCCGAGTAGCCTAACTGGGAGGCACCCCACAGTAGGGGCAGACTGATACCTCACAAGGCCGGGTACTCCTCTCAGACAAAACTTCCAGAGGAATGATCAGACAGCAGCATTTGTGGTTCACCAATATCCACTGTTCTGCAGCCACCACTGCTGATACCCAGGAAAACAGGGTCTGGAGTGGACCTCTAGCAAACTCCAACAGACCAGCACTGAGGGTCCTGTCTGTTAGAAGGAAAACTAACAAACATAAAGGACATCCACACCAAAAACCCATCTGTACATCACCATCATCAAAAACCAAAGGTAGATAAAACCACAAAGATGGGAAAGAAACAGAGAAGAAAAACTGCAAACTCTAAAAATCAGAGTGCCTCTCCTCCTCCAAAGGAATGCAGCTCCTCACCAGCAATGGAACAAAACAGGATGGAGAATGACTTTGACGAGTTGAGAGAGGAAGGTTTCAGAATATCAAAGAACTACGAGCTACAGGAGGAAATTCGAACCAATGGCAAAGACGTTATAAGCTTTGAAAAAAAATTAGATGAATGGATAACTAGAATAACCAATGCAGAGAAGTCCTTAAAGGACTTGATGGAGCTGAAAACCAAGGCACAAGAGCTATACAATGAATGCAGAAGCCTCAGGAGCCAATGCGATCAACAGGAAGAAAGGATATCAGTGATGGAAGACGAAATGAATGAAATGAAGTGATTGGTATACCTGAAAGTGACAGGGAGAATGGAACCAAGTTGGAAAACACTCTGCAGGGTATTATCCAGGAGAACTTCCCCAATCCAGCAAGAAAGACCAACATTCAAATTCAGAAAATATAGAGAACGTCACAAAGATACTCCTCAAGAAGATCAACTCCAAGACACATAATTGTCAGATTCACCAAAGTTGAAATGAAAGAAAAAATGTTAAGGGCAGTCAGAGAGAAAGGTAGGATGACCAACAAAGGGAAGCCCATCAGACTAACAGCTGATCACTCCGCAGAAACTCTACAAGCCAGAAGAGAGTGGGGGCCAATATACAACATTCTTAAAGAAAAGAATTTTCAACCCAGAATTTCATATCCAGCCAAACTAAGCTTCATAAGTGAAGGAGAAATAAAATACTTTACAGACAAGCAAATGCTGAGAGATTCTGTCACCACCAGGCACTCCTAAAAGAGCTCCTGAAGGAAGCACTGAACATGGAAAGGAAAAACCGGTACCAGCCACTGCAAAAACATGCCAAATTGTACAGACCATGATGGCTAGGAAGAAACTGCATCAACTAACGAGCAAAATAACCAGCTAACATCATAATGACAGGATCAAATTCACACATAAAAATATTAACCTTAAATGTAAATGGGCTAAATCCTCCAATTAAAAGACACAGACTGGCAAATTGGATAAAGAGTCAAGACCCATCAGTGTGCTGTATTCAGAAAATCCATCTCACGTGCAGACACACACATAGGCTCAAAATAAAGGGATGAAGGAAGATCTACCAAGCATATGGAAAACAAAAAAAGGCAGGGGATTCAATCCTAGTCTCTGATAAAACAGACTTTATACCAACAAAGATCAAAAGAGACAAAGAAGGCCATTACATAATGGTAAAGGGATCAATTCAACAAGAAGAGCTAACTATCCTAAATATATATGCACCCAATACAGGAGCACCCAGATTGATAAAGCGAGTCCTTAGTGACCTACAAAGAGACTTAGACTCCCACACAATAATAATGGGAGACTTTAACACCCCAATGTCAACATTAGACAGATCAATGAGAGAGAAAGTTAACAAGTATATCCAGGAATTGTACTCAGCTCTGCACCAAGCTGATCTAATAGACATCTACAGAACTCTCCACCCTAAATCAACAGAGTATACATTCTTTTCAGCACCACACCACACCTATTCCAAAATTGACCACATACTTGGAAGTAAAGCTCTCCTCAGCAAATGTAAAAGAAAAGAAATTATAACAAACTATCTCTAAGACCACAGTGCAATCAAACTAGAACTCAGGATTAAGAAACTCACTCAAAACCACTCAACTGCGTGGAAACTGAACAAACTGCTCCTGAATGACTATGGGGTACACAACGAAATGAAGGCAGAAATAAAGATGTTCTTTGAAACCAACGAGAACAAAGACACAACATACAAGAATCTCTGGGACACATTCAAAGCAGAATGTAGAGGGAAATTTTTAGCACTAAATGCCCACAAGAGAAAGAAGGAAAGATCTAAATTTGACACCCTAAAATCACAATTAAAAGAACGAGAGAAGCAAGAGCAAACACATTCAAAATCTAGCCGAAGGCAAGAAATAACTAAAATCAGAGCAGAACTGAAGGAAATAGAGACACAGAAAACGCTTTAAAAAATCAATGAATCCAGGAGCTGGTTTTTTGAAAAGATCAACAAAATTGACAGACTTCTAGCAAGACTAATAAAGAAGAAAAGAGAGAAGAATCAAATAGATGCAATAAAAAAGGACAAAGGGGATATCACCACCAATCCCACAGAAATACAAACTACCATTAGAGAATACTATAAACCCCTCTATGCAAATAAACTAGAAAATCTAGAAGAAATGGATAAATTCCTCGACACATATACCCTCCCAAGTCTAAACAAGGAAGAATTTGAATCTCTGAATAGACCATAAACAGGCTCTGAAGTTGAGGCAATAATTAATAGCTTATCAACCAATAAAAGTCCATGACCTGATGGATTCACAGTGGAATTCTACCAGAGGTACAAGGAGGAACTGGTACCATTCCTTCTGAAATTATTCCAATCAATAGAAAAAGAGGGAATCCTCCCTAACTCATTTTATGAGGCCACCATCATTCTGATACCAAAGCCTGGTAGAGACACACAAAAAAAGAGAATTTTAGACCAATATCCTTGATGAACATTGATTCAAAAATCCTCAATAAAATACTGGCAAACCGAATCCAGCAGCACATCAAAAAGCTTATCCACCATGAGAAAGTAGGCTTCATTCCTGGGTTGCAAGGCTGGTTCAGCATACGAAAATCAATAAATGTAATCTAGCATATAAACAGAACCAAAGACAAAAACCACATGATTATCTCAATAGATGCAGAAAAGCCCATTGACAAAATTCAACACTTCATGCTAAAAATTCTCAATAAATCAGGTATTGATGGGATGTAACTCAAAATAATAAGAGCTATCTATGACAAGCCAACAGCCAATATGATAACGAATGAACAAAAACTAGAAGCATTCCCTTTGAAAACTGGCAAAAGACAGGATGCCCTTTCTGTTCACTCCTATTCAACATAGTGTTGGAAGTTCTGGCCAGGGAAATCAGGCAGGAGAAGGAAATAAAGGGTATTCAATTAGGAAAAGAGGAAGTCAAATTGTCCCTGTTTACAGATGACATGATTATATATCTAGAAAACCCCATCGTCTCAGCCCAAAATCTCCTTAAGCTGATAAGCAACTTCAGCAAAGTCTCAGGATACAAAATCAATGTGCAAAAATAAAAAACATTCTTAGACACCAATAACAGACAAACAGAGAGTGAAATCATGAGTGAACTCCCATTCACAATTGCTTCCAAGAGAATAAAATACCTAGGAATCAAACTTACAAGGGATGTGAAGGACCTCTTCCAAGAGAACTACAAACCACTGCTCAATGAAATAAAAGAGGATACAAACAACTGGAAGAACATTCCATGCTCATGGGTAGGAAGAATCAATATCATGAAAATGGCCATACTGCCCAAGGTAATTTATAGATTCAGCCATCCCCATCAAGCTACCAATGACTTTCTTGACAGAACTGGAAAAACTACTTTAAAGTTCATATGGAACCAAAAAAGAGCCCACATCATCAAGTCAATCCTAAACCAAAAGAACAAAGTTGGAGGCATCACGCTACCTGACTTTGAACTATAGTACAAGGGTACAGTAACCAAAACAGCATGGTACTGGTACCAAAACAGATTTAGACCAATGGAACACAACAGAGCCCCCAGAAATAATGCTGCATAGCTACAACTATCTGATCTTTGACAAAGTTGACAAAAACAAGAAATGAGGAAAGGATTCCCTATTTAATCAACTGTGCCGGGAAAACTGTCTAGCCATATGTAGAAAGCTGAAACTGGATCCCTTCCTCACACCTTATACAAAAATTTATTCAAGATTTATTAAAGACTTAAATATTAGAAGTAAAACCATAAAAATCCTAGAAGACAACCTAGGCAATACCATTCAGGCCATAGGCATGGGCAAGTACTTGATGTCTAAAACACCAACAGCAATGGCAACAAAAGCCAAAAATGACAAATGGGATCTAGTTAAACTAAATAGCTTCTGCACAGCAAAAGAAACTACCATCAGAGTGAACAGGCAACCTACAAAATGGGAGAAAATTTTTGCAACCTGCTTATCTGACAAAGGGCTAATATCCAGAATCTACAATGAACTCAAACAAATTTACAAGAAAAAAGCAACCCCATCAAAAAGTGGGCAAAGGACATGAAAAGACAGTTCTCAAAAGAAGACATTTATGCAGCCAAAAAACACATGAAAAAATGCTCATCATCGCTGGCCATCAGGGAAATGAAAATCAAAACCACAATGAGATACCATCTCACACCAGTTAGAATGCCGATCATTAAAAAGTCAGGAAACAACAGGTGCTGGAGAGGATGTGGAGAAATCGGAACACTTTTAAACTGTTGGTGGGACTGTAAACTAGTTCAGCCATTGTGGAAGTCAGAGTGGCGATTCCTCAGGGATCTAGAACTAGAAATACCATTTGACCCAGCCATCCCCGTACTGGGTATATACCCAAAGGATTACAAGTCATGCTGCTATAATGACACATGCACACATGTTTATTGTGACACTAATAACAATAGCAAAGACTTGGAAAAAAACCCAAATGTCCAACAAAGATATTCTGGATTAAGAAAATGTGGCACATATACACCATGGAATACTATGCAGCCATAAAAAATGATCAGATTGTAGGGACATGGATGTAGCTGGAAACTGTCATTCTCCGCAAACTATCATAAGGACTAAAAACCAAACACCGCATGTTCTCACTCATAGGTGGGAATTGAACAGAGAGAACACATGGACAGAGGAAGGAGAACATCACACACTAGGGACTGTTATGGTGTGGGGGTAGGGTGGAGGGATAGCATTAGGAGATATACCTAATCTTAAATGATGAGTTAATGGGTGCAGCACACCAACATGGCACATGTATAAGTATGTAACAAACCTGCACATTGTGCATATGTACCCTAAAACTTAAAATGTAACAATAATAAAATAAAATAAAAAAAAACTACTCAATCAAAAGAATGGCTCAACTCAGTAAGATAAATGCACGCAACACAAAGAAGTTTCTCAGAAAGCTTTGGTCTAGTTTCTATGTGAAGATATTTCCTTTTTTACCATAGGCCTCAAAGTGCTCACAAATATCCCTTTGCAGATTCCAGAGGAACAGAGTTTCTAAACTACTCAATGGAAAGAAACCTTTACCTCTGTGAGATGAATGCTCACATCACAAAACAGTTTCTCACAAAGCTTCTTTGTAGTTTTTATGTGAAAATATTTCCTTTTTCACCATAGCCCTCAAAGCTCTCCCAAATATCCCTTTGCAGATTCTACAAAAAGACTGTTTCCAAACTGCTTAAAGAATGGTTCAACTCTGTCAGATGAAAGCACACATCACAAAGCAGTTTCTCATAACGCTTCTTTCCAGTTTTTATGTGAAGACGTTCCATTTTCACCATAAGCCTCAAAGTGCCAATAAATATCCCTTTGATGATTCTACAAAAAGACCAGTTTCCAAACTGGTCAGTCAAAAGAATAGTTTACAAATGTGAGATGAATGCACACATGACAAAGAAGTTTCTCAGAAAGCTTCAGTCTAGTTGTCATGTAAAGATATTTTCTTTTTCACCATAGGCCTCAAAGTGTTCATGAATATCCCTTTGCAGATTCTACAAGAACAGAGTTTCCAAACTGCTAAAAGAAAAGAAACGTTTACCTCGGTGAAATGAACGCATACATCACAAAGAAGTTCTCAGAAATCTTCTGTCTTGTTTTTATGTTAAGATGTACCCTTTTCCACCATGTGCCTCAAAGTGCTCACAAATATCCCTTTGCGGACTGTAGAAGAACAGAGTTTCCAACCTGCTCAATGAAAAGAAACGTTTATCTCTGTGACATGAATGCACACATCACAAAGCAATTTCTCACAAAGCTTCTTTCTAGTTTTTATGTGAAGATATTTCCTTTTTCACCATAGGAATCAAAGCGCTCCCAAATATCCCTTTGAAGATTCTACAAAAAGACAGTTTCCAAATGGCTCAAGCAAAAGGAAGGTTGAACTCCATGAGATGAATGCACACAGGACAAAGAAGTTTCTCAGAAAGCTTCTATCTAGTTTTTATGTGAGGATATTTCCGTTTTCACCATAGGCCTCAAAGCACTCAGAAATAACACTTTGCACATTCTACAAAAAGACTGATTGCAAACTGCTCAATCAAAAGAAAAGTTCAACTCTATGAGATGAATGCACACATCACAAGGAAGTTTCTCAAAAAGATTTTGTCTTATTTTCATGTGAAGATATTTCCTTTTTCACCATAGGCCTCAAAGTGCTCACAAATATCCCTTTCCAGATTATACAAGAACAGAGTTTCCAATCTGCTCAATGAAAAGAGACATTTACCTCTATGAGATGAGTGTACACATCACAAAGCAGTTTCTCAGAAACCTTCTGTCTGGTTTTATTGTGAAGATATTTCCGTTTTCACCATAGGCCTCAAAGGGCTCACAAATATCCCTTTGCAGATTCTACAAAAAGACTGATTCCAAACTGCTCAATCAAAAGAAAGGTTCAACTCTGTGAGATGAATGCACACATCACAAAGAAGTTTCTCAAAAAGATTCTATCTTATTTTTATATGAAGATATTTCCTTTTTCACCATAGGCCTCAAAGCTCTCAAAAATATCCCTTTGCAGATTCTACAAGAACAGAGTTTCCAATCTGCTCAATGAAAAGAGTCGTTTACATCTATGAGATGAATGCACACATCACAAAGCAGTTTCTCAGAAACCTTCTGTCTGGTTTTATTGCGAAGATATTTCGTTTTTCACCATAGGCCTCAAAGGGCTCAGAAATATCCCTTTTCAGATTCTACAAAAAGACTGATTCCAAACTGCTCAATCAGAAGAAAGTTCAAATCTGTGAGATGAATGCACACATCACAAAGAAGTTTCTCAGAAAGCTTCTGTCTAGTTTTAATGTGAAGAGATTTCCTTCTTCACCATAGGCCTGAAAGTGCTCACAAATATCCCTTTGCAGATTTTACAAAAAGACGGTTTCCAAACTGCTCAATCAAAAGAAAGGTTCAACTCTGTGAGATGCAATCACACATCACAAAGAAGATACTCAGAAAGCTTCTGTCTAGTTTTTATGTGAAGATATTTCCTTTTTAAACATAGGCATCAAAGTGCTCACAAATATCCCCTTACAGACACTACAAAAAGACGGTTTCCAAACTTCTCAATCAAAAGAAAGGTTCAAATCTGTGAGATGAATGTACACATCACAAAGGACTTTCTTAGAAAGCTTCTGTCTAGTTTTTATGTGAAGATATTTCCTTTTTCACCACAGGACTCAAAGCTCTCATATATATCCCTTAGCAGACTCTACTAAAAGACTGCTTCTAAACAACTCAATCAAAAGAAAGGTTCAACCGTGTAAGATCAATGCACACATCACAAAGAATTTTCACAGAAAGCTTCTGTCTAGTTTCTCTTTGAAGATATTTTCTTTTTCACTGGAGACCTCAAACCACTCACACATATCCCCTTGCAGATTCTACAAAGAGACTGTTTCCAAACTGCTCAATCAAAAGAAATGTTCAGCTCTTTGAGATGTATGCACACAGCACAAAGAAGTTTCTCAGAAAGCTTCCATCTAGTTTTTATGCAAAGATATTTACTTTTTCACCATAGGCCTCAAAATTCACAAAAATATCCCTTTGCAGATTCCACAAGAAGACTGTTTCAAAACTGCTCAATCAAAAGCAAGGTTCAACCCTGTGAGATGAATGCACACATAAAAAGGAAGTTTCTCAGAAAGCTTCTGTCTTGTTTTCATTTGAAGATATTTCCTTTTTCACCACAAGACTTAAACCGCTCACAAATATCCCTTTGCAGTTTCCACAAAAAGACGTTTCCAAACTGGTCAAAGAAAAGAAAGGGTTAACTCTGTGAGATGAATGCACTCAACACGAAGAAGTTTCTCAGAAAGCATCTGTCTCTTTTTTATGTGAAGATATTTCCTTTTTCACGATAAGCCTCAAAGGGCTCAAAAGTATCCCTTTGCAGATTCTACAAAAAGACAGTTTCCAAACTGCTCAATCAAAAGAAAGGTTCAGCTCTGTGAGATGAATGCACACATCACAAGGAAGTTTCTCAGAAAGCTTCTGTCTAGTTTTTATATGAAGATATCTCCTTTTACACCATAGCCCTCAAAGGGATCACAAATATCACTTTGCAGATTCTACAAAAAGATGGTTTCCAAACTGTTCAATCAAACAAATGTCCAACTCTGTGTGGTGAAGGCACACACCACAAGGAAGTTTCTCAGAAAGTTTCTGTCTAGGTTTTTTATGAAGATATTTACTTTTTCACCATATGCCTCAGACCGTTCTGTCTAGTTTTAATGTGAAGATATAAGCTTTTTCAACATAGTCCTCAAAGCGCTCACAAATATCTCTCTGCAGATTCTACAAAAAAACTGTTTCCAAGTTGCTCAATCCAAAGAAAGTTTCAACTGTGTGAGATGAATGCATACATCACAAAGAAGTTTCTAAGAAAGCTTCTGTCTAGTTTTTATGTGAAGATATATCCTTTTTCACCAAAGGCCGAAAACTGCACACAAATAGCCCTTGCAGTTTCTCCAAGAGACTGTTTCCAAACTGCTCAATCAAAAGAAAGTTTCAACTCTGTGAGATGAATGCACACATCACAAGGAAGTTTCTCAGAAAGCTTCTGTCTGGCTTCTATGTGAAGATATTTCCTTTTTCACAATAGGGCTCTAAGGCCTGACAAATATCCGTTTGCAGATACCACAAAAGGACGGTTTCCAAACTGGTCAACCAAAAGAAAGGTTCAACTCTGTGAGATGAATACACACATCACAAAGAGGTTTCTCAGAATGCTTCTGTCTAGTTTCATGGGAAGATATTTCCTTTTTCACCATAGGCCACAAAGACCTCACAAATATCACCTTGCAGATGCTACAAGAGGAAGGTTTCCAAACTGCTCAATCAAAAGAAGGGTTCATCTCTGTGAGATGAATGCACACATCAAAAATAAGTTTCCTAGAAATCTTCTGTCTGGTTTTTATGTGAAGATATTTCCTTTTTCACCATAGGCCTCAAACCACTCACAAATGTCCCCTTGTGGATTCCATAAAAAGACTGTTTCCAAACTGCTGATTCAAAAAAATGTTTCACCTCTATGACATGAATGCACATGTCACAAAAAAAGTGTCTCAGAAAGCTTCTGAATAGTTTTTATGTGAAGTTATATCCTTTTTCACCATAGGCCTGAAACTGCTCAAAATTATCCCTTTGCTGTTTCTACAAAAGACTGTTTCCAAACTGCTAAATCAAAAGAAAGTTTAAATTCTGTGAGATGAATGTACACGTCTCAAAGGAGTTTCTCAGAAAGATTCTGTCTAGTTTTTAGATGGAGATATTACCTTTTTCAACATAGGCCTCAAACGGCTCAGAAATATCCCTTTGCAGATTCTATCAAAGGACTGTTTCCAAACTGCTCAATCAAAAGAAAGTTTTACCTCCATGAGTTGAATGCAAACATCACAAAGAAGTTTCTCAGAAAGCTTCTGACTAGTTTTTTTTTTTTTAATTATACTTTAAGTTCTAGGGTACATGTGCACATTGTGCAGGTTAGTTACATATGTATACATGTGCCATGCTGGTGCGCTGCACCCACTAACTTGTCATCCAGCATTAGGTATATCTCCCAATGCTATCCCTCCCCCCTCCCCCCACCCCACAACAGTCCCCAGAGTGCGATATTCCCCTTCCTGTGTCCATGTGATCTCATTGTTCAGTTCCTACCTATGAGTGAGAATATGCGGTGTTTGGTTTTTTGTTCTTGTGATAGTTTACTGAGAATGATGATTTCCAATTTCATCCATGTCCCTACAAAGGACATGAACTCATCATTTTTTATGGCTGCATAGTATTCCATGGTGTATGTGTGCCACATTTTCTTAATCCAGTCTATCATTGTTGGACATTTGGGTTGGTTCCAAGTCTTTACTATTGTGAATAATGCCACAATAAACTTACGTGTGCCTGTGTCTTTATAGCAGCATGATTTATAGTCCTTTGGGTATATACCCAGTAATGGGATGGCTGGGTCAAATGGTATTTCCAGTTCTAGATCCCTGAGGAATCGCCACACTGACTTCACAATGGTTGAACTAGTTTACAGTCCCACCAACAGTGCAAAAGTGTTCCTATTTCTCCACATCCTCTCCAGCACCTGTTGTTTCCTGACTTTTTAATGATGGCCATTCTAACTGGTGAGAGATGGTATCTCATTGTGGTTTTGATTTGCATTTCTCTGATGGCCATTCTAACTGGTGTGAGATGGTATCTCATTGTGGTTTTGATTTGCATTTCTCTGATGGCCAGTGATGATGAGCATTTTTTCATGTGTTTTTTGGCTGCATAAATGTCTTCTTTTGAGAAGTGTCTGTTCATGTCCTTTATCCACTTCTTGATGGGGTTTTTTGTTTTTTTCTTGTAAATTTGTTTGAGTTCATTGTAGATTCTGGATATTAGCCCTTTGTCAGATGAGTAGGTTGCGAAAATTTTCTCCCATTTTGTAGGTTGCCTGTTCACTCTGATGGTAGTTTCGTTTGCTGTGCAGAATCTCTTTAGTTTAATTAGATCCCATTTGTCAATTTTGGCTTTTGTTGCCATTGCTTTTTGTGTTTTAGACATGAAGTCCTTGCCCATACCTATGTCCTGAATGGTAATGCCTAGGTTTTCTTCTAGGGTTTTTATGGTTTTAGGTCTAAGTTTAAGTCTTTAATCCATCTTGAATTTATTTTTATATAAGGTGTAAGGAAGGGATCCAGTTTCAGCTTTCTACTTATGGCTAGCCAGTTTTCCCAGCGCCATTGATTAAATAGGGAATCCTTTCCCCATTGCTTGTTTTTCTCAGGTTTGTCAAAGATCAGATAGTTGTAGATATGCGGTGTTATTTCTGAGGGCTCTATTCTGTTCCATTGTTCTATATCTCTGTTTTGGTACCAGTATGATGCTGTTTTGGTTACTGTAGCCTTGTAGTATAGTTTGAAGTCAGGTAGCGTGATGCCTCCAGCTTTGTTCTTTTGGCTTAGGATTGACTTGGCGATGTGGGCTCTTTTTTGGTTCCATATGAACTTTAAAGTAGTTTTTTCCAATTCTGTGAAGAAAGTCGTTGGTAGCTTGATGGGGATGGCATTGAATCTGTAAATTACTTTGGACAGTATGGCCATTTTCACGATATTGATTCTTCCTACCCATGAGCATGGAATGTTCTTCCATTTATTTGTATCCTCTTTTATTTCCTTGAGCAGTTGTTTGTAGTTCTCCTTGAAGAGGACCTTCACATCCCTTGTAAATTGGATTCCTAGGTATTTTATTCTCTTTGAAGCAATTGTGAATGGGAGTTCACTCATGATTTGGCTCTCTGTTTGTCTGTTGTTGGTGTATAAGAATGCTTGTGATTTTTGTACATTGATTTTATATCCTGAGACTTTGCTGAAGTTGCTTATCAGCTTAAGGAGATTTTGGGCTGAGACAATGGGGTTTTCTAGATATACAATCATGTCGTCTGCAAACAGGGATAATTTGACTTCCTCTTTTCCTAATTGAATACCCTTTATTTCCTTCTCCTGCCTAATTGCCCTGGCCAGAACTTCCAACACTATGTTGAATAGGAGTGGTGAAAGAGGGCATCCCTGTCTTGTGCCCGTTTTCAAAGGGAATGTTTCCAGTTTTTGCCCATTCAGGATAATATTGGCTGTGGGTTTGTCATGGATAGCTCTTATTATTTTGAGATACGTCCCATCAATACCTAATTTATTGAGAGTTTTTAGCATGAACTGTTGTTGAATTTTGTCAAAGGCTTTTTCTGCATCTATTGAGATAATCATGTGGTTTTTGTCTTTGGCTCTGTTTATATGCTGGATTACATTTATTGATTTGCGTATATTGAACCAGCCTTGCATCCCAGGGATGAAGCCCACTTGATCATGGTGAATAAGCTTTTTGATGTGCTGCTGGATTCGGTTTGCCAGTATTTTATTGAGGATTTTTGCATCAATGTTCATCAAGGTATTGGTCTAAAATTCTCTTTTTTTCGTTGTGTCTCTGCCCGGCTTTGGTATCAGAATGATGCTGGCATCATAAAAAGAGTTAGGGAGGATTCCCTCTTTTTCTATTGATTGGAATAGTTTCAGAAGGAATGGTACCAGTTCCTCCTTGTACCTCTGGTAGAATTCCACTGTGAATCCATCTGGTCCTGGACTCTTTTTAGTTGATAAGCTAGTGATTATTGCCGCAATTTCAGATCCTGTTATTGGTCTATTCAGAGATTCAACATCTTCCTGGTTTAGTCTTGTGAGAGTGTATGTGTCGAGGAATTTATCCATTTCTTCTAGATTTTCTAGTTTATTTGCATAGAGGTGTTTGTAGTATTCTCTGATGGTAGTTTGTATTTCTGTGGGATCAGTGGTGATATCCCCTTTATCATTTTTTATTACATCTATTTGATTCTTCTCTCTTTTTTTCTTTATTAATCTTGCTAGCGGTCTATCAATTTTGTTGATCCTTTCAAAAAACCAGCTCCTGGATTCATTAATTTTTTGAAGGGTTTTTTGTGTCTCTATTTCCTTCTGTTCTGCTCTGATTTTAGTTATTTCTTGTCTTCTGCTAGCTTTTGAATGTGTTTGCTCTTGCTTTTCTAGTTCTTTTAATTGTGATGTTAGGGTGTCAATTTTGGATCTTTCCTGCTTTCTCTTGTGGGCATTTTGTGCTATAAATTTCCCTCTACACACTGCTTTGAATGCATCCCAGAGATTCTGGTATGTTGTGTCTTTGTTCTCATTGGTTTCAAAGAACATCTTTATTTCTGACTTCATTTCGTTATGTACCCAGTAGTCATTCAGGAGCAGGTTGTTCAGTTTCCATGTAGTTGAGCAGTTTTGAGTGAGATTCTTAATTCTGAGTTCTAGTTTGATTGCACTGTGGTCTGAGAGACAGTTTGTTATAATTTCTGTTCTTTTACATTTGCTGAGGAGAGCTTTACTTCCAAGTATGTGGTCAATTTTGGAATAGGTGTGGTGTGGTGCTGAAAAAAATGTATATTCTCTTGATTTAGGGTGGAGAGTTCTGTAGATGTGTATTAGGTCCACTTGGTGCAGAGCTGAGTTCAATTCCTGGGTATCCTTGTTGACTTTCTGTCTCGTTGATCTGTCTAATGTTGACAGTGAGGTGTTAAAGTCTCCCATTATTAATGTGTGGGAGTCTAATTCTCTTTGTTGGTCACTCAGGACTTGCTTTATGAATCTTGGTGCTCCTGTATTGGGTGCATATATATTTAGGATAGTTAGCTCTTCTTGTTGAATTGATCCCTTTACCATTATGTAATGGCCTTCTTTGTCTCTTTTGATCTTTGTTGGTTTAAAGTCTGTTTTATCAGAGACTAGGATTGGAACCCCTGCGTTTTTTTGTTTTCCATTTCCTTGGTAGATCTTACTCCATCCCTTTATTTTGAGCCTATGTGTGTCTCTGCACATGAGATGGGTTTCCTCAGTACAGCACACTGTTGGGTCTTGACTCTTTATCCAATTTGGCAGTCTGTGTCTTTTAATTGGAGCATTTAGTCCATTTACATTTAAAGTTAATATTGTTATGTGTGAATTTGATCATGTCATTATGATGTTAGCTGGTTATTTTGCTCGTTAGTCGATGCAGTTTCTTCCTAGTCTTGATGGTCTTTACATTTTGGCGTGATTTTGCAGTGGCTGGTACTGGTTGTTCCTTTCCATGTTTAGCACTTCCTTCAGGAACTCTTTTAGGGCAGGCCTGGTGGTTACAAAATCTCTCAGCATTTGCTTGTCTGTAAAGTATTTTATTTCTCCTTCACTTATGAAGCTTAGTTTGGCTGGATATGAAATTCTGGGTCAAAAATTCTTTTCTTTAAGAATGTTGAATATTGGCCCCCACTCTCTTCTGGCTTGTAGGGTTTCTGCTGAGAGATCTGCTGTTAGTCTCATGGGCTTCCCTTTGAGGGTAACCCAACCTTTCTCTCTGGCTGCCCTTAACATTTTTTCTTTCATTTCAACTTTGGTGAATCTGACAATTATATGTCTTGGAGTTGCTCTTCTCGAGGAGTATCTTTGTAGCATTCTCTATATTTCCTGAATCTGAACGTTGGCCTGCCTTGCTGGATTGGGGAAGTTCTCCTGGATAATATCCTGCAGAGTGTTTTCCAACTTGGTTCCATTCTCCCCGTCACTTTCAGGTACACCAATCAGACGTAGATTTGGTCTTTTCACATAGTCCCATATTTCTTGGAGGCTTTGCTCATTTCTTTTTATTCTTTTTTCTCTAAACTTCCCTTCTCACTTCATTTCATTCATTTCATCTTCCATTGCTGATACCCTTTCTTCCAGTTGATCACATTGGTCCTGAGGCTTCTGCATTCATCACGTGGTTCTTGTGCCTTGATTTTCAGCTCCATCAGCTCCTTTAAGCACTTCTCTGTATTGGTTATTCTAGTTATACATTCTTCTAAACTTTTTTCAAAGTTTTCAACTTCTTTGCCTTTGGTTTGAATGTCCTCCCGTAGCTCAGAGTAATTTGATCGTCTGAAGCCTTCTTCTCTCAGCTCGTCAAAGTCATTCTCTGTCCAGCTTTGTTCCGTTGCTGGTGAGGAACTGCGTTCCTTTGGAGGAGGAGAGATGCTCTGCTTTTTAGAGTTTCCAGTTTTTCTATTCTGTTTTTTCCCCATCTTTGTGGTTTTATCTACTTTTGGTCTTTGATGATGGTGATGTACAGATGGGTTTTTGCTGTGGATGTCCTTTCTGTTTGTTAGTTTTCCTTCTAACGGACAGGACCCTCAGCTGCAGGTCTGTGGGAATACCCTGCCATGTGAGGTGTCAGTGTCCCCCTGCTGGGGGTGCCTCCCAGTTAGGCTGCTCGGGGGTCAGGGACCCACTTGAGGAGGCAGTCTGCTCATTCTCAGATCTCCAGCTGCGTGATGGGAGAACCACCACTCTCTTCAAATCTGTCAGACAGGGACATTTAAGTCTGCAGAGTTTACTGCTGTCTTTTTGTTTGTCTGTGCCCTGCCCCCAGAGGTGGAGCCTACAGAGGCAGGCAGGCCTCCTTGAGCTGTGGTGGGCTCCACCCTGTTCGAGATTCCTGGCTGCTTTGTTTACCTAAGCAAGCCTGGGCAGTGGTGGGTGCCCCTCCCCCAGCCTCGCTGCTGCCTTGCGGTTTGATCTCAGACTGCTGTGTTAGCAATCAGGGAGACTCCGTGGGTGTAGGACCCTCTGAGCCAGGTGCGGGATATAATCTCGTGGTGCACCGTTTTTTCAGCCCGTTGGAAAAGCACAGTATTTGGGTGGGAATGACCCGATTTTCCAGGTGCCATCCGTCACCCCTTTCTTTGACTCAGAAAGGGAACTCCCTGACTCCTTGCACTTCCTGAGTGAGGCAATGCCTTGCCCTGCTTCAGCTCACGCATGGTGCATGCACCCACTGACCTGCACCCACTGTCTGGCACTCCCTAGTGAGATGAACCCGGTACCTCAGATGGAAATGCAGAAATCACCCGTCTTCTGCATCGCTTATGCTGGGAGCTGTAGACCAGAGCTGTTCCTATTTGGCCATCTTGGCTCCTCCCCCACTTCTGACTAGTTTTTATGTGAAGACATTTCCTTTTTCACCATAGGCCTGAAAGTACTCAAAAATATCCCTTTGCAGATTCTACAAAAAGACTGCTTCCAAACTCCTTAATCAAAAGAAATTTTCAACTCTGTGAGAAGAATGCACACATCACAAAACAGTTTTTCAGAAATCTTCTGTCTAATTTTTATGTGAAGATATGTCATTTTTCACCATAGTCATTAAACTGCTCACAAATATCCCTTTGCAGATACTACAAAAAGACCATTTCCAAACTGCTCAGTCAAAAGAAAGTTTCAGTTCTCTGAGATGAATGCACACATCACAAAGAAGTTTCTCTGAAAGCTTATGCTTAGTATTTATATAAAGTTATTTCCTTTTTCACCATAGGCCTCAAGTGGCTCACAAATATCCCATTGTAGTTTCCACAAAAGGACTGTTTCCAAGCTGCTCAACTGATAGAAAGTTTTAACTCTGTGAGTTGAATGCACACATCACAAGGAAGTTTTTGAGAAAGCTTCTGTCTTGTATTTATGTGAAGATATTTCTTTTTCACCATAGGCCTCAAATCACTCAGAAATATCTCTTTGCAGTTTCTATAAAAAGACTGTTTCAAAACTTCTCAATCCTAAGAAAAGTTCAGCTCTGTGCATTAAATGCATGCATCACAAAGAACATTCTCAGAAAGCTTCTTTCTAGTTTTTATGTGAAGTTATTTCCTTATTCACCATAGGCCTCAAAGGCCTCAAAAATATCCCTTACCATATTTTACAAAAAGACTGTTTCCAAACTGCTCAATCAAAAGAATGGTTCAACTCTTTGAAATCAATGCACAAAACACAAGGAAGTTTCTCAGAAAGCTTCTGTCTGGTTTTTATATGAAGATATTTCTTTTTTCACCATAGGCCACAACTGCTAAGAAATATAACATTGCAGTTTCTACAAAAAGACTCTTTCAAAATTGTTCAATTGAAAGAAAATTTAACTCTGTGAGATGAATGCACACATCACAAAGAAGTTTCTCAGAAAGCTTCTGTCTAGTTTTCATGTGAAGATATTTGCTTTTCTACCATAAACTTCAAAGGTCTCACAAATATCTCTTTGCAGTTTCTACAAAAGACTGTTTCCAAACTGCTCAATCAAAAGAAACTTTCACCTCTGTGAGTTGAATGCACACATCACAAAGAAGTTCCTCAGAAAGCTTCTGTCTTGTTTTTATGTGAAGATATTTCCTTTTTCACCATAGGCCACGAAGGGCTCCCAAATATCCCTTTGCAGATTCTATGAAAAGACTGTTTCCAAACTGCTCAATCAAAAGAAAGTTTCAACTCCATGAGATGAATGCACACATCAGAAAGAAGTTTCTCAGAAAGCTTCTGTCTAGTTTTTATATGAAGATATTTCCTTTTTCACCATAGGCCATGAAGGGCTCCCAAATATCCCTTTGCAGATTCTATGAAAAGACTGTTTCCAAACTGCTCAATCAAAAGAAAGGTTCAACTCCATGAGATGAATGCACACATCAGAAAGAAGTTTCTCAGAAAGCTTCTGTCTATGTTTTTGTGAAGATACTTCCTTTTTCACCATAGGCCTCAAAGAGCTCTCAAATATCCTTTTGCAGATTTTACAAAAGGACAGTTTCCAAACTGCTCAATCAAACGAAAAATTCAACTCTGTGAGATGAATGTACACATCAAAAAGTAGATCCTCAGAATGTTTCTATCTGTTTTTTTATGTGAAGATATTTCCTTTTTCACCATAGGCCTCAAAGGGCTCCCACATATCCCTTTGCAGATTCTACAAAAAGACTGTGTCCAAACTGTTTAATCAAAAGACAGTTTACACTGTGTGAGATAAATGCACGCATCACAAAGAAGTTTCTCAGAAAGCTTCTATCTGGGTTTTTGTGAAGATATTTCCTTTATCAATATATTCCTAAAACTGCTCAGAAATACCCCTTTGCAGATTCTACAAAAAGACTGTTTCCAAACTTCTCAATCAGAAGAAAGTTTCAAATCTGTGAGGTGAATGCATGCATCACAAAGAAGTTTTTCGGAAAGCTTCTGTCTAGTTTTCATATGAAGATAATTCCTTTTTCACCATAGGCCTCAAAGCAACGTGAAATATCACTTTGCAGATTCCACAAAAGATTGTTTCCAACCTGCTCAATCAAAAGAAAGGTTCAACTCTGTGAGAATGCACACATCACAAAATGGTATCCTAGATAATTTCTGTTTAGTTTTTATGTGAAGATAAATCCTTTTCAAAATAGTCCTCAAAGGGCTCCCAAATATCCCTTTGCAGATTCTAGCAAAGAAATTATTCCAATCAAAAGAAATATTTAACACTGTGAGGTGAAAGCTCACATCACAAAGAAGTTTATGAGAAAGCTTCTGTCTAGTTTTTATGTGAAGATATTTCCTTTTTCACCGTAGGCCTCAAGGGACTCCCAAATATCCCACTGCAGATTCTACAAAAAGACTGTTTCCAAACTGCTCAATCAAAAGAAAGTTTCAACTATGTGTGATGAATGCAGGCATCACAAAAATGTTTCTCAGAAAGCTTCTCTCTAGTTTTCAAGTGAAGATATTTCCTTATTCACCATAGGTCTCAAAGGGCTCCCAAATATCACTTTGCAGATTCTACAAAAATACTGTTTCCAAACTGCTCAATTGAAAGAAAGTTTCTACTCTGTGAGATGAATGCACACATCTCAAAGAAGTTTCTGAGAAAGCATCTGTCTGGTTTTTATGTGAAGATATTTCCATTTTCACCATAGACCTCAAAGTGCTCCCAAATATTCCTTTGCAGATTCTACAAAAAGACTGTTTCCAAACTGCTCTATTGAAAGAAAGATTCAACTGTGTGAGATGAATGCACACATCACAAAGAAGTTTCTCAGAAAGCTTCTGTGAAGTTTTCATTTGAAGATATTTCCTTTTTCACCATAGGCCTCAAATCGCTCAGATATAACCCTTTGCAGATTCTACATAAAGATAGTTTCTGAACTGCTCAATCAAAAGATCTGTTCAACTCTGTGAGATGAATGCACACATTAACAAGGAGTTTCTCAGAATGCTTCTGTCTAGTTTTTATGTGAAGATATTTCCTTTTTCACCACAGGCATCAAAGGGATACTAAATATCCTTTTGCAGATTCTACAAAAGACTGTTTCCAAACTGCTCTATGAAAAGAAAGGTTCAACTCTGTGAGATGAATGCACACATCACAAAGAAGTTACTCAGAATGCTTTTGTCTAGTTTTTATGTGAAAGTACTTCCTTTTTCACCATAGGCCTCAATCCACTCAGAAATATCCCTTTGCAGATTCTACAAAAAGACGGTTTCCAAACTGCTCAATCAAAAGAATGGTTCAAATGTGTGAGATGAATGCACCCATCACAAAGAAGTTTCTCAGAAAGCTTCTGTCTAGTTTTTATGTGAAGCTATATCCTTTTTTTCACATTAGGCCTCAAACCACTCAGAAATATCGCTTTGAAGATTATCCAGAAAAGACTGTTTCCAAACTTTTCAATGAAAAGAAAGGTTCAACTGTGTGATATGAATGCTCACATCACTGGGAAGTTTCTCAGGAAGCTTCTGTCTAGTTTCTATGTGAAGATATTTCCTTTTTCAAAGTATGCCACAATCCGCTCTGAAATATCCATTTGCAGATTCTACAAAAAGATGGTTTCCAAGCAGCTCAATCAAAGGAAATGTTCAAATCTGTGAGATTAATGCACACATCCCAAAGAAGTTTCTGAGAAAATTTCATTCTAATTTTTATATGAAGATATTCCTTTTTTCACCATAGGCCTCAAAGAGCTTCCAAATATCTCTGTGTAGATTCTACAAAAAGAATGTTTCCAAAGTACTCAATGAAAAAAAGGTTCAACTATGTGAGATGAATGCACACATCACAAAGAAGTTTCTCAGAAAACTTTGGTCTAGTTTTTATGTGAAGATATTTCCTGTTTCATCATAGTCCTCAAACTGCTCCAAAATATCCCTTTGCAGATTCTACAAAAAGACTATGTCCAAACTGCTCCATCAAAAGAAAGTGTCAATTCCACGAAATGTATGCACACATCACAAAGAAGTTTCTCAGAAAGATTCTGTCTAGTTTTTATGTGAAGATCTTTCCTTTTTCACCATAGGCCTCAAAGATCCCTCTAATATCACCATGCAAATTCCACAAAAAGAATGTCTCCAAACCACTCAATCAAAGGAAAGTTTCAACTCTGTGATATGGATTCACACATCACAAAAGAGTTTCTCATCAAGTTTCTGTCTAGTTTTTATATGAAGATAATTACTTTTTCAATATAGGCCTCAAAGGGCTCCCAAATATCCCTTTGCAGATTCTAGAAAAATACTGTTTCAAAACTGCTCCATCAAAAGAAAGGTTAAACTCTGTGAGGTGAATTCATATATCACAAAGATGTTTTTCAGAAAGCTTCTGTCTGGTTTCTGTCTGTTTTTCACAGTAGGCCTCAAAGGGATCCCTAATATCCCTTTCCAAATTCAAGAAAAAGATGGTTTCCAAACTGCACAATCAAAAGAAATTTTCAACTCTGCAAGTTGAATGCACACATCACAAAGAAGTTTCTCAGAAAACTTCTGTCAATTTTTTATGCATAGTTATTTCCTTTTTCACCATAGGACTTGAAGGGCTCCCAAATATCTTTTGCAGATTCTACAAAAAGACTGTTTCCAAACTACTCAATAAAAAAAAGGTTCAAATCTGTGATATGAATGCACATATCACAAAGATGTTCCTCAGAAAGGTTCTGTCTAGTTTTTATGTGAAGATATTTCCTTTTTCACCATAGGACTCTAAGGGCTCCCAAATATCCTTTGCAGATTCTAAAAAAAGACAGTTTCCAAATTGCTGAATTAAAAGAAAGTTTCAACTCTGTGAGAAGAATGCACACTTCACAAAGAAGATTCTCAGAAAGATTCTTTCTAGTTTTTTGCAAAGATACTTCGTTTTTCACAATAGGCCTCAAATGGCTCAGAAATATCGCTTTGCAGATTCTACCAAGAGACTGTTTCCAAACTGCTCAATCAAAAGATTCTACTCTGAGATGAATGCACCCATCAGAAAGCAGTTTCTCAGAATGCTTCTGTCTAGTTTTTATGTGAAGATATTTCCTTTTTCACCATATGCCTCAAACCACTCAGAAATATCCCTTTGCAGATTCTAGAAAAAGACTGTATCCAAACTGCTCAACTGAAAGAAAGGGCCAGCTCTGCAAGATGAATGCAAACATCACAAAAGAGCATCTCAGCAAATTTCTGTCTAGTTTTAAAGTGAAGATAACTCCTTTTTCAATGGGGACCTAAAAGGGGTCCCAAATATCCCTTTGCATATTGTAGAAAAAGACTGTTTCAAAAGTGCTCAATCAACATATATGTTCAACTCTGTTAGATGAATGCACACATCACAAAGAAGTTCTTCAGAAAACTCCTGTCTAGTTTCTATGTGAAGATATTTCCTTTTTCACCATAGGCCTAGAAGGGCTCCAAATATCACCTTGCGGTTTCTACAAAAAGACTGTTTCCAAACTGATCAAGCAAAAGAAAAGTTCAACTCTGTGAGATGAATGCACACATCACACAGAAGTTACTCAGAAATCTTCTGTGTAGTTTTTATGTGAAGGTATTTCCTTTTTCACCATAGGCCTCAAAGGGCTCCCAATTATCAATTTGCAGATTCTACAAAAAGACTGTTTCCAAACTGCTCAATCAAAAGAAAGGTTCAACTCTTTGAGATGAATGTGCACATCATAAAAGAGTTTCTCAGAAAAATTTTGTCTAGTTTTTATGTGAAGATAAGTTCTTTTTCAAAATAGGCCTCAAAGGGCTCCGGAATATCACATTGCTGATTCTAGAAATGACTGTTTCCAAACTGCTCAATGAAAAGAAAAGTTCAACTCTTTGAGATGAATGCACACATCACAAAGAAGTTTCTCAGAAAGCTTCTGTCCAGTTTTTATGTGAAGATATTCCCTTTTTCAACGTAGGCCTAAAAGGGTCCCCTAATATCCCTTTGCAGATTCTTGAAAAAGACTGTTTCCAAACTGCTCAATCAAAAGAAAAGTTCAACTCTGTGATTTGAATGAAGACATCACAAAGAAGTTTCTCAGAGAGTGTCTGTATAGTTTTTATTTGAAGATATTTCCTTTTTCACCATAGCCCTCAAAGCCCCCTGAAATATCACTTTACCAATTCCACAGAAAGAATCTTTCTAAACAGCCCAATCAAAAAGAAGATTGAACTCTGTGAGATGAATGCACACATCACAAAGAAGTTCCTCAGAAAGCTTCTTTGTAGTTTTTATGTGAAGATATTTCCTTTTTCACCACAGGATTCGAAGGGCTCCCAAATATCCTTTGCAGATACTACAAAAAGACTGTTTCCAAACTGCTCAATTAAAAGGAAAGGTTCAACTCTGTGAAATGAATGCACACATCAGACAGAAGTTTCTCAGAAATTTTCTGTCTAGTTTTTTGCAAAGATATTTTCTTTTTCACCATAGGCCTCAGACTGCTCAGAAGTAACCCTTTGCATATTCTACCAAAAGACTGTAGCCAAAATGTTCAATCAAAAGAAAGTTTCAACACTGTGAGATGACTGCAATCATCACAAAGAAGTTTCTCAGAAAGCTTCTGTCTAGTTTTTATGTGAAAATATTTCCATTTTCACTGTAAGCCTCAAACCATTCAGAAATATCTCTTTGTGGATTCTAGAAAAAGACTGTTTCCAAACTGTTCAATCAAAAGAAACATTCATCCCTGCGAGATGAATGCGCATATCACAAAAGAGTATCTCAGAAAATTTCTGTCTAGTTTTAAAGTGAAGATAACTCCTTTTTCAAAGTAGGCCTCAAAGGGGTCCCAAATATCCCTTTGCAGATTCTAGAAAAAGAATATTTCCAACTTTTTCAATCAAAAGAAAGGTTCAACACTGTGTGATGAATGCACACATCACAAAGAAGATTCTCAGAAAGCTTCTGTCTACTTTTTATGTGAAGATATTTCCTTTTTCACCATAGATCTCAAAGGGCTCCCAAATACCACTTTGCAGATTCTACAAAACGACTGTCTCCTAACTGCTCTATCAAAAGAAATGTTCAACTCTGTGAGATGAATGAACACATCATAAAGAAGTTTCTCAGAACGCATCTCTCTAGTTTTTATATGAAGATATTTACTTTTTCATCATAGGCCTCAAACAGCTCAGAAATATCCCCTTTGCAGATTCTGCAAAAAGAATGTTTCCTAACTGCTCAACCAAAAGAAAAGGTCAACACTGTGAGATGAATGCATGCATCACAATGCAGTTTCTCAGAAAGCTTCTGTCTAGTTTTTGTGTGAAGGTATTTCCTTTTTCACCATAGGCCTCAAAGCACCCTCAAATATCACTTTGCAGATCCCAGAAAAATACTGTTTCAAAAACTGTTCAATCAAAAAAAGGTTTGACACTGTGAGATGAATGCACACACTACAAACAAGATTCTCAGAAAGGTTCTGTCTACTTTTTATGTGAAGATATTTCCTTTTTCACAGTAGGCCTCCAAGGGTTCCAAAATATCCCATTGCAGATTGTACAAAAAGAATGTTTCCAAGCTGCTCAATCAAAAGAAAGTTTCAACTCTGTGAGATGAACGGAAACGTCACAAATTAGTTTCTCAGAAAGCTTCTACCTAGTTTTTATGTGAAGATATTTCCTTTTTCACCATAGGCCTGAATCCGCTGCGTAATATCCCTTTGCAGATACTACATATAGACTGTTTCAAAACTGGTAAATCAAAAGAAAGATTCAATTCTGTGAGATGAATGCGTGCATCACAAAGAAGTTTCTCAGAATGCTTCTGTCTAGTTTTTATGTGAAGATGTTTCTTTTTTTACCATAAGCCTCAAACGGATCCCAAATATCCCTTTGCAGATTTTACAAAAGACTTTTCCAAGCTGCTCAATCAAAAGAAAGGTTCAACTTTGTGAAATGAATGCACACAATCCAAAGTAGTTTCTCAGAAAGCTTCTGTCTAGTTTTTATGTGAAGATATTTCCTTTTTCACCATATACCTCAAAGGGTTCCAAATATCCCTTTGTAGACTCTACAAAAAGATTCTTTCCAAACTGCTCAATCAAAAGAAAGTTTTAACTCTGTGAGATGAATGCATACATCATAAAGAAGTTTCACAGACAGCATCTGACTAGTTTTTATATGAAGATATTTCCTTTTTCACAATAGGCCTCAAAGTGCTCAAAAATATCCCTTTGCAGATTCTACAAAAAGACTGTTTCCAAAGTGTACCATCAAAAGAAATGTTCAACTCTGTGAGATGAATGCACACATGACAAAGAAGCTTCTCAGAAAGCTTCTATCTAGTTTTTATGTGAAGATATTCTCTTTTTCACCATTGGCCTCAAAGGATTACAAATATCCCTTTGCAGATTCTACAAAAGGACTGTTTCTAAACTGCTCAATCAAAAGAAAGCTTCAAACATGTGAAGTGACTGCACACATCACAAAAGGGTTTCTCAGGAAACTTCTGTCTAGTTTTTATGTGAACATATTTCCTTTTTCAGGATAGTCTTCAAAGCACCCTGAAATATCACGTTGCAGATTCTACAAAAAGACTGTTTCCAAGCTGCTCAAGGAAAAGAAATTTTCAACTCTGTGAAATGAATGCACACATCACAAAGAAGTTTTTCAGAAAGCTTCTGTCTAGTTTTTATGTGAAGATAATTCCTTTTTCACCATAGGCCTCAAACCACTCAGAAATATCGCTTTGCATATTCTACAAAAAGATTGTTTCCATACTACTCACTCCAAAGGAACCTTCAACTCTGTGAGATGAATGCACACATCACAAAGAAGTTTCTCAGAAAGCTTCTGTCTAGTTTTTATGTGAAGATATTTCCTTTTTCACCATTGGCCTCGAAGGGCTCTCAAGTATCCCTTTGCAGATTCTATGATAAGACTGTTTCCAAACTGTTCAACTCTGTGAGATGAATGCACACGTCACAGGAAAGTTGCTCAGAAAGTTTCTGTCTAGTTTTTATGTAAAGATAATTCCTTTTTCACCACAGGCTTCAAAGAGCTCCCAAATATCCCTTTGTAGATTATACAAAAAGACTGTTTCCAAACTGCTCATTCAAAAGAAAGTTTCAAATCTGTGGGATGAATGCACATATCACATAGAAGTTTCTCAGAAAGCTTCTGTCTAGTTTTTATATGGAGATATTTTCTTTTTCACCATAGGCCTCCAAGCGCCCCCAGATATCCATTGCAGATTGCACAAGAGGACTCTTTCCAAGTTGCTCTATCAAAAGAAAAGTTCAACTCTGTGAGACGAATGTACTTATCACAAAGAAGTTTCTCGGAAAGCTTCTATCTAATTTTTATGTGAAGACATTTCCTTTTTCACCATTGGCCTCAAACTGCTCAGAAATATCCCTTTACAGATTCTACAAAAAGAGTGTTTCCAAACTGCTCTATCAAAAGAAAAGTTCAACTCTGTGAGATAAATGCACACATCACAAATAAGTTTCTCAGAAAACTTCTTTCTAGTTTTTATGTGAAGATATTTCCTTTTCCATCATAGGCCTCAAACGGCTTAGAAATATCCATTTGCAGACTCTACAAAAAGATTGTTTCCAAACTGCTCAATCAAAAGAAATTTTCATCTCTCTGAGATGAATGCACACATCACAAAGACGTTTCTCAGAAAGCTTCTGTCTAATTTTCATTTGAAGATATTTTCTTTTTTACCATGGGCCTCAAAGGGATCCCAAATATCCCTTTGCAGATTTTACAAAAAGACTGTTTCCAAACTGCTGAATCAAAAGAAGGGTTCAACTCTGTGAAATGGATGCACACATCAAAAAGAAGTTCCTCGGAAAACTTCTGTCTACTTTTTGTATGAAGATATTTCCTTTTCCATGATAGGAATTGAAGGGCTCCCAAATATCCATTTGAAGATTCTACAAAACACTGTTTCCAAACTTCTCAATCAAAAGAAAGTTTCAACACTGTGAGATGAATGCACACATCACAAGAAGTTTCTCAGAAAGCTTCTTTCTAGTTTTTATGTGAAGATATTTCCTTTTTCACCACAGGCCTCAAAAGGCTTAGAAATATCCCCTTGCAGATTCTAGAAAAATACTATTTCCAAACTCCTCAATCAAAGAAAGGTTCAAGTGTGTCAGATGAATACACACATCATAAAGAAGTTTCTGAGGAAGCTTCTGTCTAGTTTTTATGTGAAGATATTTCCTTTTTCACGATAGGCCTCAAGGTGACCTCAATTGTCCCTTTGCAGATTCTACAAAAAGACTGTTTCCAAACTGCTCAATCAAAAGAAAATTTCAATTCTGTGAGATGAATGCACACATCACACAGAAGTTCCTCGAAAAGCTTCTGTCTAGTTTTTATGTGAAGATATTTCCTTTTTCACCATAGGCCTCGAAGGGCTCCCAAGTATCCCTTTGCAGATTCTACAAAAAGACTGTATCCAAACTGCTCAATTAAAAGAAAGTTTCAAATCTGCGACATGAATACCCACATAACAGAAGATTTTCTCAGAAAATTTCTGTCTAGTTTTTATGTGAAGGTGTTTCCTTTTTCACCACAGACCTCGAAGGGCTCCAAAATATCCCTTTTCAGATTCTACAAAAAGACTGTTTTTTGTAGTTTTTTTATTCAACAAAATTTTATTGATCATTTTTTCTGTATGAGGTATGATTTCTGAATTCAAAGTGATTACGGCCCAAAGAGTGGGATGCATGTATAAATTATCCCCACACAGGGGTCATATTATAATTATCACTGAAAGGCTAGAAAAGCTCACAAGGAATAAACCAGAAGAGTTTCATTCTGAAAAGACCATGAAAGGCTAACAACAAAGATGGCCTCTGAGCTTGACTTGGCCTCTGAGCTTGACCTGGAAAGGACAACAGGAGTTTTGAAGATAACAGCAAAATGTGGAAAGCATTTCAGTAGGAGGATAAAACAGCATTGGTAATCACATAGGAGAAGGAAATAGGAGCTTGAAAAAAAATTGTCACCAAGCAGTTCTAAACCAGAGATGTGCCTCTCTTGCCCAGGCTGAAGGGCAGTGGTGAGATCTTAGCTCAGTGAAGCCTCAACATTCCCGGCTCAAGTAATCCTCCAACCTCAGCCTCCCAAGTAGTTAGGACTACAGTTGTGGGTCACAATGCCCAGTTATTTTTTTTGTATCTTTTTAAATTTAATTTTATTATACTTGAAGTTTTAGGGTACATGTGCACAATGTGCAGGTTAGTTACATATGTATACCTGTGCCATGTTGGTGTGCTGCACCCATTAACTCCTCATTTAGCATTAGGTATATCTCCTAATGCTATCCCTCCCCCTTCCCCCCACCCCACAACAGGCCCCTGTGTGTGATATTCCTCTTCCTGTGTCAATGTGTTCTCATTGTTCAATTCCCCCCTATGAGTGAGAATATACGGTGTTTGCTTTTTGTCCTTGCGATAGTTTGCTGAGAATGATGGTTTCCGGTTTCATCCATGTCCCTACAAAGGACATGAACTCTTCATTTTTTATGGCTGCATAGTATTCCATGGTGTATATGTGCCACATTTTCTTAATCCAGTCTATCATTGTTGGACATTTGGGTTGGTTCCAAGTCTTTGCTATTGTGAATAGTGCCACAATAAGCATACATGTGCATGTGTCTTTATAGCAGCATGATTTATAATCCTTTGGGTATATGCCCAGTAATGGGATGGCTGGATCAAATGGTATTTCTAGTTCCAGAACCCTGCAGAATCGCCACCTTGACTTCCACAATGGTTGAACTAGTTTAGAGTCCTACCAACCATGTAAAAGTATTCCTATTTCTCCACATCCTCTCCAGCGCCTGTTGTTTCCTGACTTTTTAATGATCACCATTATAACTGGTGTGAGACAGTATCTCATTGTGGTTTTGATTTGCATTTCTCTGATGGCCAGTGATGATGAGCATTTTTTTGTGTGTCTTTTGGCTGCATAAATGTCTTCTTTTGAGAAGTGTCTGTTCATATCCTTCACCCACTTTTTGATGGGGTTTTTTTTTTTCTTGTAAATTTGTTGGAGTTCATTGTAGATTCTGGCTATTAGCCCTTTGTCAGATGAGTAGGTTGCAAAAATTTTCTCCCATTTTTTAGGTTGCCTTTTCACTCTGAGGGTAGTTTCTTTTGCTGTGCAGAAGCTCTTTAGTTTAGTTAGATCCCATTTGTCAATTTTGGCTTTCGTTGCCATTGCTTTTGGTGTTTTAGACATGAAGTCCTTGCCCATAGACATCTATGTCCTGAATGGTAATACCTAGGTTTTCTTCTAGGGTTTTATGGTTTTAGGTCTAACATTTAAGTCTTTAATCCATCTTGAATTAATTTTTATATAAGGTGTAAGGAAGGGATTCAGTTTCAGCTTTCTCCATATGGCTAGCCAGTTTTCCCAGCATCTTTTATTAAATAGGGAATCCTTTCCCCATTGCTTGTTTTTGTCAGGTTTGTCAAAGATCAGATTGTTGTAGATTTGTGGCATTATTTCTGAGGGCTCTGTTCTCTTCCATTGATCTATATCTCTGTTTTGGTATCAGTACCATGCTGTTTTGGTTACTGTAGCCTTATAGTATAGTTTGAAGTCAGGTAGTGTGATGCTTCCAACTTTGTTCTTTTGGCTTAGGATTGACTTGGCGATGTGGGCTCTTTTTTGGTTCCATATGAACTTTAAAGTAGTTTTTTCCAATTCTGTGAAGAAAGTCATTGGTAGCTTGATGGGGATGGTGTTGAATCTATGAATTACCTTGTGCTGTATGGCCATTTTCACGATATTGATTCTTCCTACCCATGAGCATGGAATTTTCTTCCATTTGTTTGTATCCTCTTTTATTTCCTTGAGCAGTGGTTTGTAGTTCTCCTTGAAGAGGTCCTTCCTGTCCCTTGTAAGTTGGATTCCTAGGTATTTTATTTTCTTGAGCAGTGGTTTGTAGTTCTCCTTGAAGAGGTCCTTCCTGTCCCTTGTAAGTTGGATTCCTAAGTATTTTATTTCCTTTGAAGCAATTGTGAATGGGAGTTCACTCATGATTTTGCTTTCTGTTTGTCTGTTATTGGTGTATAAGAATGCTTGTGATTTTTGCACATTGATTTTGTGTCCTGTGACTTCGCTGAAGTTGCTTATCAGCTTAAGGAGATTTTGGGCTAAGATGATGGGGTTTTCTAGATATACAATCACGTCATCTGCAAACAGGGACAATTTGATTTCCTCTTTTCTTAATTGAATACCATTTATTTCCTTCTCCTGCCCAATTGCCCTGGCCAGAACTTCCAACACTATGTTGAATAGGAGTGGTGAGAGAGGGCATCCCTGTCTTGTGCCAGTTTTCAAAGGGAATGCTTCCAGTTTTTGCCCGTTCAGTATGATATTGGCTGTGGGTTTGTCATAGATAGCTCTTATTATTTTGAGATACGTCTCATCAATACTTAATTTATGGGGAGTTTTTAGCATGAAGGTTGTTGAATTTTCTCAAAGGCCTTTTCTGCATCTGTTGAGATAATCATGTGTTTTTTGTCATTGGTTCTGTTTATATGCTGGATTATGTTTATTGATTTGCATATGTTGAACCAGGCTTGCATCCCAGGGATGAAGCCCACTTGTTCATGGTGGATAAGCTTTTTGATGTGTTGCTGGATTCGGTTTGCCAGTATTTTATTGAGGATTTTTGCATCAATGTTCATCAAGGATATTGGTCTAAAATTCTCTTTTTTGGTTGTGTCTCTGCCAGGCTTTGGTATCGGGATGATGCTGGCCTCATAAAATGAGTTAGGGTGGATTCCCTCTTTTTCTATTGAATGGAATAGTTTTAGAAGGAATGGTACGAGTTCTTCCTTTTACCTCTGGTGGAATTCGGCTGTGAATCAATCTGGTCCTGGACTCTTTTTGGTTGGTAAGCTGTTGATTATTGCCACAATTTCAGATCCTGTTTTTGGTCTATTCAGAGACTCAACTTCTTCCTGGTTTAGTATTGGGAGGTTTTATGTGTCAAGGAATTTATCCATTTCTTCTAGATTTTCTAGTTTATTTGCGTAGAGGTGTATGTAGTATTCTCTGATGGTAGTTTTTTTTTCTGTGGGATCAGTGGTGATATCCCCTTTAACATTATTTATTGCATCTATTTGATTCTTCTCTCTTTTCTACTTTATTTTTCTTGCTAGCAGTCTGTCAATTTTATTGATCCTTTCAAGAAGCCAGCTACTAGATTCATTAATTTTTGAAGGGTTTTTGGTGTCTTTATTTCCTTCAATTCTGCTCTGATTTTAGTTATTTCTTGTCTTCTGCTAGTTTTGAATGTGTTTGCTCTTGCTTCTCTAGTTCTTTTAATTGTGACGTTAGGGTGTCAATTTTGGATCTTTCCTGCTTTCTCTTGTGGGCATTTAGTGCCATAAATTTCCCTCTACACACTGCTTTGAATGTGTCCCAGAGATTCTGGTATGTTGTGTCTTTGTTCTCATTGGTTTCAAAGAACATCTTTATTTCTGCCTTCATTTCGTTATGTACCCAGTAGTCATTCAGGAGCAGGTTGTTCAGTTTCCATGTAGTTGAGTGGTTTTGAGTGAGTTTCTTAGTCCTGAGTTCTAGTTTGATGGCACTGTCATCTGAAAGACAGTTTGTTATAATTTCTGTTCTTTTACATTTGCTGAGGAGAGCTTTACTTCCAGCTATGTGGTCAATTTTGGACTAGGTGTGTTGTGGTGCTGAAAAATATGTATATTCTGTTGATTTGGGGTGGAGATTTCTGTAGATGTCTATTAGGTCTTCTTGGTGCAGAGCTGAGTTCAATTCCTGGGTATCCTTGTTAACTTTCTGTCACATTGATCTGTCTAATGTTGACAGTGGGGTGTTAAAGTCTCCCATTATTATTGTGTGGTAGTCTAAGTCTCTTTGTAGGTCACTAAGGACTGACTTTATGAATTGGTGCCCCTGTATTGGGTGCATATATACTTAGGATAATTAGCTCTTCTTCTTGAATTTATCCCTTTACCATTATGTAATGGCCTTCTTTGTCTCTTTTGATCTTTGTTGGTTTAAAGTCTCAGAATGCTTCTGTCTAGTTTTCATTTGAAGACTTTTTTTTTCTCGGTTGGCCTCAAATTGCTCAGAAATATCCCTTTTCAGATTCTACAAAAAACGGTTTCCAAACTTCTCAATCAAAACAATGGCTCAGTTCTGTGAGATGAGAGCTCAAATCACAAGATTTCCTCAGATAACTTTGCACTTTGTGTAAAAAGACTGTTTCCAGACTGCTCAGTGAAAAGAAAGATTAATCTCTGTGAGATGAATGCACACATCACAAAGATATTTCTCAGATAGCTTCTGTCTAGTTTTTATGTGAAGATATTCCCTTTTTCACCTTTGGCCACAAAGGGATCCCAGATATCCCTTTGCAGATTCTACTAAAAGACAGTTTACAAACTGCTCAATCAAAAGAAAGGTTCAACTTTGTGAATGCACCCATCACAAAGAAGTTTCTCTGAAAGCTTCTGTCTAGTTTTCATTTGAAGATATTTCCTTTTTCTCCATTGGCCTCAAATCACTCAGAAATATCCTTTTGTAGATTCCACAAAAAACGGTTTCCAAACTGCTCAATGAAAAGAACGGTTCAGCTCTGGGAGATGAAAGCACACATCACAAAGAAGTTCCTCAGAAAACTTCTGTCTGGTTTTTATGTGAAGATATTTCCTTTTTCAGCATAGGCCTGACAGCACCCACAAATATCACTTTGCAGATTGTAGAAAAAGACTGTTTCCAAACTGCTCAATCAAAAGAAAGTTTCAGCTCTGTGAGGTGAATGCACACATCAAAAAAAAGTTTATCAGAATATTTCTGTCTAGCTTTTATGTGAAGATAATTCCTTTTTCAAAATATGTCTCGAAGGGCTCCGAAATATCCCTTTGCAGATTCGAGAAAAAGACGGATTCCAAACTGCTCAATCAAAAGAAATGTTCAACTCTGTGAGATGAATGCACACGTCACAAAGGTGTTTCTGAGAAAGCTTCTGTCTAGTTTTTATGTGAAGATATTTCCTTTTTCACCATAGTCCTCAAAGGGCTCCCAAATATCCCTTTGCAGATTCCTCAAAAAGAATCTTTCCAAACTGCTCAATCAAAGGAAGTTGCAAATCTGAGAGACGAATGCACATATCACAAAGAAGTTTCTCAGAAAACTTCTGTCTAGTTTTTATGTGATGATACTTCCTTTTTCACCATAGGCCTCAAACCGATTCCAAATATCCCTTTGCAGATTTTATAAAAAGACAGTTTCAAAACCTGTCAATCAAAAGAAAGGTTCATCTCTGTGACATGAATGCACAAATCTCAAAGAAGTTTCTTAGAGAGCTTCTGTCTAGTTTTTATGTGAAGACATTTCCCTTTTCACCATAGTCCTTGAAGGGCTCCAAAATATCCCTTTGCAGATTCTACAAAAAGAATCTGTGCAAACTGCTCAATGAAAAGAAAGGTGCAACTCTGTCAGGTCAATATGTACATCACAAAGAATTTTCTCAAAATCTTCCCTCCAGTTTTCACATGAAGATATTTACTTTTGTACCATAGGTCTCAAACTGCTGAGAAATATCGCTTTGCAGATTCCTCAAAAAGAGTTTCAAACTGCTCAATCAAAGGAAGGTTCAAATCAGAGAGATGAATGCACATATCACAAAGAAGTTTCTCAGAAATATTCTGCCTTTTTTTTTTATGTGATGATATTTGCTTTTTCACCACAGGCCTCAAACGGATTCCAAATATCCCTTTGCAGATTTTATAAAAAGACAGTTTCAAAACTGGTCAATCCAAAGAAAGGTTCAACTCTGTGACATGAATGAACACATCACAAAGAAGTTTCTCAGAGGGCTTCTGTCTGGTTTTATGTGAAGATATTTCCCTTTTCACTGTAGTCTTTGAAGGGCTCCCAAATATCCCTTTGCAGATCCTACAAAAAGAATCTGTCCAAACTGCTCAATGAAAAGAAAGGTACAACTCTGTCAGGTGAATAGACGTATCACCAAGAAGTTTCCCAAAAAGCCTCTGTCTAGTTTGTATATAAAGATATTTATGTTTTCACCATAGGCCTCAAACCGCTGAGAAATATCCCTTTGCAGATACCTCAAAAAGAATGTTTCCAAAGATCTCAATCAAAGGAAGGTTCAAATCTGAGAGATGAATGCAGATATCACAAAGAAGTTTCTCAGAAAGCTTCTGTCTATTTTTTATGTGATGATATTTGCTTTTTCACTGTAGTCCACAAACGGATTCCAAATATCCCTTTGCAGATTTTATAAAAAGACAGTTTCAAAACTGGTCAATCAAAAGAAAGGTTCAACTCTGTGACATGAATGCACACATCCCAAAGAAGATTCTCAGAGAGCTTCTGTCTAGTTATTATGTGAAGATATTGCTCTTTTCATCGTAGTCCTTGAAAGTCTCCCAAATATCCCTTTGCAGATTCTACAAAAAGAAACTATCCAAACTGCTCAATGAAAAGAAAGGTACAACTCTGTAAGGTGAATATACACATCACAAAGAAGTTTTGCAAAGTGCTTCTGTCCAGTTTTCACATGAAGATATTTCCTTTTTCACCATAGGCCTCAAACCACTGAGAAATATACCTTTGCAGATTCTACAAAGAGACAGTTTCCAAACTGCTCAATCAAAAGAAAGGTTCAACTCTGTGAGATGAATGTACGCATCTCAAATATTTTGTCAGAAAGATTCCGTCTACTTTTTATGTGAACATATTTTCTTTTTCACCACAGGCCTCAAATCACTCCCAAATATCCCTTTGCAGACTCTACAAAAAGACTATTTCTTAGCTTCTCAATCAAAAGAAATTTTCATCTCTGTGAGATGAATACACACAACACAAAGAAGTTTCCCAGAAAGCTTCTGTCTAGTTTTTATGTGAACATATTTTCTTTTTCACCATTGCCCTCAAAGGGCTCCCAAATATCCCTTTGTAGATTCTACAAAAAGACTCTTTCCAAACTGCTCAATCAAAAGAAAGTTTCAACTCTGTGTGTTGAATGCACACATCATGAAGAAGTTTCTGAGAAAGCTTCTGTGTAGTTTTTATGTGAAGATATTTCCTTTTTCACCATGGGCCTCAAAGTGCTCACAAATATTCCTTTGCAGATTCTAAAAAAAGAATGTGTCCAAACTGCTCATTCAAAAGAAAGTTTCAACTCTGTGAGATGAATGCACACATCATAAAGAAGTTTCTCAGAAAGCTTCTGTCTAGTTTTTATGTGAAGATATTTCCTTTTTCCCCATAGGCCTCAAATCACTCAGAAAGATCCCTTTGCAGATCCTATAAAAAGATTGTTTCCAAACTGCTCAATCAAAACAAAGGTTCAACTCTGTGAGATGAATGCACACATCACAGAGAAGTTTGTCAGAAAGCTTCTGTGTAGTTTTTTTGTGAAAATATTCCCTTTTTCAGCATGGCCTCAAGGGGATTACAAATATCCCCTTTCAGATTCTACAAAAAGACTGTCTCCAAAGTGCTCAGTCAAAAGAAAGTTTCAACTCTGTGAGGTGAATGCATGCATCACAAAGTAGTTTCTCAGAAAGCCTCTGTCTAGCTTTTGTGTGAACATATTTCCTTTTACATAATAGGCCTCAAAGGGCTCCCAAATATCTCTTTGCAGATTCTACAAAAAGTCTGTTTCCAAACTGCTCAATCAAAAGAATATTTCAACTCTGTTAGATGAATGCATGCATCACAAACAAGTTTCTCAGAAATCTTCGGTCTAGTTTTTATGTGAAGATATTCACTGTTTCAACAAAGGCCTCAAACCACTTCGAAATATCCATTGCACATTCTAGAATAAGACTGTTTCCAAACTGCTCAATCAAAAGAAATGTTCAAATTTTGAGATGAATGCACTCATTACAGAGAAGTTTCTCAGAAAGATTCTGTCTAGTTTTTATGTGAAGATATTTCCCTTTTAACAATAGGCCTCAAACCACTCAGAAATATCCCCTTGGAGATTCTAGAAAAAGACTGTTTCCAAACTGCTGAATCAAAAGAAAGTTTCAGCTCTGTAGGATGAATGCATGCATGACAAAGAAGTTTCTCAGAAAGCTTCTGTCTAGTTTTAATGTGAGGATATTTCCTTTTTTACCATAGGCCTCAATACCCTGAGATATATACCTTTGCAGATTCTAGAAAAAGACTGTTACCAAACTGCTCAATTAAATGAAAGTTTCAAGTCTGTGAGATGAATGCACAAATGACAAAGAAGTTTCCCAGAAGGCTTCTGTCTAGTTTTTATGTGAAGATATTTCCTTTTTCATCATAAGCCTCAAAGTGACCTCAAATGTCCCTTTGCAGATTCTACAAAAAGACTGTTTCCAAACTTCTCAATAAAAAGGAAGTTTCAATTCTGTGAGATGAATGCACACATCACAACTAAGTTTGTCAGAAAGCTTCTCTTTATTTTTTGTGTGAAGATATTTCCTTTTTCACAGTAGGCCTCAAAGGGTTCCCAAATGTCCCTTTGCAGATTCTATAAAAAAACTGTTTCCAAGCTGTTCAGTCAAAATAAAGTTTCATCATTGTGAGATGAATCCACACATAACAATTAAGTTTCTCAGAAAGCTTCTGTATAGTTTTGTTGTGAAGATATTTCCTTTTTCAACGTGGACTTCAAAGTACTCCCAAATATCCCTTTGCATATTCTACAGGAAGACTGTTTCCAAACTGCTCAATGAAAAGAAAGGTTCAACTCTGTTAGATGAATGTACATGTCACAAAGAAATTTCTTAGCAAGCTTCTTTCTAGTTTTTATGTGAAGATATTCCCTTTTTCTCTAATCAAAAGAATGGTTAACCTCTGTGAGATGAATATATGCATCAAAAAGGAGTTTCTCAGAAAGCTTCTGTCTGGTTTTTATCTGAAGATATTTCCTTTTTCGTCATAGGCCTCAAAGCACCCACAGATATCCCTTTGCAGATTCTTCAAAAAGACTGTTTCCAAGCTGCTCAATCAAAAGAAGGTTTGAACTCTGTATGATTAATGCACACATCACAAATAAGTTTCTCAGAAATCTTCTGTCTAGTTTTAATTTGAAGATATTTCCTTTTTCACCACAGGCCTCAAATCACTGAGATATATCCCTTTTCATATTCTACAAAAAGACAGCTTCCAAACTGCTCAATCAAAAGAAAGGTTCAACTCTGTGAGATGAATGCACACATCACACAGAATTTCCTCATAAAGCTTCTGTCTAGTTTTATGAGAAGATAGTTCCATTTTCACCATAGGCCTCAAAGCACTCCGAATATCCCTTTGCAGATGGTGAAGATACTTTGTTTTTCACAGTAGTCCTCACAATGCTCAGAAATGTCCAATTTCAGATTCCACAAAAAGATGCTTTCCAAACTGCTCAATCAAAGGAATGTTTCAACTCTGTGAAATCAATGCACACATCACAAGGAAGTTACTGAGAAAGCTTCTGTCTAGTTTTCATGTGAAAATATTTCATTTTTCCCCATAGGCTTCAAACCCCTCAGAAATATCCCTTTTCAGATTCTACAAAAAGACTGTTTCCAAACTGATCAAAAGAAAGTTTCAACGGTGTGAGATGAATACACGCATCCCAAAGAAGTTTCTGAGAAATCTTCTTTCTGGTTTTTATCTGAAGATATTCCCTTTTTCACCATGGTCCTCAAAGGGCTCCAATAAATCCCTTTGCAGATTCTACAAAGAGAGTGTTTCCAAACTGCTCAATCAAAAGAAAGGTTGAACTCTGTGAGATGAATGCACACATCACAAAGAAGTTTCGCTGAAAGCATCTTTCTAGTTTTTATGTGAACATATTTGTGTTTTCTTTTTGTTTCTTTTTTTTTTTTTACCATTTTACAGTTTATTATTATACTCTAAGTTTTAGGGTACATGTTCACATTATGCAGGTTAGTTACATATGTATACATGTGCCATGCTGTTGCACTGCACCCACTAACTCGTCATCTAGCATTAGGTATATCTCCCAATCGTATCCCTCCCCCCTCCCCCCACCCCTCAACAGTCCCCAGAGTGTGATATTCCCCTTCCTGTGTCCATGTGATCTCATTGTTCAATTCCTACCTATGAGTGAGAATATGCGGTGTTTGGTTTTTTGTTCTTGTGATAGTTTACTGAGAATGATGATTTCCAATTTCATCCATGTCCCTACAAAGGACATGAACTCATCATTTTTTATGGCTGCATAGTATTCCATGGTGTATATGTGCCACATTTTCTTAATCCAGTCTATCATTGTTGGACATTTGGGTTGGTTCCAAGTCTTTGCTATTGTGAATAATGCCACAATAAACATATGTGTGCATGTGTCTTTATAGCAGCATGATTTATAGTCCTTTGGGTATATACCCAGTAATGGGATGGCTGGGTCAAATGGTATTTCTAGTTCTAGATCCCTGAGAAATTTCCACAAGAAAATCTAGAAGAAATGGATAAATTCCTTGACACGTACATTCTCCCAAGACTAAACCAGGAAGAAGTTGAGTCTCTGAATAGACCAATAACAGGATCTGAAATTGTGGCAATAATCAATAGCTTATCAACTAAAAAGAGTCCAGGACCAGATGGCTTCACAGCCGAATTCTACCAGAGGTACAAGGAGCAAATCGTACCATTCCTTCTGAAACTATTCCAATCAATAGAAAAAGAGGGAATCCTCCCTAACTCATTTTATGAGGCCAGCATCATTCTGATACCAAAGCTGGGCAGAGACACAACGAAAAAAGAGAATTTTAGACCAATACCCTTGATGAACATTGATGCAAAAATTCTCAATAAAATACTGGCAAAGCGAATCCAGCAGCACATCAAAAAGCTTATCCACCATGATAAGTGGGCTTCATCCCTGGATGCAAGGCTGGTTTAACATACGCAAATCAATAAATGTAATCCAGCATATAAACAGAGCCAAAGACAAAAACCACATGATTATCTCAATAGATGCAGAAAAAGCCTTTGAAAAAATTCAACAACACTTCATGCTAAAAACTCTCAATAAATTATGTATTGATGGGATGTATTTCAAAATAATAAGAGCTATCTATGACAAACCCACAGCCAATATCATCCTGAATGGGCAAAAACTGGAAGCATTCCCTTTGAAAACTGGCACAAGACAGGGATGCCCTCTCTCACCACTCCTATTCAACATAGTGTTGGAAGTTCTGGCCAGGGCAATTAGGCAGGAGAAGGAAATAAAGGGCATTCGATTAAGAAAAGAGGAAGTCAAATTGTCCCTGTTTGCAGACGACATGATTTTATATCTAGAAAACCCCATTGTCTCAGCCCAAAATCTCCTTAAGCTGATAAGCAACTTCAGTAAAGTCTCAGGATACAAAATCAATGTACAAAAATCACAAGCATTCTTATACACCAACAACAGACAAACAGAGAGCCAAATCATGAGTGAACTCCCATTCACAATTGCTTCAAAGAGAATAAAATACCTAGGAATCCAACTTACAAGGGATGTGAAGGACCTCTTCAAGGAGAACTACAAACCACTGCTCAAGGAAATAAAAGAGGATAGAAATAAATGGAAGAACATTCCATGCTCATGGGTAGGAAGAATCAATATCATGAAAATGGCCATACTGCCCAAGGTAATTTACAGATTCAATGCCATCCCCATCAAGCTACCAATACATTTCTTCACAGAATTGGAAAAAACTACTTTAAAGTTCATATGGAACCAAAAAAGAGCCCACATCGCCAAGTCAATCCTAAGCCAAAAGAACAAAGCTGGAGGCATCACACTACCTGACTTCAAACTATACTATAAGGCTACAGTAACCAAAACAGCATGGTACTGGTACCAAAACAGAGATATAGATCAATGGAACAGAACAGAGCCCTCAGAAATAACACCGCATATCTACAACTATCTGATCTTTGACAAACCTGAGAAAAACAAGCAATGGGGAAAGGATTCCCTATTTAATCAATGGCGCTGGGAAAACTGGCTAGCCATAAGTAGAAAGCTGAAACTGGATCCCTTCCTTACACCTTATACAAAAATCAATTCAAGATGGATTAAAGACTTAAACGTTAGACCTAAAACCATAAAAACCCTAGAAGAAAACCTAGGCATTACCATTCAGGACATAGGCATGGGCAAGGACTTCATGTCTAAAACACAAAAAGCAATGGCAACAAAAGCCAACATTGACAAATGGGATCTAATTAAACTAAAGTGCTTCTGCACAGCAAAAGAAACTACCATCAGAGTGAACAGGCAACCTACAAAATGGGAGAAAATTTTTGCAACCTACTCATCTGACAAAGGGCTAATATACAGAATCTACAATGAACTCAAACAAATTTACAAGAAAAAAACAAACAACCCCATCAAAAAGTGGGTTAAGGATATGAACAGACACTTCTCAAAAGAAGACATTTATGCAGCCAAAAGACACATGAAAAAATGCTCATCATCACTGGCCATCAGAGAAATGCAAATCAAAACCACAATGAGATAGCATCTCACACCAGTTAGAATGGCAAACATTAAAAAGTCAGGAAACAAGAGGTGCTGGAGAGGATGTGGAGAAATAGGAACACTTTTACACTCTTGGTAGGACTGTAAACTAGTTCAACCATTGTGGAAGTCAGTGTGGCGATTCTTCATATTTGCATTTTCACTACAGTCCTCTATCAGCTCAGAAATATTCCTTTGCAGATTCTACAAAAAGACAGTTTCCAAACTGCACAAGGAAAAGAAAGGTCACCTTTGTGAGATGAATGCATGCATCACAAAGAAGTTTCTCCGAAAGCTTCTGCCTAGTTTTTATGTGAAGATATTTCTTTTTTCACCATAGGACTTGAAGGGCTCCCAAATATCCCTTTGTAGATTCTACAAAAAGACTGTTTCCAAACCGATCAGTCAGAAGAAAGATTTAACTCTGTGACTTGAATGCACACATCACAAGGAAGTTTCTAAGAAAGCTTCTGTCTATTTTTAATGTGAAGATATTTCCTTATTCACCATAGGCCTCAAAAAGCTCAGAAGTATCCCCTTGAGGATCCTAGAAAAAGACTGTTTCCAAACTGCTCAATCAAAAGAAGATTCAACTCTGAGATGAATGCATACATCATAAATAAGTTCCTCAGAAAACTTCTGTCTAGTTTTTACGTGAAGATATTTCCTTTTTCACCACAGGCCTCGAAGGGCTCCCAAATATCTCTTTGCAGATTCTACAAAAAGAGTGTTTCCAAAATGCTCAATGAAAGGTAAGGTTCAATCCCATGAGATGGATGTACACATCACAAAGAAGTTTCTCAGAAAGCTTCTGTCTAGTTTTTATGTGAAGATATTTCCTTTTTCACAACAGGCCTCAAACTGCTCAGAAATATTCCTTTTCAGAATCTACAAATAGAATGTTTCCAAAATGCTCAATGAAAAGAAAGTTCAGCTCTGTGAGATGAATGTAGACATCACAAAGAAGTTTCTCAGAAAGGTTCTGTCTAGTTTTTATGTGAAGATATTTCCTTTATCACCATAGACCTCAAAGCGCCCTGGAATATCCCTTTTCAGATTCTACAAAAAGACTGTTTTTTTCAAACTGCTCAATCAAATATATGTTCATCTCTGTGAGATGAATGCACAAATCGCAAAGAAGTTTCTCAGAAAACTTCTGTCCAGTCTTTATGTGAAGATATTTCCTTTTTCACCACAGGCCTCGAATATCCCTTTGCAGATTCTTCAAAATACTGTTTCCAAACTGCTTATTCAAAAGAAAGGTTCAACTATGTGAGACGAATGTGCATATCACTAAGAAGTTTCTCAGAAATCTTCTGTCCAGTTTTTATATAAAGATATTTCCTTTTTCACCATATGCCTCAAACCACTCAGAAATATCCCAATGCAGATTCTACAAAAAGACTGTTTACACACTGCTCAATCAAAAAAAGATTCAACTCCATAAAATGAATTCACCCATCACAGAAAAGTTTCTGAGAAAATTCTCTCTAGTTCTAATGTGAAGATATTCCCTTTTTCAACATGATCCTCAAAGGGATCCGAAATATTCCTTTGCAGATTCTACAAAATGACTGTTTCCACACTGCTCTATCTAAAGAAAGTTTCAAATCTGTGAGAGGAATGCACGCAACAAAAAGAAGTTTCTCAGAAATCTTCTGTCTAGTTTTTATGTGAACGTATTTCCTTTTTCACCTTAGGCCTCAAAGGGCTCCCAAATATCCCTTTGCAGATTCTTCAAAGAGGCTATTTTTAAACTGATCAATCAAAAGAAGAGTTTTACTCTGTGAGTAGAATGCACACATAACAAAGAAGTTTCACAGAAAGCTACTGTCTAGTTTTTATGTGAAGATATTTCCTTTTTCACCATAGGCCTCAAACCACTCAGAAATATCCCTTTGGAGAGTCTAAAAAAAGACTGTTTCCAAAGTGCTCAACCAAAAGAAAGGTTCAACCCTGTGAGATGAATGCACACATCACAAAAAAGTTTCTCAGAAAGCTTCTGTCTAGTTTTTATATGAAGATATTTCCTTTTTCACCGAAGGCCTCAAAACTCCCTCAAATGTCCCCCTGCAGGTCCTACAAAAAGACTGTTTTGAAACTGCTCAATCAACGGAAAGGTTCAACTCTGTGCAATGAATGTACATATCAGAACGAAGTTTCTCAGAAAACTTCTGCCTAGTTTTCATGTGAAGATATTTCCTTTTTCAGCACAGGCCTCAACTGCTCAGAAATATCCCTTTGCAGATTCTACAAAAAGAGTGTTTCCAAACTGTTCAATCAAAGGAAAGTTTCAACTCTGTGAGATGAATGCACACATCACAAAAAAGTTTCTCAGAAAACTTCTTTCTATTTTTTATGTGAAGATATTTCCTTTTTCACCATAGGCCTCAAAGGGATCCCAAATATCACTTTGCAGATTTTTCAAAAAGACTGTTTCCAAATTTCTCAATCAAAGGAAAGGTTCAACTCTGTGAGATGAATGCACACATCACAAAGAATTTGCTCAGAAAACTTCTGTCTAGTTTTTATATGAAGATATTCCCTTTTTCACCATAGACCTTGAAGGGCTCCCAAATATCCCTTTGCAGTTTCTTGAAAAAGACTGTTTCCAAACTGCTCAATCAAAAGAAAGGTTCAATGCTGTAAGATGAATGTACGTATCAGGAAGAAGTTTCTCATAAAGCTTCTGTCTAGTTTTTATGTGATGATATTTCCTTTTTCACCATAGGACTCCAGGGGATCCCAAATATCCCTTTGCAGATTTTACAAAAAGACTTTTTCCAAACTGCTCAATCAAAAGTAAGGTCCAACTCTGTGAGATGAATGCACACATCCCAAAGAAGTTCCTAAAAAAGCTTCTGTCTAGTTTTTGTGTGAAGACATTTCCTTTTTCACCTTAGGACTCAAAATGCTCCCAAATATCCCTTTGCAGATTCTACAAAAAGATGTTTCCAAACTGCTCAATCAAAAGAATGGTTCAATTCTGTGAGAGGGATGCAGACATCACAAAGAAGTTTCTCAGAAAGCTTCTGTCTAGTTTTTATGTGAAGATATTTCCTTTTTCATCGTAGGCCTCAAGGCCCTCAGAAATATTCCTTTGCAGATTCTGTGAAAAGACTGTTTTGAAACTGTTCAAAGAAAAGAAAGTTCAACACTGTGAGATGAATGCACGCATCAGAAAGAAGTTCTGAGACAGATTCTGTCTATTTTTTATTTGTAGATATTTCATTTTTCACCATAGGCCTCAAAATGCTCCCAAATACCCCTTTGCAGATTCTACAAAAAGACAGTTTTCAAACTACTCAATCAAAAGAAATGTTGATCTCTGTAAGATGAATGCACACATCACAAAGAAGTTTCTCATGAATCTTATTTCTGGTCTTTATGTGAAGATATTTCCTTTTTCACCATAGGCCTCAAAGCACCCTCAAATATCCCTTTGCAGATTCTACAAAAAGAATGTTTCCAAACTGCTCAATCAAAAGAAGGTTTCAAGTCTGTGAAATGAATGCACACATCACAAAGAGGTTTCTCAGAAACCTTCTGTCTGGTCTTTATGTGAAGATATTTCTTTTTCACCATAGGCCTCAAAGCACCCTCAAATATCCCTTTGCAGATTCTACAAAAAGAATGTTTCCAAACTGCTCAATCAAAAGAAAATTTCAACTCTGTGAGATAAATGCACCCATCAAAAAGAAGTTTCTCAGAAAGATTCTGTCTGGATGTTATATGAAAATATTTCCTTTTTCACCATAGGCCTCAATCTGCTCAGAAATATCCCTTTGCAGAATCTATAAAAAGACTGTTTTGAAACTGCTGAATCAAAAGAAATTTTAACTCTATGAGATGAAAGCACACATCACAAAGAAGCTTCTCAGAAAGATTCTGCCTACTTTTTATGTGAAGAGAATTCCTTTTTCACCATAGGCCTCAAGCTGCTCAGAAATATCCCTTTGCAGATTCTATAAAAAGAATGTTTCCAAACTGCCCAATGAAACGAAAGGTTCAACTCTCTGACATGAATACACACACCTGAAAGAAGTTTCTCAGAAGGATTCTGTCTAGTTTTTAGGTGAAGATATTTCTGTTTTCACCAAAGGCCTCAAAGGCCTCCCAAATATCCCTTTGCAGATTCTACAAAAGACTCTTTCCAAAATGCTCAATGAAGAGGAAGTTTCAACTCTGTGAGAGGAATGCACACAACACAAAGTAGTCCCTCACAATGCTTCTATTTTTTATGTGAAGATATTTCATTTTTCACCATAGGCTTAGAAGGTCTCCAAAATATCCCTTTGCAGATACTACAAAAAGACTGTTTACAACCTGCTCTTTAAAAAGAAAGGTTCAATTCTGTGAGATGAATGCACACATCACAAAGAAGTTTCTGAGAAAGCTTCAGTATAGTTTTTATGTGAAGATATTTCCTTTTTCACCATAGGCCTCAAACCGCACAGAAATATCCCTTTGCAAATTCGACAAAAGGACGTTTTCAAACTGCTCACTCAAAGGAAAGTTTCAGCTCCGTTAGATGAATGCAAAGATCACAAAGAAGTTTCTCAGAATGCTTCTGGCCACTTTTAATTTGAAGATATTTCCTTTTTCACCATGGACCTCAAAGTGATACCAAATATCCCTTTGCAGATTCTACAGAAAGAGGGTTTCCAAAGTGCTCAATCAAGGGAAAGCTTCATATCTGTTAGATGAATGCATGAGCCACAAAGAAGTTTCTCAGAAAGCTTCTGTCTAGTTTTTATGTGAAGATACTTCCTATTTCACCATAGTCCATAAGGGGCTCACAAATATCCCTGTGCAGATTACATGAAAATTCTGTTTCCAAACTGCTGAATCAAAAGAAAGCTTCAAATCTGTGAGTTGAAAGTGCACATCACAAAGATGTTTCTCAGAAAGCTTCTGTTTAGTTTGCTTCTGTTTAGTTTTTACGTGAGGATATTTCCTTTTTCACCATAGGCTTCAAAGAGCTCCAAACATCCATGTGCATATTATACAAAAAGAGTGTTTCCAAACTGCTCAATCTAAAGAAATTTTCAACTCTCTGAGATGAATGCACACATCACAAAGAAGTTTCTCAGAAAGATTCTGTCTAGTTTTCATGTGAACATATTTCCTTTTTCTCTATAGCCCTCAAATGGCTCCCAAATAACTCTTTGCAGATTCTACAAAAAGAATCTTTCCAAACAGCTCAATCAAAAGAAAGGTTCAAATCTGTGAGATGAATGCACTCATCAAAAGAATTTTCTGAGAAAGCCTCTTTATAGTTTTTATGTGAAGATATTCCCTTTTTCACTGTAGGCATCAAATTGCTGAGAATTATCCCTTTGCAGATACTACAAAAAGACGGGTTCCAACTCTGTGAGATGAATGTACACATCACAAAGAAGTTTCTCAGAATGTTTCTGTCTAGTTTTTATGTGAAGATATTTCCTTTTTCACCATAGGCCTCAAAGGGCTCCCAAAATTCCCTTCGCAGATTCTACAAAAAGACTGTTTCCAAACGGCTCCATCAAAAGAAAGTTTCAACGCTGTGAAATGAAAGCACACATCACAAAGAAGTTTCTCAGAAGGCTTCTGTCTAGTTTTTATATGAAGATATTTACTTTTTCGCTGCAGGCATCAAACCACTCAGAAATATCCCTTTGCAGATTCTACAAAAAGGCTGTTTAAAAACTACTCAAAAAAGAAAGGTTTAACTCTGTGAGATGAATGCACACATCACAAAGACGTTTCTCAGAAAGCTTCTGTCTAGTTTTTATGTGAAGATATTCTCTTTTTCACAATAGGCCTCAAAGGGATCCTAAATATCCCTTTGCAGATTCTACAAAAACAGTTTCCAAACTGCCCAATCAAAAGAAAGGTTCATCACTGTAAGATGAATGCACCCATCACGAAGAAGTTTCCCAGAATGCTTCTTTCTAGTTTTCATTTGAAGATATTTCCTTTTTCACCATTGACCTCAAATCGCTCAGAAATATCCCTTTGCAGATTCTACAAAAAGGCTGATTCCAAACTGCTAAATCAAAAGAAAGGTTGTACTGTGTGAGATGAATGCACACATCTCAAAGAAGTTTCTCAGAATGCTTCTGTCTAATTTTTATGTGAAGGTATTTCCTTTTTCACCATAGGCCGCAAAATACCCTCAAATGTCCCTTTACAGGTTCTACAAAAAGACTGTTTCCAAAATGCTCAATCAAAAGAAGGGTTCAACTCTGTGAGATGGATGCACACATCATAAAGAAGTTACCCAGAAAGCTTCTGTTCAGTTTTTATATGAAGATATTTCCGTTTTCACCATGGGCCTCAAAATGCTCAGAAACATCCTTTTGCAGATTCTACAAAAAGACTGTTTCCAAACTCCCCAATCAAAATAAAGTTTCAAGTCTGTGAAATGAATGCATGCAACACAAAGAAGTTTCTCAGAAAGCTTCTGTCAAATTCTTATGTGAAGATATTCCCTTTTTCAACATGTGCTGCAATGGGATACAAGTATCCCTTTGCAGATTCTGCAAAGACTGTTTCCAAACTGCTCAATCTAAAGAAAGGTTCAACTCTGTCAGCTGAATGCATGCATCACAAAGAAGTTTCTCAGAAAGGTTCTGTCTAGTTCTTATGTGAACATATTTCCTTTTTCACCTTAGGCCTCAAAGGGCTCCCAAATATCCCTTTGCAGATTCTAGAAAGAGACTTTTTCCAAACTGCTCAATCAAAACAAAAGTTCAACTCTGCTATTTGAATGGACACATCATAAAGAAGTTTAATGGAAACCTTCTGTCTAGTTATTATGTGAAGCTATTTCCTTATTCACCATAGGCCTCAAACTGCTCTGAAATATCCCTTTGCAGATTCTAGAAAAAGACTGTTTCCAAACTGCTCAATCAAAAGAAATGTTCAACTCCGTGAGATGAATACACACATCCCAAAGAAGTTTCTCAAAACACTTCTGTCTAGTTTTTATGTGAAGATATTTACTTTTTCACCATAGGCCTCAAAGTGCTCCCAAATATCCCTTTGCAGATGAATGCATGCATCACAAACAATTTTCTCAGAAGGCTTCTGTCTAGTTTTTATGTGAAGATATTCACTTTTTCACCATAGACCTCAAAGTGCAGATTCTAGAAAAAGACTGTTTCCAAACTGTTCAATCAAAAGGAAATTTCAACTCTGTGAGATGAATGCATGCATCACAAAGAAGTTTCTCAGAAAGCTTCTGTCTAGTTTTTATGTGAAGATATTTCCTTTTTCAACATAGGCCTCAAACTGCTCAGAAATATCCCTTTGAAGATTCTACAAAAAGACTGTTTCCAAACTTCTCAATCAAAAGAAATATTCTACTCCATGAGATGAATGTGCACATCACAAAGAAATTTCTCAGAAAACTTCTGTCCAGTTTTTATGTGAAGATATTCCCTTTTTCACCATGGGCCTCAAGGGATCCCAAATATCCCTATTCAGATTCTACAAAAAGTCTGTTTCCAAACTGCTCAATCAAAAGAATGGTTCATCTCAGAGAGATGAATGCACACTTCAAAAAGAAGTTTCTCAGAAACTTTCTGTTTTGTTTTATATGAAGATATTTCCTTTTTTAACATAGGCCTCAAAGCGCCATCAAATATCCCTTTGCAGATTCTACAAAAAGACTGTTTCCAAGCTGCTCAATCAAAAGAAAGTTTCAATTCAGTGAGATGAATGCACACATCACAAACAAGTTTCTCAGAAAGATTCAGTCTAGTTTTTATGTGAAGATACTCCATTTTTCACCAGAGGCCTCAAAGGGTTCCCAAATATCCCTTTGCATATTCTACAAAAAGACTCTTTCCAAACTGCTCAATCAAGAGAAAGTTTCAACTCGGTGAGATGAATGCCCCCATCACAAGGAAGTTACTCAGAAAGGTTCTGTCCAGTTTTTATGTGAAGATATTTCCTTTTTCACCTTAGGAATCAAAGGGATCTCAAATATCACTTTGCAGATGTTATAAAAAGACTGTTTCCACACTGGTCAATCAAAAGAAACATTCAATTCAGTGAGATGAATGCCCACATCAGAAAGAAGTTCCTCAGAAAACTTCAGTCTAGTTTTTATGTGAAGATATTACATTTTTCACCATAGATCTTGAAGGCTCCCAAATATCCCTTTGCAAATTCTACAAAAAGACTATTTCCAAGCTGCACAATCAAAAGAAAGTTTCCACTCTGAGGGATGAATAAATATATGACAAACAAGTTTCTCAGAAAGCTTCTGTCTGGTTTTTATTGGAAGATATTCCCTTTCTCACCATAGGCCTGAAACCGCTCAGAAATAGCCCTTTGTAGACCTTAAATACGACTGTTTACAAACTGCTCAATAAAAAGAAAGGTCAGCTCTGTGAGATGAATGTCCTTATTACAAAGAAGTATCTCAGAAAGTTTCTGTCTAGTTTTTATGTGAAGATATTTCCTTTTTCATCGTAGGCCTTAAACCGCTCAGAAATATCCCCTTAGACATTCTAGAAAAAGACTGTTTCCAAACTGCTCAATCAAATGAAAGGTTTAACTCTGTGAGATGAATGCACACATCACAAAGAAGTTTCTCAGAAAGCTTCTGTCTAGTTTTTATGTGAAGATATTCCCTTTTGAGCTACAGGAATTAAAGCATTACAAATATCCATTTGCAGATACTACAAAAAGAGTGTTTCCAAATTGCTCAATCAAAAGAAAGGTTCAATGCTTTGAGTTGAATGCACAGATCACAAAGAAGTTTCTGAGAATCCTTCTGTCTAGTTTTTATGTGAAGATATTTCCTTTTTTAACATAGGCCTAAAACTGGTCACAAGTATTCCTCTGCAGATACTACAAAAATACTGTTTCCAAAGTGCTCCATCAAAAGAAAGGTTCAACTCTGTGAGATGAATGCACACATTGCAAAGAAGTTTCTCAGAATGCTTCTGTCTAGTTTTTATATGAAGATACTTCCTTTTACACCATAAGCCTCAAAGTGCTCCAAATATCCATTTGCAGATTATACAAAAAGATGGTTTTCAAACTGCTCAATCAAAAGAAAGGTTGAACTGTGTGAGATGAATGCACACATCACAAAGACGTTTCTCAGAATGGTTCTGTCTAGTTTTTATGTGAAGATAATTCCTTTTTCACCGTAGGCCTAAAACTGTTCACAAATATCCCTCTGCAGATACCACAAAAAGACTGTTTCCATACTGCTCCATCAAAGGAAAGGTACAACTCTGTGAGATGAAAGCGCACATCACAAACAAGTTTCTCAGATTGCTTCTGTCTAGTTTTTATGGGAAGATATTTCCTTTTTCACCGTAGGCCTCAAAACCTTCTGAATATCCACTTGCAGGCACTACAAAAAGACTGTTTCCTAACTGCTCAATCAAAATAAAGGCTCAACTCTGTGAGATGAAAGCACACATCACAAAGAAGTTTCTCAGAAAGCTTCTTTCTAGTTTTTATGTGAAGATAATTCCTATTTCACCATAGGCCTCAATGGGCTCACAAATATCCATTTGCAGATTCACCAAAAGGACTGTTTTCAAACTGTTCAATCAAAAGAAAGGTTCAACTCTGTGAGATGAAGGGACACATCACAAAGAAGTTTCTCAGAATGCTTCTGTCTAGTTTTTAAGTGAAGATATTTCCTTTTTCACCATAGGCCCCAAAGCACTTCAAATATCACTTTGCACATTGTGCAATAAGACTATTTCCAAACTACTGAATCAAAAGAAAAGTTGAACTCTGTGAGATGAATGCAAATATCACAAAGAAGTTTCTCAGAATGCTTCTGTCTAGTTTTTGTGTGAAGATATTCCCTTTTTCACCATATGCCTTAAACAGCTCACAAGTAACCATTTGCAGTTTCTACAAAAAGACTGTTTCCAAACTGCTCCATCAGAAGAAAGGTTCAACTCTGTGAGATGAATACACACACGACAAACAAGTTTTGCAGAATGCTTCTGTCTACTTTTTATGTGAAGATATTTCCTTTTTCACCATAGGCTTCAAAGCGCTCAAAATATCCATTTGCATATTCTTCCAAAAGAGTGTTTCCAAACTGCTCAATCAAAAGAGAGGTTCGACTCTGTGAGATGAAAGCACACATCATAGAGTAGTTTCTCAGAAGGATTCTGTCTAGTTTTCATGTGATGATATTTCCTATTTCACAGTAGGCCACAAAGGTCTCAAAAATAACCCTTTGCAGATTCTACAAAAAGACTACTTCCAGACTGCTCAATCAAAAGAAAGGTTCAAATCTGTGAGATGAATTGACACATCACAAAGAAGTTTAAAAGAGTGCTTCTGCCTAGTTTCTATGTGAAGGTACTTCTTTTTCACCATAGGCCTCAAATGACTCTAAAATATCCCTTTGCAGATTGTACAAAAAGCCTGTTTCCAAACTGCTCTATCAAAAGTAAGTTTCAACTCTGTGAGATGGATGCTCACATCACAGAGGAGTTTCTCAGAATGCTTCTGTCTAGTTTTTATGTGAACATATTTCCTTTTTCACCATAGTCCTCAAAGTGCTCCAAATATTCATTTGCAGATTCTTCAAAAAGCCCATTTCCAAACTGCTCAATCAGAAGAAACTTTCAACACTGTGAGATTAACGTACACATCACAAAGTAGTTTCTCAGAAAGCTTCTTTCTAGTTCTTATGTGAAAATATTTCCGTTTTCACCATAGGCTCCAAAGCACAGCAAATACCCATTTGCAGATTCTACAAAAAGACTGTTTCCAAGCTGCTCAATAAAAAGAAAGTTTCAGCTCTGTGAGATGAATGGACACAACACAAAGAAGTTCCTCAGAATGCTTCTGTCTTGTTTTTATGTGAAGATACAGCTTTTTCACTGTATGTCTCAAGCGGCTTGGAAATATCCCTTTGCAGATTGTACAAAAGGCTGTTTCCAACATGCTCAATCAAAAGAAAGTTTCAACTCTGTGAGATGAAAGAACACATCACAAAGAAGTTTCTAAGAAAGATTCTGTTTAGTTTTAATGTGAAGGTATTTCCTTTTCAACCATAGGTCTAAAATCACTCCAAAAATCCATTTGCATATTCTACAAAAAGAGTGTTTCCAAACTGCTCAATCAAAAGAAAGTTTCAAGTCTGTGAGATGAATGCACACCTCACGAAGAAGTTTCTCAGAATGTTTCTGTCTTGTTTTTATGTGAAGATATTTCTTTTTTCACCATAGGCATTAAACCACTCAGAAATATCCCTCTGCAGATACTCCAAAAGACTGTTTCCAAACTGTTCCATCAAAAGAAAGGTTCAGCACTGTGAGAACAATGCACACATCACAGAGAAGTTTCTCAGAATGCTTCTGTCTTCTTTTTATGTGAAGATATTTTCTTTTTCAACATCAGCCTCAATCGCTCCAATTACCCTTTGGCAGATTCTTCCAAGAGACTGTTTCCAACCTGCTCAAGCAAAAATGAGTTTCAACTCTGTGAGACGAATTGAAGCAACAGAAGGAAGTTTCTCAGAATTCGTCTGTCTAGTTTTTATATGAAGATACTTCTTTTTCACCATAGGCTTCATAGGACTCAGAAATATCCCTTTGCAGATTGCACAAAATGATGGTTTCCAAACTGCTCTATCAAAAGAAAGATACAACTCTGTGAGATGAGTGCACACATCACAAAGAAGTTTCTCAGAATGCTTCTGTCTAATTTTTATGTGAAGGTACTTCCTTTTTCACCATAGGCCTGAAAGCACTCCAAATATCCATTTGCAGTTTCTACAAAAAGAGTGTTTCAAAATGGCTCAATCAAAAGAAAGTTTCAACCCTGGGAGATGAATGCATGCATCACAAAGAAGTTTCTCAGAATGTTTCTGTCTGGTTTTTATGTGAAGATATTTCCTTTTTCAACATGAGCCTTAGACTGGTCACAAATATTCATCTGCAGATACTACAAAAAGACTGTTTCCAATGTGCTCCATGAAAAGAAAAGTTCAACTATGTGAGATGAAAGCACACATCCCAAAGAAGTTTCTCAGAATGCTTCTCTCTAGTTTTTATGTGAAGATTCTTCCTTTTTCGCTATAAGCCTGAAAGCACTCCAAATATCCATTTGCATATTCTACAAAAAGAGGGTTTCCAAACTGCTCAATCAAAAGAAAGCTTCAACCGTGTGAAATGAATGCACACATCACAAAGAAGTTTCTCAGAATGCTTCTGTCTAGTTTTTATGTGAAAGTAATTCCTTTTTCACCATAGGCCTTAAACCATTCACAAATATCCCTCTGCAGATACTACAAAAAGACTGTTTCCAAACTGCTCCATCAAAGGAAAGGTAGAAAAGAAAGGTGAGATGAAAGCACACATCATAAAGAAGTTTCTCAGAATGCTTCTGTCTAGTTTTTATGTGAAGATATTTCCTTTTCTTCATAGGCCTAAAAGCGCTCCAAACATCCACTTTCATATTTTACAAAAAAAGTGTTTCCAAACTGCACAATACAAAGAAAGGTTCAACTCTGAGAGATGAATGCACACATCACAAAGAAGTTTCTCAGAATGCTTCTGTCTAGTTTTTATGTGAAGATATTCCCTGTTTTACCATAGACCTTAAACAACTCACAAATATCCATTTGCAGATTCTACAAAAAGAATATTTCCAAACTGCTCCATCAAAAGAAAGGTTCAACTCTGTGAGACGAATGCAAACAACACAAAGAAGTTTCTCAGAATGCTTCTGTCTGAGTTTTATGTGAAGATATTTCCTTTTTCACCATAGGCTTCAAAGCACTCAAAATGTCCATTTCAATGTTCTACCAAAAGACGTTTTCCAAATTGCTCAATCTAAAGAGAGGTTCAACTCTGTGAATTGAAAGCTCACCTCCTAGAGCAGTTTCTCAGAAGGATTCTGTCTAGTTTTTATGTGAAGCCATTTCATATTTCACAATAGGCCATTAAGGGCTCAAAAATATCCCTTTGCAGATTGTACAAAAAGACTGTTTCCACACTGCTCCATCAAAAGAAATCTTCAAATCCGTGAGATGAATGGACACATCACAAAGAAGTTTCAAAGAATGCTTCTGTCTAGTTTTTATGTGAATATATTTCCTTTTTCACCATAGGCCTCAAAGTGCTCCAAATATTCATTTGCAGATTCTTCAAAAAGCCTATTTACAAATTGCTCAATCAAAAGAAACGTTCAACTCAGTGGATTAATGCACTCATAACAAAGAAGTTTCTCAGAAAGCTTCTGTCTAGTTCTTATGTGAAAATATTTCCTTTTTCACCATAGGCTCCAAAGCACAGCAAATATCCATTTGCAGATTATACAAAAAGACTGTTTCCAAACTGCTCAATCAAAAGAATTTTTCAATACTGTGAGTTGAATGCACACATCACAAAGAAGTTTCTCAGAATGCTTCTGCCTAGTTTTTATGTGAAGATAATTCATTTTTCACCATAGGCTTAAATGGCTCAAAAATGTCCCTCAGCAGATACTACAAAAAGACTGTTTCCAAACTGCTTCATCTAAAGAAAAGTTGAACCATGTGACATTAATGTGCACATCACAAAGAAGTTTCTCAGAATGCTTCTGTCTCGTTTTTATGTGAGGATATTTGCTTTTTCACCATAGGTCTCAAAGCGCTCCAAATATCCATTTGCAGATTCTACAAAAAGAGTGTTTCAAAACTGCTCAATACAAGGAAAGTTTCAACTCTGTGAGATGAATGCACACACCAGAAAGAAGTTTCTCAGAATGCTTCCATCTAGTTTTCATCTGAAGATATTCACTTTTTCACCATAGGCCTCAAAGTGCTGCAAATATCCATTTGCAGATACTACAAAAAGACTGTTTCCAAACTGCTCAATCAAGAGGTTCAACACCATGAGATGAATGCACACATCAGAATGAAGTTTCTCAGAACGCTTCTGTCTAGTTTTTTTGTGAAGATATTTCCTTTACCACCACAGGCCTCAAAGTGCTCCAAATATCCACTTACAGATTCTAGAAAAAGACTGTGTCAAAACTGCTCAATCAATAGAAAGTTTCAACTCTGTGAGATGAATGCACACGTCACAAAGAACTTACTGAGAATGCTTCTGTCTAGTTTTTATGTGAAGATATTTCCTTTTCCAACATAGGCCTCAAAGCACTCCAAATATCCACTTGCAGATTCTACAAAAAGAGTGTTTCCAAAGTGCTCAATCAAAAGAAGGATTCAGCTCTATGAGATGAATGCACACTTCACAAAGAAGTTTCTCAGATTGCTTCTGTCTAGTTTTTATGTGATCCTATTTCTTTTTTTCAACATAGGCCTCAACGCGCTCCAAGTATCCATTTGCTCATACTTCAAAAAGACGGTTTCCAAACTGCTTAATCAAAGCAAAGGTTCCACTCTGTGAGATGAAAGCACACATCACAAAGAAGTTCCTCGGAATGCTTCTGCCTAGTTTTTATGGGAAGATATTTCCTTTTTCACCGTAGGCCTCAAAGCGCTCCCAATATCCATTTGCAGATTCTACAAAAAGACAGTTTCCAAAACGCTCAATCAAAAGAAAGGTTTAACTTGTGAGATGAATGCACACATCACAAATAAGTTTCTCAGAGTTTCTGTCTAATTTTTATGTGAAGATATTTCCTATTCCCCCAGAGTCCTCAATGGGCTCACAAATATCCCTTTGAAGATTCTACAAAGTGACTTTTTCCAAACTGCTCTACCAAAAGAAAGGTTCAACTCTGTGAGATGAATCCTCACATCACAAAGAAGTTTCTAGAATGCTTCTGTCTGGTTTTTGTGTGAAGATATTTCCTTTTCCACTATAGACCTAAAAAAGCTCCAAATATCCACTTGCAGTTTCTACAAAAAGAGTGTTTCCAAACTACGGAATCAAAAGAAATCTTCAACAGTGTGAGATGCATGCACACATCACAAAGAAGTTTCTCAGAATGCTTCTATCTAGTTTTTATGTGAAGATATTTCCTTTTTCACTACATGCCTCCATGTGCTCCAAATATAAATTTGCACATACTTCAAAAAGGCTGTTTAGAAACTGCTCAATCAAAAGAAAGGTTCAACTCTGTGAGATGAAAGCACACATCACAAAGAAGTTCCTCTGAATGCTTCTGCCTAGCTTTTATGGGAAGATATTTCCTTTTTCACCATAGGCCTCAAAGTGCTCCAAATATCCCTTTGCAGATTCTACAAAACGACTGTTTCCAAACTGCTCAATCAAAAGAAAATTTCTAACCTGTGAGATGAAAGCACACATCACAAAGAAATTCATCAGAAAGTTTCTGTCTAGTTTTCATGTGAAGATATTTCGTATTTCCCCAGAGGCCTCAATGGGCTCACAAATATCCCTTTGCGGATTCTACAAAGTGACTGTTTCCAAACTGCTCAATCAAAGGAATGGTTCAACTCTGTGTGATGAATGCACACATCACAAATAAGTTTCTCAGAATGCTTCTGTCTAGTTTTTTTGTGAAGATGTTTCCTTTTAAACTATAGACCGCAAAGCCCTCCAAATATCCCCTTGCAGATTCTACCAAAAGTTCCGTTTAGTTCTTATGTGAAGATATTTCCTTTTTCACCATAGGCCTTAAACCACTCACAAATATCCCTCTGCAGATACTACAAAAAGGCTGTTTCCAAACTGCTCCATCGAAAGAAAGCTTCAACTGTTTGAGATGAATGTACACATCCCAAAGGAGTTTCTCAGAATGCTTCTGTCTAGTTTTTATGTGAAGATATTCCCCTTTTCACCATAGGCCTTAAACCACTCACAAATATGCCTCTGTAGATACTACAAAAGGATGGTTTCCACACTGCTCCATCAAAAGAAACGTTCAACTCTGTGAGATGAATGCACACATCACAAAGATGTTTCTGAGAATGTTGCTGTCTAATTTTTATGTGAAGATACTTCCTTTTCCACCATAGGCTTCAAAGTGCTCCAAATATCTACTTGCAGAATCTAGAAAAAGAGTGTTTCCAAACTGCTCAATCAAAAGAAAGTTTCATCTCTGTGAGATGAATGCACACATCACAAACAAGTTTCTGAGAATGCTGCTATCTAATTTTTATGTGAAGATATTTCCTTTTCCACCTTAGGCCTCAAAGTGTAGATTCTACAAAAAGAGTGTTAAAAACTGCTCAATCAAAATAAAGGTGTAACTCTGTGAGATGAATGCGAATATCACAAATATGTTTCTCAGAATGCTTCTGTCTAGTTTTTATGCAAAGATATTTCCTTTTCAACTATAGGCCTCAAAGCGCTCCAAATATAAATTTGCAGATACTACAAAAAGAGTGTTTCCATACTGCTCAATCAAAAGAAAATTTCAGCACTGTGAGGTGAATGCACACATCTGAAAGAAGTTAATCAGAATGCTTCTGTCTAGTTTTTATGTGAAGAGATTTCCTTTTCAATTATAGGCCTCAAAGTGCTCCAGATTTCCGTTTGCATATACTACGAAAAGAGTATTTCCAAACTGCTCAATCAAAAAAATTTTCAACTCTGTGAGTTGAATGCACACATCACAAGGAAGTTTTTGATAATGCTTCTGTCTAGTTTTTACATGAAGATATTTCCTTTTCCCTCATAGGTCACAAAGGGCTCCCAATATCCAATTGTAGATTCTACAAAAAGAGTTTTTCAAATATGCTCAATTAAAAGAAAGTTTCAACCCTGTGAGATGAATGCACACATCAAAATTAGTTTCTGAGAATGCTTCTGTCTAGTTTTTTTTGAAGATATTTCCTTTTCAACAATAGGCCTCAAAACACTTGAAATATACATTTGCAGATAATACAAAAAGAGTGTTTCCAAACTGCTCAATCAAAAGAAAGGTTCAACTCTGTGAGTTGAATGCACACATCACAACGAAGTTTCAGAGAATGCTTCTGTCTAGTTTTAATGTGAAGATATTACCTTTTCCACCATAGGCCCCAAAGCCCCCCAAATATCCTTTTGTGGATTCTACAAAAAGAGAGTTTCAAAACTGCTCAATCAAAACAAAATTTCAATTCTGTGAGGTGAATGCAAACATCATAAAGAAGTTTCTCAGAATGCTTCTGTCTAGTTTTTATGTGAAGATATATCCTTTTCAGCTAAGGGCCTCAAAGGGCTACAAATATCCATTTGCAGATACTAAAAAAGAGTGTTTCCAAACTGGTCAATCAAAAGAAAGGTTCAACTCTGTGAGTTGCATGCACACATCACAAAGAAGTTTCTGAAAATGCTTCGGTCTTGTTTCTTTGTGAAGATATTTTCTTTTCCACCATAGGCCTCAAAGTGCTCCAAATATCCACTTGCAGATTTTACAAAAAGAGTGTTTACAAACTATTCCATCAAAAGAAAGGTTCAACTCTGTGACATGAATGCACACCTCACAAAGAAGTTTCTCAAAATGCTTCTGTCTAGTTTTTAAGTAAAGATACTTCCTTCTCCACATAGGCCTCAAAGCGCACTGAATATCCATTTGCAGACACTACAAAAAGAGTGTTTCGAAATTCTCAATCAAAAGAAAGTTTCAACTCTGTGAGTTGAATGCACACATCACAAAGAAGTTTCTGAGAATTCTTCTGTCTAGGTTTTATGTGAAGATATTTCCTTTTCCACCATAGGCCACAAAGTGCTCCAAACATCCACTTGCAAATTCTACAAAAGGAGGGTTTCCAAACTGCTCAATGAAATAAAATGTTCAACTCTGTGAGTTGAATGAACACATCACAAAGAAGTTTCTGAGAATGCTTCTTTCTAGTTTTTCTGTGAAGTTATTTCATTTTCTACAGTACCCCACAAAGAGTTCCAAATATCCACTTGCAGATTCTACAACAAGTGTTTACAAACTACTCAATCAAAAGAAAGATTCAAATCTATGAGATGAATGCACACATCACAAAGAAGTTTCTCAAAATTCTTCTGTCTATTTTTTATGCTAAGATATTTCCTTTTCCACCATAGGCCTCAAAGCGCCTAAAACATCCACTTGCAGATTCTCCAAAAAGAGTGTTTCAAAACTGCCCAATCAAAAGAAAGGTTCAACTCTGTGAGGTGATTGCACACATCACAAAGAAGTTTCTCAGAATGCTTCTGTCTAGTTTTTATGTGAAGATATTTCCTTTTCAGCTACTTGCCTCAAAGCACTTCAAATATCCATTTGCAGATACTACAAAACGAGTGTTTCCAAACTGCTCAATCAAACAGAAGATCAACTCTGTGAGTTCAATGCACACATCACAAAGAAGTTTCTTAGAATGATTCTGTCTAGTTTTCTTGTGAAGATTTTTCCTTTTCCACCATAGGTCTCAAAGGGCTCCAAATATCTACTTGCAGATTCTACAAAAAGAGTGTTTTAAACCTACTCAATCAAAAGAAAAGTTCAATTCTGTGAGATGAATGCACTCATCACAAAGAAGTTTCTCAGAATGCTTCTGTCTAGTTTTTTTGTGCAGATATTTCCTTTAAAACCATAGGCCTTAAGAACCCCAAATATCCATTTGCAGATACTACAAAAAGAGTGTTTCCAAACTGCTCAAAGAAAGGTTCAATTCTGAGAGTTGAATGCAGACACTACAAAGAAGTTTCTCAGAATGATTCTGTCTAGTTTTTATGTGAAGATATTTCCTTTTCCACCATAGGCCTCAATTCCCTCCAAATATCCACTTGCAGATTCTGCAAAAAGAGTGTTTCCAAACTGCTCAAAGAAAGGTTCAACTCTGTGAGATGAATGCACACATCACAAAGAATTTTCTCAGAATGCTTTGTCTAGTTTTTATGTGAAGATAATTCAATTTCAACGATAGACCTCAAACAGCTCCAAACATCCATTTGCAGATACTACAAAAAGAGTGTTTCCAAACTGCTAACAAGAAAGTTTGAACTCTGTGAGTTGAATGCACACATCACAAGGACGTTTCTGAGAGAATGCTTCTGTCTAGTTTTTATGTGAAGATATTTCCTTTTAAGTTACAGGCCTCAAAGTGGTCCAAATATCCACTTGCAGATTCTGCAAAAAGAGCGTTTCAAAACTGCTCAATGATAACAAATGATCAACTCTGTGAGAAGAATGCACACAACACAAAGAAGTTTATCAGAATGCTTCTGTCTTGCTTTTGTGTGAAGATATTTCGTTTTCAGCAACAGGCCTCAAAGTGCTCCAAATATCCATTTGTAGATACTACAAAAAAAGTGCTTCCAAAGTGCTCAATGAAAACAAATGTTGAATTCTCTGAGTTGAATGCACACATCACAAAGAAGTTTCTGAGAATGTTTCTATCTAGTTTTTATGTGAAGATATTTCCTTTTCCACCATAGGCCTCAAAGCGCTCTGAATATGCACTTGCAGGTTCCACAAAAAGAGTGTTTGAAAACTGCTCAATCAGAAGAAAGTTTCAACTCCGTGGGATGAATGCACACATCACCAAGAAGTTTCTCAGAATGTTTCTGTCTAGTTTTTATGTGAAGATATTTCCTTTTCAGATATAGGCCACTAAGCGCTCCAAATATCCATTTGCACATACTACAAAAAGAGTGTTTCCAAACTCCCCAATCAAAAGAAAGGTTCGACTCTGTGAGTTGAATGCACACATCACAAAGAAGTTTCTGAGAATACTTCTGTCTAGTTTTTATGTGAAGATATTTCCTTTTCAGCTTTAGGCCTCAAAGTGCTCCAAATATCCATTTGCAGATACTGTAAAAAGAGTGTTTCCAAAGTTCTCAATCAAAAGAAATGTTCAACTCTGTCAGATGAATGCACATATCAAAAAGAAGTTTCTTAGAATGCTTCTGTTTATGTTTTATGTGAAGATATTTCCTTTTCCACCATAGGCCTCAAAGCACTACAAATATCCACTTGCAGATTGTGTTTCCAAAGTGCTCAATCAAAAGAAATGTTCAACTATGTGAGATGAATGCACATATCACAAAGAAGTTTCTTAGAATGCTTCTGTTTATGTTTTATATGAAGATATTTCCTTTTCCACCACAGGCCACAAAGCACTACAAATATCCACTTGCAGATTGTAAAACAGTGTTTCAAAACTCCTCAATGAAAAGAAAGGTTCAACTCCGTGAGACGAATGCACACATCACAAAGAAATGCTTCAGAATGCTTCTGTCTAGCTTTTATGTGAAGATATTTCCTTTTAAAACATAGGCCTCAAAGCTCTCCAAATATTCATTTGCAGACACTACAAAAAGGGTGGTTCGATGCTGCTGAATCAAAGAAAGTTTCAACTCTGAGAGTTTAATGCACACATCACAAAGAAGTCTCTGACAATGCCTCTATCTAGTTTTTATGTGAAGTTATTTCTTTATCCAACATAGGCCTCAAAGTGCTCGCAATATCCACTTGCAGATTCTATGAAAAGAGTGCCTCTGAAATGTTCAATCCAAACAAAGTTTCAACTCTGTGAGGTGAATGCACACATCACAAAGAAGTTTCTCAGAATGCTTCTGTCTGGTTGATATGTGAAGATATTTCCTTTTCCAACATGTGCCTGAAAGCGCCCCAAATATCCATTTGCAGATACTACAAAAAGAGTTTTTCCTAACAGCTGAATCAAAAGAAAGGTTCAACTCTGTGAGTTGGATGCCCATATCACAAAGAAGTTTCTGAGAATCCTTCTGCCTAGTCTTTATCTGAAGATATTACCTTTTCCAAAATAGTCCTCAAAGCACTCCAAATATCCACTTGCAGATTCTATAAAAACAGTGTTTCAAAACTGCTAAATCAAAAGAAAGGTTAAACTCTGTGAGATGAATGCACTCATCACAAAGAAGTTTCCCAGAACGCTTCTGTCCAGTTTTCATGTAAAGATATTTCCTTTTCCACCAAAGGCCTCAAAGTGCTCCAAATATCCACTTGCAGATTCTACAAAAAGAGAGTTTCAAAACTGCTGAATCAAAAGAACGGTTCAACTGTGTGAGATGAATGCACGCATCACAAAGAAGTTGCTCAGAACGCTACTGTCTAGTTTTTAAGGGAAGATATTTGCTTCTCAGGTATAGGACTCAAAGCCTTGCAAATATCCACTTGCAGATACTAAAAAAAGAGTGTTTCCAAACTGTTCAATCAAAAGAAAGGTTCAACTATGTGAGTTGAATGCACATATCACAAAGAAGTTTCTGAGAATGCTTCTGTCTATTTTTTATGTGAAGCTATTTCCTTTTCCACCATAGGCGTCAAAGCTCTCCAAATATCCACTTGCAGATTCTACAAAAAGAGTGTTTTGAAACTGTTCAACCAAAAGAAAGTTTCAGCTCTGTGAGATGAATGCACACATCACAAAGAAGTTTCAGAGAATGCTTCTGTCTTTTGTTTTATGTGAAGATATTTCTTTTTGAGCTATAGGCCTCAAACTGTTCCAAATATGCATTTGCAGATACTACAAAAAGAGTGTTATCAAACTACTCAATCAAAAGAAAGGTTCAACTTTTTGAGTTGAATACACACATCACAGAGAAGTTCCAGAGAATGCTTCTGTCTAGTTTTCATGTGAAGATATTTCCTTTTCCACCATAGGCCTCAAAACGCTCCAAATATCCACTTGCGGATTCTACAAAAAGAAGGTTTCAAAACTGCTCAATCAAAAGAAAGGTTAAATTCTGTGAAATGAATGCACACATCACAAAGAAGTTTCTCAGAATGCTTCGGTCTGGTTTTTATGTGAAGATGTTTCCTTTTCCACCATAGGCTCCAAAGCCCTCCAAATTTCCATTTGCAGATACTACAAAAAGAGTGTTTCCAAAATGCTCAATCAAAAGAAAGTTTCAACTCTGTGAGATGAATGCACACATCACAGTGAAGTTTCTCAGAATGCCTCTGTCTAGTTTTTGTGTGAAGATATTTCCTTTTCCACTACAGGCCTCAAAGCGCTGTAAGTATCCACTTGCAGATTCAACATAAAGAGTCTTTCCAAACTGCTCAATCAAAAGAAAGGTTCAACTCTGTGAGTTGAATGCACATATCACAACGAAGTTTCAGAGAATGCTTCTGTGTAGTTTTTATGTGAGGATATTACCTTTCCCACCATAGGCCTCAAAGGGCCCCAAATATCCACTTGCAGATTCTTCAAAAAGAATGTTTCAAAACTGCTCTATCAAAGAAAGGTTCAACTCTGTGAGTTGAATGCACACATCACAAAGAAGTTTCTGAGAATGCTTCTGTCTAGTTTTTATGTGAAGATATTTCCTTTTCCACCATAGGCCTCAAACGTTCCAAATATCCATTTGCAGATTCTGCAAACATATTGTTTCAAAACTGCTCAATCAACAGAAATATTCAACTCTGTGAGAAGAATGCACACATCACAAAGAAGTTTCTCAGAATGTTTCTGTCTGGTTTTTATGTGAAGATATTTCCTTTTCAGCTGTAGGCCTCATTGCGGTATAAATATCCACTTGCAGATTCTACAAAAAGAGTGTTTCCAAACTGCTAAATCAAAGGAAAGGTTCAACTCTGTGAGAAGAATGCACTCATCCAAAGAAGTTTCTCAGAATTCTTCTGTCTAGTTTTTAAGTGAAGATATTTCCTTTTCACCTACAGGCCTCAAAGAGCTCCAAATATCCATTTTCAGATACTACAAAAAGAGAGTTTTCAAACTGCTCAGTCAAAAGGAAGTTTCAAATCTGTGAATTGAATGCACTAATCACAAAGAAGTTTCATAGAATGCTTCTGTCTAGTTTTCATGTGAAGATTTGTCCTTTTCAGCTAAAGGCCTCAAACCACTCCAAATATCCTCTTGCAGATTCTGCAAAAACAGTGACTCTAAACTGCTCAATGAAAAGAAAGGTTCAACTCTGTGAAGTGAATGCCCACATGCACAAAGAACTTTCTCAGAATGCTTCTGTGTAGTTTTTATGTGAAGATATTTCCTTTTCCAACATATGCCTCAAAGCGCTCCAAATATCCATTTGCAGATACTACAAAAAGAGTGCTTCCAAACTTCTCAATCAAAAGAAAGGTTCAACTCTGTGAGGTGAATGCACTCATCACAAAGAGGTTTCTGAGAATGTTTCTGTCTAGTTTTTTGTGAAGATATTTCGTTTTCAGCTACAGGCCTCAAAGCGCTCCAAATATACTTTTGCAGATATTGCAAGAAGAATGTTTGCAAAGGGCTCAATCAAAAGCAAGGTTCAACTCTGTGAGTTCAATGCACACATCACAAAAAATTTTCTGAGAATGTTTCTGTCTAGTTTTTATGTGAAGGTATCTCCTTTTCCACCATAGGCCTCAAAGAGCTCCAAATATCCACTTGCAGATTCTACAGAAAGAGTGTTTCAAAACAGCTCAAGCAAAAGAAAGGTTCAACACTGTGAGATGAATGCACACATCAACAAGTAGTTTCTCAGAATGCTTCTGTCTAGTTTTTATGTAAAAATATTTCCTTTTCAGCATAGGACTCAAAGTGCTCCAAATATCCACTTGCAGATTCTATAAAAAGAGTGTCTCTAAACTGCTGAATCAAAAGAAAGTTTCAACTCTGTGAGGTGAATGCACACATCACAAGGAAGTTTCTGAGAATGCTACTATCTAGTTTTTATGTAAAATATTTCCTTTACCAGCATATGCCTCAAAACGCTCCAAATATACATTTGCAGATACTACAAAAAGAGTGTTTCCAAACTGCTCAGTCAAAACAAAGGTTCAACTCCGTCAGCTGAATGCACACATTACAAAGAAGTTTCTGAGAATTCATCTCTCTAGTTTTTATTGGAAGATATTTCCTTTTCCACCATAGGCCTCAAAGTGCTCCAAATATCTACTTGCAGATTGTACAAAAAGAGTGTTTTCAACCTGCTCAATCAAAAGAAAAGTTCAATTCTGTGAGGTGAATCCACTAATCACAAAGAAGGTTCTCAGAATGCTTTGTCTAGTTTTTATGTGAAGGTATTTCCTTTAATACCACAGGCCTCCAGAAACCCAAATATCCATTTGTAGATACTACAAAAAGGGTGGATCAAAACCACTCAAAAGAAAAGTTCAACTCTGTGAGTTGAATGCACACATCACAAAGAAGTTTGTGATAATACTTCTGTCTAGCTTTCATGTGAAGGTATTTCCTTTCAAGTTATAGGCCTCATAGCTGTCCAAATATCCACTTGCAGATTCTACAAAAAGAACGTTTCAAAACTGCTCAATGATAAGAAATGTTCAACTCTGTAAGAAGAATGCACACAACACAAAGAAGTTATCAGAATGCATCTGTGTAGTTTTTATATGAAGATATTTCGTTTTCAGCAATAGGACTCAAAAGCACTCCAAATATCCATTTGCAGATACTACAAAAAGAGTGCTTCCAAACTGCTCAATGAAAAGAAATGTTCAATTCTGTGAGTTGAATGCACATATCACAAAGAAGTTTCTGGGAATGTTTCTGTCTAGTTTTTATGTGAAGATATTCCCTTTTCCACCATAGGCCTCAAAGTGCTCCAAATATCCACTTGCAGGTTCCACAAAGAGTGTTTGAAAACTGCTCAATCAATAGAAAGGTTCAACTCCATGCCATGAATGCACACATCACCAAGAAGTTTCTCAGTATGTTTCTGTCTAGTTTTTATGTGAAGATATTTCCTTATCAGATATAGACCACAAAGCGCTCCAAATATCCATTTGCGCAAACTACGAAAAGAGTGTTTCCAAACTCCCCAATCAAAAGAAAGGTTCAACTCTGTGAGTTGAATGCACACATCACAAAGAAGTTTCTGAGAATACTTCTGTCTAGTTTTTATGTGAAGATATTTCCTTTTCAGCTTTAGGCCTCAAAGAGCTCCAAAAATCCATTTGCAGATACTATAAAAAGACTGTTTCCAAACTTCTCAATCGAAAGAAATGTTCAATCCTGTGAGATGAAGGCACACATCACAAAGAAGTTTCTTAGCATGCTTCTGTCTAGTTTTTATGTGAAGATATTTCCTTTTCCACTACAGGGCTCAAAGTGCTCCAAATATCCATGTGCAGATTCTAAAAAAACAGTGTTTCAAACCTGCTCAATCAAAAGAAATGTTCACCTCTGTGAGATGAATGCACACATCTCAAAGAAGTTTCTCAGAATGCTTCTGTATAGTTTTTATTTGAAGATATTTCCTTTTCAGTTATATTCCTTGAAGTGCTCCAAATATCCATTTTCAGATACTACAAAAAGAGAGTTTCCAAACTCCTCAACCAAAGGAAATGTTCAACTCTGTGAGTTGAATGCACACATCACAAAGTAGTTTCTGAGAATGCTTCTGTTTATTTTTATGTGAAGATATTTCCTTTCCCAACATAGACCTCAAAGCACCCCAAATATCCACCAGCAGATTGTAAAAGAGTGTTTCAAAACTGCTCAATCAAAAGCAAGGTTCAACTCTGTGCGATGAATGCACACATCACAAAGAAGTTTCTCAGAATGCTTCTGTCTAGCTTTTATGTGAAGATATTTCCTTTTAAAGCATAGGTCTCAAAGTGCTCCAAATATTCATTTGCAGACACTACAAAAAGAGTTGTTCCATACCGCTCAATAAAAAGAAAGGTTCAACTCTCAGAGTTTAATGCACACATCACAAAGAAGTTTCTGAAAATGCTTCTGTCTAGTTTTTATGTGAAGTTATTTCTTTTTCCACCATAGGCCTCAAAGCGCTCCAAATATCCACTTGCAGATAGTACACAAAGAGTGTTTCCATTTGAACTTTAAAGTGGTTTCTCCAATTCTGTGAAGAGAGTCTTTGGTAGTTTTATGGGGATGGCATTGAATCTGTAAATTACCTTGGGCTGTATGGCCATTTTCACGATATTGTTTCTTCCTACTCACGTGCGTGGAATGTTCTTCCATTTGTTTGTATCCTCTTTTATTTCATTGAGCAGTGGTTTGTATTTCTCCTTGAAGAGTTCCTTCACGTCCTTTGTAAGTTGGATTCCTAGGTATTTTATTCTCTTTGAAGCAATTGTGAATGGGAGTTCACTCATGATTTGGCTCTCTGTTTGTCTGTTATTGGTGTGTAAGAAAGCTTGTGACTTTTGTACATTGATTTTGTATTCTGAGAGTTTGCTGAAATTACTTATCAGCTTAAGGAGATTTTGGGCTGAGATAATGGGGTTTTCTAGATCTACAATCATGTCATCTGCAAAGAGGGACAACTTGACTTCCTCTTTTCCTAATTGAATAACATTTATTTCCTTCGGCTGCCTAATTGCCCTTGCCAGAACTTCCAACACTATGTTGAATAGGAGTGGTGAGAGAGTTCATCCCTGTCTTTTGCCAGTTTTCAAAGGGAACGCTTCCAGTTTTTGCCCATTCAGTTTGATATTGGCTGTGGGTTTGTCATAGATAGCTCTTATTATTATGAGATACGTCCCATCAATACCTAATTTATTGAGAGTTTTTAGCATGAATGGTTGTTGAATTTTGTCAAAGGACTTTTCTGCATCTATTGAGATAATCATGTGGTTTTTGTCTTTGGCTCTGTTTATATGCTGGATTACATTTATTGATTTGGGTATATTAAACCAGCCTTGCATCCCAGGGATGAAGCCCACTTGATCATGGTGGATAAGCTTTTTGATGTGCTGCTGGATTCGGTTTGTCAGTATTTTAATGAGGATTTTTGCATCAATGTTCATCAAGGATATTGGTCTCAAATTATCTTTTTTGGTTGTGTCTCTGAACGGCTTTGGTATCAGGATGATGCTGGCCTCATAAAATGTCTTAGGGAGGATTCCCTCTTTTTCTATTGATTGGAATAGTTTCAGAAGGAATGGTACCAGCTCCTCCTCATACCTCTGGTAGAATTCGGCTTGAATCAATCTGGTCCTGAACTCTTTTTGGTTGGTAAGCTATTGATTATTGCCACAATTTCAGATCCTGTTATTGGCCTATTCAGAGATTCAACTTCTTCCTGGTTTAGCGTTGGGAGAGTGTATGTGTCGAGGAATTTATCCATTTCTTCTAGATTTTCTAGTTTATTTGTGTAGTGGTGTTTGTAGTATTCTCTGATGGTAGTTTGTATTTCTGTGGGATCGGTGGTGATATCCCCTTTATCATTTTTTATTGCGTCTATTTGATTCTTCTCTCTTTTCTTCTTTATTAGTCTTGCTAGCAGTCTGTCAATTTTGTTGATGCTTTCAAGAAACCAGCTCCTGGATTCATTAATTTTTTGAAGGGTTTTATGTGTCTCTATTTCCTTCTGTTCTGCTCTGATTTTAGTTATTTCTTACCTTCTGCTAACTGTTGGATGTGTTTGCTCTTGCTTTTCTAGTTCTTTTAATTGTGATGTTAGGGTGTCAATTTTGGATCTTTCCTGCTTTCTCTTGTGAGCATTTAGTGCCATAAATTTCCCTCTACACACTGCTTTGAATGCGTCCCAGAGATTCTGGTATATTGTGTCTTTGTTCTCATTGGTTTCAAAGAACATCTTTATTTCTGCCTTCATTTCGTTATGTACCCAGTAGTCATTCAGGAGCAGGTTGTTCAGTTTCCATGTAGTTGAGCAGTTTTGAGTGAGTTTCTTAATCCTGAGTTCTAGTTTGATTGCACTGTGGTCTGAGAGACCGTTTGTTATAATTTCTGTTCTTTTACATTTGCTGAGGAGTGCTTTAATTCCAACTATGTGGTCAATTTTGGAATAGGTGTGCTGTGGTGCTGAAAAGAATGTATATTCTGTTGATTTGGGGTGGAGAGTTCTGTAGATGTCTATTAGGTCTGCTTGGTGCAGAGCTGAGTTCAATTCCTGGGTATCCTTGTCACGTTGATCTGTCTAATGTTGACAGTGGGTGTCAAAGTCTCCCATTATTATTGTGTGGTAGTCTAAGTCTCTTTGTAGGTAACTCAGGACTTGCTTTATGAATCTTGGTGCTCCTGTATTAGGTGCATATATATTTAGGATTTTTAACTCTTCTTGTTGAATCAATCCCATTACCATTATGTAATGGCCTTCTTTGTCTTTTTTGATCTTTTTTGATTTAAAGTCTGTTTCATCAGAGACTAGGATTGCAACCCCTGCCTTTTTTTGTTTTCCATTTGCTTGGCAGATCTTCCTCCATCCTTTTATTTTGAGCCTATCTGTGTCTCTGCACATGAGATGGGTTTCCTGAATACAGCACACTGATGGGTCTTGACTCTTTATCCAATTTGCCAGTCTGTGTCTTTTAATTGGAGCATTTAGTCCATTTACATTTAAATTTAATACTGTTATGTGTGAATTTGATCGTGTCATTATGATGTTAGCTGGTTATTTTGCTCGTTAGTTGATGCAATTTCTTCCTAGCCTTGATGGTCTTTACAATTTGGCAAGTTTTTGCAGTGGCTGGTACTGGTTGTTCCTTTCCATGTTTAGTGCTTCCTTCAGGAGCTCTTGTAGGGCAGGCCTGGTGGTGACAAAATCTCTCAGCATTTGCTTGTCTGTAAAGGATTTTATTTCTCCTTCGCTTATGAAGCTTAGTTTTGCTGGTTATGAAATTCTGGGTTGAAAATTCTTTTCTTTAAGAATGATGAATATTGGCCCCACTCTTTTCTGGCTTGTAGAGTTTCTGCCAAGAGATCTGCTGTTAGTCTGAAGGGCTTCCTTTTGTGGGTAACCCGACCTTTCTCTCTGACTGCCCTTAACATTTTTTCCTTCATTTCAACTTTGGGGAATCTGACAATTATGTGTCTTGGAGTTGCTCTTCTCAAGGAGTATCTTTGTGGCATTCTCTGTATTTCCTGAATCTGAATGTTGGCCTGCCTTGCTAGATTGGGGAAGTTCTCCTGGATAATATCCTGCAGAGTGTTTTCCAACTTGATTCCACTCTCTCCGTCACTTTCAGGTACACCAATCAGACATAGATTTGGTCTTTTCACATAGTCTCATATTTCTTGGAGGCTTTGTTTATTTCTTTTTATTCTTTTTTCTCTAAACTTCCCTTCTCACTTCATTTCATCTTGCATCACTGATACCCTTTCTACCAGTTGATCACATCATATCCTGAGGCTTCTGCATTCTTCACGTGGTTCTCAAGCCTTGGCTTTCAGCTCCATCAGCTTTTTAAAGCACTTCTTTGTATTGGTTATTCTAATTATACATTAGTCTAAATTTTTTTCAAAGTTTTTAACTTCTTTGCCTTTGGTTTGAATTTTTTCCTGTAGCTCAGATTAGTTTGATCATCTGAAGCCTTCTTCTCTCAACTCATCAAAGTCATTCTCCATCCAGCTTTGTTCCAGTGCTGGTGGGGAACTGCGTTCCTTTGGAGGAGGAGACGTGCTCTGCTTTTTAGAGTTTCCAGTTTTTCTGCTCTGTTTTTTCCCCATCTTTGTGGTTTTATCTACTTTTGGTCTTTGATGATGGTGATGTACAGATGGGTTGTTGGTGTGGATGTCCTTTCTGTTTGTTAGTTTTCCTTCTAACAGACAGGACCCTCAGCTGCAGGTCTGTTGGAGTTTGCTACAGGTCCACTCCAGACCCTCTTTGCCTGGGTATCAGCAGCAGTGGCTACAGAATACCGGATTTTCGTGAACAGTGAATGCTGCTGTCTGATCATTCCTCTGGAAGTTTTGTCTCAGAGAAGTACCCGGCCGTGTGAGGTGTCAGTCTGCCCCTACTGGGGGGTGCCTCACAGTTAGGCTGCTCGGGTGTCAGGTGTCAGGGACCCTTTTGAGGAGGCAGTCTGCCCATTATAAGATTTCCAGCTGTGTGCTGGGAGAACCACTGCTCTCTTCAAAGCTGTCAGACAGGGACATTTAAGTCTGCAGAGGTTACTGCTGTCTTTTTGTTTGTCTGTGTTCTGCCCCTAGAGGTGGAGCCTACAGAGGCAGGCAGGCCTCCTTGAGCTGCTTCACCAATTGAGCTGCTTCACTTGAATTGGCTTCACCAATTTCGAGCTTCCTGGCTGCTTTGTTTGCCTAAGCAAGCCTGGGAAGTGGTGAGTGCCCCTCACCCACCCTCGCTGACGCCTTGTAGTTTGATCTCAGACTACTGTGCTAGCAATCAGTGAGACTCCGTGGGCATAGGTCCGTCCAAGCCAGGTGCAGGATATAATCTCCTGATGTGCCATTTTTTAAGCCCATCGGAAAAGTGCAGTATTAGGGTGGGAGTGACCCGATTTTCCAGGTGCCTTCTGTCACCCCTTTCTTTGAATAGTAAAGGGAACTGCCTGACACCTTGCACTTCCTGAGTGAAGCAATGCCTCACCCTGCTTCGGCTCCCACATGGTGCGTTGCACCCACTGTCCTGCAGCCACTGTCTGGCACTCCCTAGTGGGATGAAACTGGTACCTCAGATGGAAATGCAGAAATCAGCCGTGTTCTGCATCACTCATGCTGGGAGCTATAGACCGGAGTTGCAACTATTCAGCCATCTTGGCTGCCAGCTCCTGATTTCCTGAACATTTCTTTTGATTGAGCAGTTTCAAAAAACTATTTTTGTTTTATCTGCAATGGATATTTGGAATGCTTTGAGGCCCATAGCTGAAAAGGAAATATCTTCACATGAAAACTAGACTGAAGCATTCTGAGAAACCCCTTTGTGATGTGTGCACTCATCTCACAGACTTGAAACTTTCTTTTGATTGAGCAGTTTTGAAACATTCTTTTTGTAGAATCTGCAAGTGGATAATTGGTGCACTTTGAGGCCTATGGTGGAAAAGGAAATATCTTCACATAAAAACTAGACAGAAGCATTCTCAGAAACTACTTTGCAATGTGTGCATTCAACTTACACAGTTGAAACTTTCTTTTGACTGAACAGTTTGGAAACACTATTTATGTAGTATCTGTAGGACCATTTAGAGTGCTTTGAGGCCTACAGCTGGAAAAGGAAATGTCTTCAAATAAACACTAGATAGAAGCATTCTGAGAAACTTCTTTGTGGTGTGTGCATTCATCTCACAGAGTTGAACCTTTCTCTTAATTGAGCAGTTTTGAAACACTCTTTTTGTAGAATCTGCTAGTGGATATTTGGAGCACATTGAAGCCTATGGTGGAAAAAGAAATACCTTCAAATAAAAAAAAGACAGAAGCATTCTCAGAAACTTCTTTGAAATGTGTGCATTCAACTCACAGTGTTGAATCTTTCTTTTGATTGAGCAGTTTGGAAACACTCTTTTAGTAGTATATGCAAATGGATATTTGGAGCGCTTTGAGGCCTATGGTGGAAAACGAAATATCTTCACATAAATAATAGACAGAAGCATTCTGAGAAACAACTTTGGGATGTATGCATTCAACTCACTATGATGAACCTTACTTTTGATTGAGCAGTTTGGAAACACTTTTTGTAGAAACTGAAAGTGGATATTTGGAGCACTTTGAGGCCTATGGTGGAAAAGGAAATATCTTCACATAAAAACTGGACAGAAGCATTCTCAGAAACTTCTCTGTCATGTGGGAATTTAAATCACAGAGTTAAACTGTTCTTTTGATTGAGCAGTTTCAAAACCCTCTGTAGAAACTGCAACTGGATATTTGGAGTGCATTGAGGCCTATGGTGGAAAAGGAAGTATCTTAACATAAAAACTAGACAGAAGCATTCTGAGAAACTTGTTTGTGATGTGAGCATTCATCTCACAGAGTTGAACATTTCTTCTGATTGAGCAGTTTTCAACCACTGTTTTTGTAGAATCTGCAATTGGATATTTGGAACACTTTGAGGCCTATGGTGGAAAAGGAAATATCATCACATAAAAACTAGACAGAAGGATTCTCAAGAACTTCTTTGTGATGAGAGAATTCAACTCACAGAGTTGAACCTTTCTTTTGATTGATCAGTTTGGAAACACACTTTTTGTCATATCTGCAAATGGATATTTGGAGTGCTATGAGGCCTATAGTGGAAAAGGAAATATCTTCACATAAAAACTAGACAGAAGCATTCACAGAAACTTCCTTGTGATGTGTGCATTCAACTCACAGAGATGAACCTTTCTTTTGATAGAGCTGTTTTGAAACTCTCTTTTCATAGAATCTGCAAGTGGATATTTGGAGCAATTTGAGGCCTGTGGTGGAAAAGGAAATATCTTCACATAAAAACTAGACAGAAGTATTCTCAGAGATATTTGCACCACCTTGATCTCTACGGTGTAAATGGAAATATCTTCTCATGTAAACTAGAAAGAAGCATTCTCAGAAATTTCTTTGTGATGTGTGCATTCAACTCACAGAGTTGAACCTTCCTTCTGATGGAACAGTTTTGAAACATTCTTTTTGTTGAATCTGCAAGTGGATATTTGGAACGCTTTGGGGCCTAAGGTGGAAAAGGAAATATCTTCACATAAAAACGAGGCAGAAGAATTCTCAGAAACTTCTTTGTGATGTGTGCATTCAACTCACAGAGTTGAAAGTTTCTTTTGATAGAGCACTTATGAAACACTCTTTATGTAGAATCTGCAAGTGGATATTAGGAGCACTTTGAGTCCTACGGTGGAAAAGGAAATATGTTCACATAAAAAATAGACAGAAGAATTTGCAGAGATATATGTAGCGTTTTGAGGCCTACGGTGGAAAGGAAATATCTTCACATATAAACTAGACAGAAGCATTCTCAGAAACGTCTTTGTGATGTGTGCACTCAACACACAGAGTTGAACCTTTCTTTTGATAGAGTAGTTTGGAAACACTCTTTTTGTAGAATCTGCAAGTGGATATTTGTAACGCTTTGAGACCTACGGTGGAAAAGGAAATATCTTCCCATAAAAACTACACAGAAGCATTCTCAGAAACTTCTTTGTGATGTGTGCATTCAACTCACAGAGTGGAAACTTTCTTTTGATAGAGCAGTTTTGAAACACCCTTTTTGTACAATCTGCTAGTGGATATTTGGAATGCTTTGAGACCTATGGTGGAAAAGGAAATATCTTCACATAAAAACTAGTCAGAAGCATTCTTAGAAACTTCTTTGTGATTTGTGCATTGAACTCACAGAGTTTAACCTTCCTTTTGATAGTGCAGTTTTGAAACACTCTTTTTGTATAATCTGCACATGGATATTTGGAACATTTCAGGGCCAACGGTGGAAAAGGAAATATCTTCACATAAAAACTACACAGAAGCATTCTCAGAAACTTCTTTTTGTTGTGTCCATTCAACTCACAGAGTTGAACCTTTCTTTTGGTAGACCAGTTTTGAAACACTCTCTTTGTAGAATCTGCAAGTGGATATTTGGAGTGCTTTGAGGCCTACGGTGGTAAAGGGAATATCTTCACATAAAAAGTAGACAGAAGCATTCTCAGAATCTTCTCTGTGATGTGTGCATTCAACTCACTGAGTTGAAACTTTCGGTTGATAGAGGAGTTTTGAAACACTCTTTTTGTGGAATCTGCAAGTGAATATTAAGAGTGCTTTGAGGCCTACGGTGGAAAAGAAAATATCTTCACATAAAAACTACAGAGAAGCATTCTCAGAAACTTCTTTGTGATGTGTGCCTTGAACTCACAGAGTTGAACTTTTCTTTTGGTAGAGCAGTTTTGAAACACTGTCTTTGTAGAATCTGCAAGTGGATATTTGGAGCACTTTGAGGCCTATGGTTTAAAAGGAAATATCTTCATATAAAAAACAGACAGAAGCATTCGCAGAAACTACTTTGTGATGTGTGTATTCAACTCACAGAGTTGAACCTTCCTTTTGATAGAGCAGTTTTGAAACACTCTTTTTGTAGAATCTGCAAGTGGATGTTAGTAGCACTTTGAGACTTACGGTGGAAAAGGAAATATCTTCACATAAAAACTAGAAAGCAGCCCTCTCAGAAACTTCTTTGTGATGTGTGCATTCAACTCACAGAGTTGAACTTTTCTTTTGATAGAGCAGTTTTGAAACACTCTTTTTGTAGAATCTGCAAGTGGATATTTGGAACACTTTGAGGCCTACAGTGGAAAAGGAAATATCTTCGCATAAAAACTAGACAGAAGCATTCTCAGAAACTTCTTTGTGATTTGTGCATTCAACTCACAGATTGGAACCTTCCTTTTGATAGAGCAGTTTTGAAACACTCTTATTGTGGAATTTGCAAGTGGATATTTGGAGTGCTTTCAGGACTACGGTTCAAAAGGAAATATCTTCCCTTAAAACTAGACAGAAGCATTCTGAGAATCAACTTCAGGATGTGTGCATTCAACTCACAGGGTTGAAATTTTCTTTTGACAGAGCAGTTTTGAAACACTCTTTTTGTAGGATCTGTAAGTGGATATTTGGAGCGCTTTGAGGCCTAGGGTGGAAAACGAAATATCTTCACAGAAAAACTAGAGAGAAGCAGTCTGAGAAATATTTGGAGCGCTTTGAGGACTACAGTGGAAAAGGAAGTATCTTCAAATATAACCTAGAGAGAAGCTTTTTCAGAAACTTGTTTGTGATGTGTGCTTTCCAGTCACAGGTTTGAACCTTCCTTTTGACAGAGCAGTTTTGAGACACTCTTTTTGTAGAATCAGCAAGTGGATGTTTGGAACGCTTTGAGGCCTATGGTGGAAAAGGAAATATCATCACATATAAACTAGACAAAAACATTCTCAGAAATTTCTTTGTGTTGTGTGCATTCAACTCACAGAGTTGAAACTTCCTTTTGATGGAGCAGTTTTGAAACACTCTTATTGTAGAATCTGCAAGTAGATATTTGGAATGCTTTGGGGCCTATGGTGAAAAGGAAATATCTTCACATAAAAACTAGACAGAAGCATTCTCAGAAACTTATTTGTGATGTGTGCATTCAACTCACAGAGTTGAAAGTTGCTTTTGATAGAGCACTTTGGAAGCACTCTTTTTGTAGAATCTGCAAGCAGATATTAGGAGCGCTTTGAGGCCTACGTTGGAAAAGGAAATATATTCACATTAAAAGTAGACAGAAGCATTCTCAGAGATATTTGGACTGCTTTGAGGACTACGGTGGAAAGGGAAATATCTTCACATATAAACTTGACAGAAGCTTTGTCAGAAACTCCTTTTGGGTGTGTGCATTCAAGTCACAGAGATGAACCTTTCTTTTGATAGAGCAGATTTGAAAAACCCTTTTTGTAGAATCTGCAAGTAGATATTTGGAATGCTGTGAGTCCTATGGTGGACAAGGATATATCTTCACATAAAAGCTAGTCAGAAGCATTCTCAGAAACTTCCTTGTGATGTATCCATTGGACTCACAGAGCTGAACCTTTCTTTTGATAGAGCCGTTTCGGAAAACTCCTTTTGTAGAATCTGCAAGTGGATATTTGGAGCGCTTTGATGCCTATGGTGGAAAAGGAAACATCTTAACATAAAAACTAGACAGAAGCATTATCGAAAACTTCTTTGCAATGTGTGCATTCAAATCACAGAGTTGAACCTTTCTTTTGATAGAGCAGTTTTGAAACACTCTTTTTGTAGAATCTGCAAATGGATATTTGGAGCGCTTTGACGCCTACGGTGGAAAAGGAAATATCTTCACAAAAACTCTACACAGAAGCATTCTCAGAAACTACCTTGTGCTGTGTTCATTCAACACACAGAGTTGAACCTTTCTTTTCATAGAGCAGTTTTGAAACACTCTTTTTGTTGTATCTGCAAGTGGATGTTTGGAGCACTTTGAGGCCAGTGGTGTAAAAGGAAATATCTTCACATATAAACTAGACAGAGGGATTCTCAGAAACTTCTTTCTGATGTGTGCATTCAATTCACAGAGTTGAAACTTCCTTTTGATAGAGCAGTTTTAAAACACTCTTTTTATGGAATCTGTAAGTGGATATTTGGAGCGCTTTGAGTCCTACTGTGGAAAAGGAAATATCTTCACATAAAAATTAGACAGAAGCATTCTCAGAGACTTCTTTCTGATGTGTGTATTCAACTCACAGAGTTGAACCTTCCTTTTGATAGAGCAGTTCTGGAACACTCTTTTTGTAGAATGTGCAAGTGGATATTTGGAACGCTTTGAGGCCTATGGTGGAAAAGGACATTATCTTCACCTGAAAACTAGACAGAAGCATTCTCAGAAACTTCCTTGTGATGTGTCCTTTCAACTCACAGAGTTGAACCTTTCTTTTGGTAGAGCAGTTTTGAAACACTCTTTTTGTAGAATCTGCAAGTGAATATTAAGAGCGCTTTGAGGCCTACGGTGGAAAAGGAAATATCTTCTCCCAAAAACTAGACAGAAGCATTCTGAGAAACTTCTATGTGATGTGTGCATTCAACTCAGAGAGTTTAGGCTTTCTTTTGATAGAGCAGCTTTGAAACACTCTTTTTGTTGAATCTGCAAGTGGATATTTGGAACGCTTTGAGGGCTATGGTGGAAAAGAAAATATTTTCTCACAACAACAGACAGAAGCATTCTCATAAACTTCTTTGTTATGTGGGCATTCAACTCACAGAGTTGAACCTTTCTTTTGATAGATAAGTTTTTAAACACTCTTTATGTGGAATCTGCAAGTGGATATTTGGAGTGCTTTGAGGCCTACGGTGGAAAAGAGAATATCTTCACATAAAAACTAGACAGAAGCATTCTCAGAGATACTTGTAGCGCTTTGAGGCCTATGGCACAAAAGGAAATATCTTCACATAGAAATTAGACAGAAGCAATATCAGAAACTACTTTGTGATTTGTGCAATCAACTCACAGGATTGAACATTCCTTTTGATAGAGTAGTTTTGAGACACTCTGTAGAATGTGCAAGTGGATATTTGGAACGCTTTGAGGCCTATGGTGGAAAAGGAAATATCTTCAGGTAAAAACTAGAGAGAAGCATTCTCAGAAACTTCTTTGTGATGTGTGCACTCAGCTCTCAGAGTTGCACCTTTCTTTTGATGGAGCAGTTTTGAGACACTCTTTTTCTAGAAACTGCAAGTGGATATTTGGAGCACTTTGAGGCCTACATTGGAAAAGGAAATACCTTCACATAAAAATTAGACAGAAGCATTCTCCGAAACTTCTTTGTGATGTGTTCACTCAACTCACAGAGTTGAACTTTTCTTTTGATAAAGCAGTTTTGAAACTTTCTTTTTTTAGTATCTGCAATTGGATATTTGGAGCTCTTTGAGGACTACAGTGGAAAAGGACATATCTTCACATAAAAACTAGACAGAAGCATTCTCACAAACTTCTTTGTGATGTGTGCATGCAACTCACAGAGTTGAAACTGTCTTTTGATAGAGCAGTTTTGAATTACTCTTTTTGTAGTATCTGCAAATGGATATTTGCAGCGCTTTGAGGCCTATGGTAGAAAAGGAAATATCTTCTCATAAAAAGGAGACAGAAGCATAATAAGAAATCTCTTTGTGATATGTGCATTCAACTAACAGAGTGGAACCTTACTTCAGATAGAGCAGTTTGGAAAGACTGTTTTTGTAGAATCTGCAAGTTGATATTTGGAGCGCTTTGAGGTCTACAGTGGAAAAGGAAATATCTTCATTTAAAAACTAGACAGAAGGATTCTCAGAAACTTGTTTGTGATGTGTGCATTTTACTCACAGAGTTGAAACTTCTTTTGATGGAGCAGTTTTCAAACACTCTATTTGTAGAATCTGCTACTCGATATTTTGAACTCTTTGATGCCTACGGTGGTAAAGGAAATATCTTCTCATAAAAACTAGACAGAAGCATTCTCAGAAATGTATTTTTGATATGTGCATTTGACTCACAGTGTTGAACCTTTCTTTTGATAGAGCAGTTTTGAAGCACTCTTTTTGTAGAATCTGCAAGTGGATACTTGGAGTGCTTTGAGGCCTAAGATGGTAAAGGAAATATCTTCACATAAAAACTAGACAGAAGCATTCTCAGAAACTTCTTTGTGATGGTGCATTCAACTCACGGAGTTGAGCCTTTCTTTTGATAGAGCAGTTTTGAAACACTCTTTTTGTAGAATCTGCAAGTGGATATTAGGAGCGCTTTGATGCCTAGAGTGGAAAAGAAAATATCATCACATGAAAACTAGACAGAAGCATTCTCAGAAATTTATTTGAGATCTGTGCATTCAATTCACAGAGTTACAGTTTTCTTCTGATGGAGCAGATTTGAGACACTCTTTTTCTAGAAACTGCAAGTGGATATTTGGAACGCTTTGAGGGCTACAGTGGAAAAGGAAATAACTTCACATAAAAAATAGCGCTTTGAGGCCTATGGTGCATAAGGAAATATCTTCACATAAAAAGGAGACAGAAGCATTCTCAGAAACTTCTTTCTGATGTGTGCATTCAACTCACAGAGTTGAACCTTTTTTTTGATAGAGCAGTGTTGAAACACTCTTGTTGTAGAATCTGTAATTCCTTCTTGGAGTGCTTTGAGGCCTATGGTGGAAAAAGAAATATCTTCACATAAAAACTAGACAGAAGTCTTCTCAGAAACTTCTTGGTGATGTGTGCATTAAACTCACAGAGGTGAACCTTCCTTTAGATAGAGCAGTTTTGAAACACTCCTTTTGTAGGATCTGCAAGTGGATTTTTGGAGCACTTTGAGGCCTATGGTAGAAAAGTAAATATCTTCAAATAAAACCTAGACATAAGCATTCTCAGAATCTTCTTTGTGATGTGCACATTTAACTCAGAGTTGAATCTTTCTTTTGATAGAGCAGTTTTGAAACAATCTTTTTGTAGAATCATCAAGTGTATATTTGTAGGGCTTTGAGGCCTACGGTGGAAATGGAAATATCTTCACATAAAAACTAGCAGAAGCATTCTCAGAAACCTCTTTGTCATGTGTGCATTCAACTCACAGAGTTGAACTTTTCTTTTGTTAAAACAGTTTTGAAGCACTCTTTTTGTAGTATCTGCAAGTGGATATTTGGAGCCCTTTGACCCGTACTGTGGAAATGGAAATATGTTCACATAAAAACGAGACAGAGGCACTCTCAGAAACTTTTTGGAGATGTGTGCATTCAACTCACAGAGTTGAACCTTCCTTTTGATAGATCAGCTTTGAAACACTCTTTTGTTGAATCTGCAAGTGGATATTTGGAGTGCTTTGAGGCCTATGGTGGAAAAGGAAATATCTTCACATAAAAACTAGACAGAAGCATTCTCAGAAACTTCATTGTGATGTGTGCATAGAACTCACAGAGTTGAACCTATTTTTTGATACAGCAGTTTTGTAACACTCTTTTTGTAGAATCTGCAAGTCGATATTTGGAGCGCTTTGAGACCTAGGTTGGAAAAGGAAATATCTTCACATAAAAACTAGACAGAAACATTCTCAGAAACTTCTTTGTGATGTGTGCAATCAACTCACAGTGTTGAACCTTCCTATTGATAGATGAGTTTTGAAACACTCTTTCTGTAGAATCTGCAAGTGGATATTTGGAGCGCCTGGAATCCTATGGTAGAAAAGGAAATATCTTCACATAGAAACTGTACAGAAGCATTCTCAGAAACATCTATGGGATGTGTGCATTCAACTCACAGAGCTGAACCTTTCTTTTGATAGAGCAGTTTTGAAATATTCTTTCTGTGAAATCTGCAGGTGGATATTTGGAGCGCTTTGAGGCCTGTGGTGGAAAAGGAAATATCTTCACCTAAAAACTATAGAGAAGCATTCTCAGAAACTTCTTTGTGATGTGTGCATTCAACTCACAGAGTTGAACATTTCTTTTGATAGAGTAGTTTTGAAACACTCTTTCTGTAGAAACTGCTAGTGGATATTTGGAGCGCTTTGAGGCCTATGGTGGAAAAGGAAATAACTTCACATAAAAACTAGATAGAAGTATTCTCAGAAACTTCTTTGTGATGGGTGCATTCAGTTCACAGAGTTGAACCTTCCTTTTGATACAGCCGTTTTGAAACACTCTTTTTGTGTAATCTGCAAGTGGATTTTTTGAACGTTTTGAAACCTGCGGTGGAAATGAAAATATCTTCACATAAAAACTGGACAGAAGCCTTCTCAGAAACTTCTTTTAGATGTTTGCATTCAAGTCACAGGGTTGAACCTTTCTTTTGACAGAGCACTTTTGAAACTCTTTTTGTAGAATCTGCAAGTGGACATTTGTATCGCTTTGAAGGATGTGGTAGAAAAGGAAATATGTTCACATAGAAACTAGACAGAAGCATTCTCAGAAACTTCTTTGAAATGAGTGCATTCAATTCACAGTGTTAAACCTTTCTTTTGATTAAGAAGTTTGGAAACAATCTTTCTGTAGAAACTGCAAATGGATACTTGGAGCGCTTTTTGGCCTACAGCTGAAAAGGAAATATCTTCACATAAAAACGAGACAGAAGCATTCTGAGAAACTTTTTTGTGATGTGTGCATTAATCTCACAGAGTTGAACCTTTCTTTTGATTAAGAAATTTTGAAACACTCTATTTTTGGAAACTGCAAGTGGATATTTGGGGTGCTTTGAGGCCTAAGGTGGAAACGGAAATATCTTCACATAAAAACTAGACAGAAGCATTCTCAGAAACTTCTTTGTGATGTGTACATTCAACTCTCGGAGTTGAACTTTTCTTTTGTTTGAGCAGTTTGGAAACACTCTTTTTGTAGTAAATGCAAATGGATACTTGGAGCCCTTAGAGGCCTTATAGCTGAAAAGGGAATATCTTCATATAATAACTAGACAGAAGCACTCTGAGCAAGTTCCTTGTGATGTGTGCATTCATCTCACAGAGTTGGACCCTTCTTTTTATTTAGAAGATTTGAAATAGTCTTTTTGTAGAATCTGCAAGTGGATATTTGTAGAGCTTTGAGGCCTATGGTGGAAAAGGGAATATCTTCCATAAAAACTAGACAGAAGTATTCTCAGAAACTTCTTTTTGACGTGTGCATTCAACACTCAGAGTTGAAATTTTTTTTGATTGAGCAGTTTGGAAACACTCTTTTTGTAGTAACTGCAATTGGATATTTGGAAGGCTTTCAGACCTATAGCTAAAAAGGAAATATCTTCATATAGTAACTAGACAGAAGCAACCTGAGAAACTTCTTTGTGTGCATTCATCTCACAGAGTTGAACCTTTCTTTTGATTGAGAAGTTTTGAAACACTCTTTTTGTACAATCGCAAGTGGATAATTTGAGCACGTTGATGCCTATGGTGGAAAAGGAATTATCTTCACATAAAAACTAGACAGAAGCATTCTGAGAAACTTCTTTGTTATGTGCGCATTTATCACACAGATTTGAAAATTTCTTTTGATTGAGCAGTTTGGAAACACTCTTTTTCTACAATCTGCAAGTGGATATTTGGAGTGCTTTGATGTCTATGTTTAAAAAGAAAATATCTTCACATAGAAACTAGACAGAAGCATTCTCAGAAATTTCTTTGTGATGTGAGCATTCAACTCTCAGAGGTGAACATTTCTTTTAATTGAGCATTTTGGAAACACACTTTTATTAGTAACTGCAAATGGATATATGGAGCGCTTTGAGGAATGTATCTGAAGAGGAAATATCTTCATATAAAAACAACACTGAAACATTCTGAGAAACTTCTTTGTTATGTGTGCATTCACCTCACAGAGTTGAACCATTCTTTTGACTGAGAAGTTTTGAAAAACTCTTTTTGTAGAATCTGCAAGTGCATATTTGGAGTGCTTTGAGGCCTATGGTGGAAAAGGAAATATCTTCACATAAAAACAAGACAGAAGGATTCTGAGAAACTTATTTGTGATGTGTGCATTCACCTCACGGAGTTGAATCTTTCTTTTGATTGAGCACTTTTGAAACACTCTTTTTATAGAACCTGCAAGTGGATATTTGGACTGCTTAGAGGCCGATAGTGGAAAAGAAACATGTTCACATAAAAACTAGACAGAAGAATTCTGAGAAACTTCTTTGTGATGTATTCATTCAACTCACATAGTTCAACCTTTCTTTTGATTGAGCAGTTTGAAAACACTCTTTTTGTAGAATCTGCAAGTGGATATTTGGAGAGCTTTGAGGGCTATGTTGGAAAAGAAATTTTCTGCACATAAAAACTAGACAGAAACATTCTCAGAAACTTCTTTGTGATGTGCGCATTCATCTCACAGAGTTGAACCTTTCTTTTGATTGAGAAGTTTTTAAACACTCTTTTTGTAGATTCTGCAAGTGGATATTTGGAGTGCTTTGAGACCTATGGTGGAAAAGGAAATATCTTCACATAGAAGCTGGACAGAAGCATTCTCAGAAACTACTTTGTGATGTGTGCATTTAACTCTCACAGTTGAACCTTTCTTTTGATTGAGCAGTTTGGAAACACTCTTTTTGTAGTAACTACTAATGGATATTTGGAGCTCTTTGAGGCCTACAGCTGAAAAGGAAGTATCTTCACATAAAAACTAGACAGAAACATTCTGAGAAACTTCTATGTGATGTGTGTATTCATCTCAAATATTTGAACCTTTCTTTTGATTGAGCAACTTGAAAAACACTTTTTGTAGTATCTGCAAGTGGATATTTGGAGCACTTTGAGGCCTATGTTGGAAAAGGAAATAACTTCACATAAAAAGTAGACAGAAGCATTCTCAGAAACAACTTTCTGCTGTGGGCATTTAACTCTTAGAGTTGAACTTTTCTTTTGATTGAGCAGTTTGGAAACACTCTTTTTGTAGTAACTGCAAAGGATATTTGCATCACTTTGAAGCCTATAGCTGGAAAGGAAATATCTTCATATAAAAACTACACAGAAGCATTCTGAGAAACTTCTTTGTTATGTTTGCATTCATGTCACATAGTTGAACCATTCTTTTGATTCAGAAGTTTTGAAACACTCTTTTTTAGTAAGTGAAAATGGATATTTGGAGCACTTTGAGTCCTAGAGCTGAAAAGGAAATATCTTCATATAAAAACTACACAGAAGCATTCTGAGAAACTTATTTGATATGTATGCATTCAAGGTAAAGAGTTAAAATGTTCTTTCCATTGAGAAGTTTTGAAACACTCTTTTTGTAGAAGCTGAAAGTGGATATTTGGAGTGCTTTGAGGCCAATGGTGGAAAAGAAAATATCTTCATAAAGAAACTAGACAGAAGCATTCTGAGAAACTTCTTTGTTATGTGTGCATTCAACTCACAGATTTGAACCTTTCTTTTATTATAGCAGCTTTGAGACACACTTTTTCCAGAAACTGCAAGTGGATATTTGGAGCACTTTGAGGCCTACGGTGGAAAAGGAAATACCTTCACTTAAAAACTAGACAGAAGCATTCTCAGAAACTTCCTTGTGATGTGTGCATTCAACTCACAGAGTTGAACCTTCCTTTTGATAGAGCAGTTTTGTAACACTCTTTCTGAAGAATCCACAAGAGGATATTTGGAGCGCTTTGAGGCCTACAGTGGAAAAGGAAATATGTTCACATAAAAAATACACTGAAGCATTCTCAGAAACTTCTTTGTGATGTGGGCATTCAACTGACAGAGTTGAGCCTTTCTTTTGATGGAGCAGTTTTGGGACACTCTTTTTATAGAATCAGCAAGAGGATATTTGGAGCACTTTGAGGCCTACATTTGAAAAGGAATTACCTTCAAATAAAAATTAGACAGAAGCATTCTCAGAAACTACTTTGAGATGTGTGGACTCAACTTACAGAGTTGAACTTTTCTTTTGATATAGCAGTTTTGAAACTCTCTTTTTGTACAATCTGCAAGTGGATATTTGGAGAGCTTTGATGCCTATGGTGGAAAAGGAAATATCTTCACAAAAAAACTAGACAGAAGCATTCTCAGAGATATTTGGACCGCTTTGAGGCCTACGGTGGAAAAGGAAATATCTTCACATATGAACTAGACAGAAACATTCTCAGGAACTTGTTTGTGATGTGTGCTTTCAACTCGCATGTTTGAACCTTCCTTTTGATAGAGCAGTTTTGAAATACTCTTTTTGTACAATCTGCAAGTGGATATTTGGAACGGTTTGAGGCCTATGGTGGAAAAGGAAATGTCTTCACATAAAAACTAGATAGAAGCATTGTCAGAAACTTCTTTGTGATGTGTGCACTCAACTCACAGAGTTGAACCTTTCTTTTGATAGAGCAGTTTTGAGACACTCTTTTGTAGAATCTGCAAGTGGATATTTGGACCGCTTTGAGTCCTTCGTTGGAAACGGGAATATCTTCACAAAAAACTAGACAGAAGCTTTCTCAGAAACTTCTTTGTGATGTGTCCATTCAACTCTCAGAGTTGAAGCTTTCTTTTGATTGAGGAGTTTGGAAACACTTTTTTTGTAGCAACTGCAAATGGATATTTGGAGCACTTTGTGGCTTATATTTGAAAAGGAAACATCTTCACATAAAAACTAGACAGAAGCATTCCAAGAAACTTCCTTACAATGTGTGGATTCATCTCACAGATTTCATCCTTTCTTTGGATTGAGCAGTTTTGAAACACTCTTTTGGTAGAATCTGTAAGTGGATATTTTGAGCGCCTTGATTCCTATGGTGGAAAAGGAAATATCTTCAAATAAAAAATAGAGAGAAGCATTCTCAGAAACTTCTTTGTGATGACGGCATTCAACTCTCAGAGTTGAATCTTTCTTTTGATTGAGCATTTTAAAAATCTCTTTTTGTAGTAACTGCAAAGGGATATTTGGCACGCTTTGAGGCCTGTAGTTGAAAATGAAATATCTACACATAAAAACTGGACAGAAGCATTCTGAGAAACCTCTTCATGATGTGTGCATTCACTTCACCGTGTTAAACCTTTCTTTTGATTGGGCAGTTTTGACACACTCTTTTTGTAGAATCTGATATTGGATATTTGGAGTGCTTTGAGGCCTATGGTGAAAAAGGAAATATCTTCACATAGAAACTAGACAGAAGCATTCTCAGAAACTTCTTTGGGATGAGTGCATTCAATTCACAGAGTTGAACCTTTCTTTTGATTGAGCAGTTTGGAAACAATCTTTTTGTAGTAACTACAAATGGATACTTGGAGCGCTTTGAGGCCTATAGCTTAAAAGGAAATATCTTCACATAAAAACTAGACAGAAGCATTCTGAGAAACTTCTTTGTGATGTGTGCATTAATCTCACAGAGTTGAACCTTTCTTTTGGTTAAGAAGTTTTGAAACACTCTTTTTTTGGAAACTGCAAGTGGATATTTGGAGCGCTTTGAGGCCTATGGTGGAAAAGGAAATATCTTTACATAAAAACTAGACAGAAGCATTCTCAGAAACTTCTTTGTGATGTGTGCATTCAACTCTCAGAGTTGAACTTCTCTTTTGTTTGAGCATTTTGGGAACACTCTTTCTGTAGTAACTGCAAATGGATATTTGGAGCCCTTTGAGGTCTATAGCTGAAAAGGGAATATCTTCATATAATAACTAGACAGAAGCACTCTGAGTGAGTTCTTTGTGATGTGTGCATTCATCTCACAGAGTTGAACCTTTCTTTTGATTGAGAAGTTTTGAAACACTCTTTTTGTACAATTGCAAGTGGATATTTGGAGGGCCTTGATGCCTATGGTGGAAAAGGAAATATCTTCACATTACAAATAGACAGAAGCATTCTGAGAAACTTCTTTGTTATGTTCGCATTTATCTCACAGATTTGAACCTTTCTTTTGATTGAGCAGTTTGGAAACACTCTTTTTCTACAATCTGCAAATGGATATTTGGAGTTCTTTGAGACCTATGTTTTAAAAGAAAATATCTTCACATAGAACCTAGACAGAAGCATTCTCAGAAATTTCTTTGTGATGTGGGCATTCAACTCTCAGAAGTGAATCTTTCTTTTGATTGAGCATTTTGGAAGCAATCTTTTATTAGTAACTGCAAATGGATATATGGAGCGCTTTGAGGAATGTATCTGAAAAGGAAATATCTTCATATATAAACTACTCGGAAGCATTCTGAGAAGCTTCTTTGTTATGTGTGCATTCACCTCACAGAGTTGAACCATTCTTTTGACTGAGAAGTTTTGAAAAACTCTTTTTGTAGAATCTGCAAGTGCATATTTGGAGTGCTTTGAGGCCTATGGTGGAAAAGGAAATATCTTCACATAAAAACAAGACAGAAGGATTCTGAGAAACTTATTTGTGATGTGTGCATTCACCTCACGGAGTTGAACCTTTCTTTTGATTGAGCACTTTTGAAACACTCTTTTTGTAGAATCTGCAAGTGGATATTTGGAGTGCTTTGTGGCCAACGGTGGAAAAGAAACATGTTCACATAAAAACGAGACAGAAGAATTCGAGAAACTTCTTTGTGATGTGTTCATTCAACTCACGTAGTTCAACCTTTCTTTTGATTGAGCAGTTTGAAAACACTCTTTCTGTAGAATCTGCAAGTGGATATTTGGAGCGCTTTGAGGCCTATGGTGGAAAAGAAAATTTCTGCACATAAAAACTAGACAGAAACATTCTGAGAAACTTCTTTGTGATGTGTGCATTCATCTCACAGAGTTGAACCTTTCTTTTGATTGAGAAGTTTTCAAACACTCTTTTCGTAGATTCTGCAAGTGGATATTTGGAGTGCTTTGAGACCTATGGAGGAAAAGGAAATATCTTCACATAGAAGCTGGACGGAAGCATTCTCAGAAACTACTTTGTGATGTGTGCATTTAACTCTCGCAGTTGAACATTTCCTTTGCTTGAGCAGTTTGGAAACACTCTTTTTGTAGTAACTGCAAATGGATATGTGCATCACTTTGAAGCGTATATCTGAGAAGGAAATATCTTCATATAAAAACTACTCAGAATCATTCTGAGAAACTTCTTTGTTATGTGTGCATTCATATCACAGTCTTAAACAATTCTTTTGATTCAGAAGTTTTGAAACACTCTTTTTGTAGTAAGTGCAAATGGATATTTGGAGCACTTTGAGTCCTCCAAATATATATATATATATAGCTGAAAAGGAAATATCTTCATATAAAAACTTGACAGAAGAATTCTGAGAAACTTCTTTGATATGTGTGCATTCAAGGCAAAGAGTTGAAATATTCTTTTGATTGAGAAGTATTGAAACACTCTTTTTGTAGAACCTGCAAGTGGATATTTGGAGTGCTTTGAGGCCAATGGTGGAAAGAAAATATCTTCACAAAGAAACTAGACAGAAGCATTCTCTGAAACTTCTTTGTTATGTGTGCATTCAACTCTCATAGTTGAACCTTTCTTTTGATTGAGCAGTTTGGACACACTCTTTTTGTAGTAACTGCAAATGGATACTTGGGGTGCTTTGACGACAATAGCTGAAACGGAAATATCTGCACTTAAAAACTACACAGAAGCATTCTGAGAAACTTCTTTGTGATGTGTGGATTCATCACACAGACTTTTAACTATCTTTGATTGAGCAGTTTTGAGACACACTTTTTGTAGAATCTGCAGGTGGATATTTTGAGCACTTTGAGGCCTATGTTGGAAAAGGAAATATCTTAGCATAAAAACTAGACAGAAGCATTCTCAGAAACTTCTTTGTGATGTGTGCATTCAACTCTCAGAGTCGAAGTTTTCTTTTGATTGAGCAGTTTGGAAACACTCTTTTAGTAAGAACTGCAAATGTCTATTAGGAACACTATGTGACCTAGAGCGAAGAGAAAATATCTTCATATAATAAGTAGACGGAAGCATTCTGAGAAACTTCTTTGTGATGTGTTCGTTCATCTCACAGAGTTGAACATTTCTTTTGATTGGGAAGTTTTGAAACACTCTTTTTGTAGAATCTGCAAGTGGATATTGGGAGTGCTTTGAGGCCTATTGTGGAAAAGGAAATGTCTTCACATAAAAACTAGACCGAAGCATTCTCAGAAACTTCTTTGTGATGTGTGCATTCAACTCATAAAGATGAACCTTTCTTTCACTTGCGCAGCTTGGAGACACTCTTTTTGTAGTAACTTCAAGTGGATATTTGAAGCGGTTTGAGGCCTACAGCAGAAAAGGAAATATATTCACATAAAAAGTAGACAGAAGAATTCTGAGAAACTTCTTTGGGATGTGTGCATTCACCTTACAGAGTGGAAACTTTCTTTTGATTGAGAAATTTTAAAACACTCATTTGTAGAATCTGTAAGTGGGTATTTGGAGAACTTTGAGGCCTATGGTGGAAAAGGAAATATCTTCTCATAAAAACTAGACAGAAGAATTCTGAGAAACTTCTTTGTGATGTGTGCATTCAACAGTCAGGAATGAAAATTTCTTTTGATTGGGCAGTTTGGAAACACTCTCTTTGTTGTAACTATAAATGGATGTTTGGAGCACTTAGAGGCCTATAGCTGAAAAAGAAGTATCTTCACATAAAAACTATACAGAAGCATTCTGCGAAAATTCTTTGAAATGGGTGTATTCATATCACAGATTTGAACCTTTCTTTTGATTGAGAAGGTTTGAAACACTCTTTTTGTAGAATCTCCAAATGTATATTTGGAGCGCTTTGTGGCCTGTGGTTGAAAAGGAAATATCTTCACATAAATACTCTACAGAAGCATTCTCAGAAACTTCTTTGTGATGTGTGCATTCAACTCAAAGAGGTGAAATTTTCTTTTGATTGAGCAACATGGAAACACTCTTTTTGTAGAATCTGCAAGTGGATATTTGGAGCGCTTTGAGGCCAATGGTTGAAAAGGAAATATCTTCAGAAAGAACTACAGAGAATCATTCTGAGAAACTTCTTTGTGATGTGTGCATTCATCTCACAGAGTTGAACCTTTCTTTTGATTGAGCAGTTTAGAAACACTCTTTTGGTAGAATCTGCAAGTGGATATTTGGAGTGCCTTGAGGCCTATGGTGGATAAGGAAATATCTTCACATAAAAACCAGATAGAAGCATTCTGAGAAACTTTCTGCATGTGCGCTTTTGTCTCACAGAGTTGAACCCTTCTTTTGATTGCGCAGTTTTGAAACACTCTTTTTGTAGAATCTGCAAGTGGACATTTGGAACGCTTTGAGGCCTATGGTGGAAAAGGAAATATCTTCACATAGAAACTAGACAGAAGCATTCTAAGAAACTTCTTTGTGATTAGTGCATTGAATTCACAGAGTTGAACCTTTCATTTGATTGAGCAGTTTGGAAGCACTTTTTGTCGAAACTGCAAATGGATATTTGGAGCTCTTTGAGGCCTATAGCTGAAAAGGAAATATCTTCACATAAAAACTAGACAGAAGCATTCTCAGAAACTCCTTTGTGATGTGTGCATTCAACTCTCAGAGTTGAACTTTTCTTTTGATAGAGCAGTTAGGAAACAATCTTTTTGTAGAATCTGCATGTGGATATTTGGAGTGCTTTGAGGCCAATGGTGGAAAAGGAAATATCTTCACATAGAACCTAGACAGAAGCATTCTCAGAAACTTCTTTGCGATGAGTGCATTCAACTCACAAAGTTGAACATTTCTTTTGATTGAGCAGTTTGGAAACACTCTTTTTGTAGAATCTGTAAGTGCCTATTTGGAGTGCTTTGAGGCCTATGGTGGAAAAGGAAATATCTTCACATTAAAATTAGACAGGAGCATTCTGAGAAAGTTGTTTGTGATGTTCGCATTCATCTCACAGAGTTGCACCTTTCTTTTGATTGAACAGTTTTGAAACACACTTTTTGTAGAATCTGCAAGTGGATGTTTGTAGTGCTTTCAGGCCTATGGTGGAAAAGGAAATATCTTCACAAAGGAACAAGACAGAAGCATTCTCAGAAACTTCTTTGTGATGTGTGCATTCAACTCCTGAGTTGAACCTTTCTTTAGATTGAGCAGTTTAGAAACACTCTTTTTGTAGTAACAGAAAATGGATATTTGGAGTACTTTGATGACTATAGCTGAAACGGAAATATCTACACCTAAAAACTACACAGAATAATTCTGAGAAACTTCTTTATGATGTGTGGATTCATCTCACATATTTTTACCTTTTTGATTGAGCAGTTTTGAAACACTCTTTTTGTAGAATCTGCAAGTGGATATTGGGAGGGCTTTGAGGCCTATGTTGGAAAAGGAAATATCTTCACATAACAACTAGAGAGAAGCATTCTCAGAAACTTCTTTGTGATGTGTGCATTCAACTCACAGAGATGAACCTTTCTTTTGATTGAGCATTTTGGAAACACTCTTTTGGTAGGAACTGCAAAAGGATATTTGGAGCGCTTTGAGGCCTATCGCTGAAAAGAAAATATCTTCATATTAAAACTACACAGAAGCATTCTGAGAAACTTCTTTGTTATTGGTGCATTCACCTCACAGAGTTGAACCATTCTTTTGATTGAGAAGTTTTGAAACACTCTTTTTGTAGAATCTGCAAGTGTATATTTGGAGCACTTGGAGACCGATGGTGGAAAGGGAAATATCTTTACATAAAAACTAGACAGAAGCATTCTCAGAAACTTCTTTGTGATGTGTGCCTTCAACTCTCAGAGTTGAACCTTTCTTTTGATTGAGCAGATTGGAAACACTTTTTTTGTAGTATCTGCAAATGGATATTTGGAGCTCTTTGAGGCCTATAGCTGAAAAGGAAATATCTTCATATAAAAACTAGACGGAAGCATTCTCATAAACTTCTTTGTGATGTGTGTATTCATCTGTTGAAAATTTCCTTTTATTGAGCAGTTTGGAAATTCTCTTTTGGTAGTAACTGCAAATGGATATTTGGAGTGCTTTGAGGCCTATAGCTGAAAAGGAATTATCTTAACATAAAAGCTAGACAAAAGCATTCTGAGAAACTTCTTTGTGATGTGTGCATTCATCTTACAGATTTGGAGCTTTCTTTTGTTTGAGAAGTTTTGAAACCCTCTTTTTTAGAATCTGCAAGTGGATATTGGGAGCGCTTTCTGGCCTACGGAGGAAAAGGAAATATCTTCACATAAAAACTAGACAGAAGCATTGTCAGAAACTTCTCTGTGATGAGTGCATTCAACTCACAGATTTGAACCATTCTTTTGATTGGGGAGTTTGGAGACACTCTTTTTGTAGTAACTGCAAATGGATATTTGGAGCGCCTTGTAGCCCATTGCTGAAAAGGAAGTATCTTCACATGCAAACTAGTCAGTAGCATTCTGAGAAACTTCTTTGTGATGTGTGCATTCATCTCAAATAGCTGAATCTTTCTTTTGATTGAGAAGTTTGAAACACTCTTTTTGTAGAATCTTCAAGTGGATATTTGGAATGGTAAGAGGCCTATGGTGGAAAAGGAAATATGTTCACATAGAAAGTAGACAGAAGCATTCTCAGAAACTTCTTTTTGATGTGTGCATTCAAGTCTTAGAGTTGAACTTTTCTTTTCATTGAGCAGTCTGGAAACACTCTTAGTGTTGTAACTGCAAATGGATTTTTGGAGGGCTTTGAAGCCTATACCTCAAAAGGTAATATCTTCACATAAATGATAGACAAAATCATTCTGAGAAATTTCTTTGCGATGTGTGCATACATCACACAGATTTGAACCTTTCGTTTGATTGAGCAGTTTTGAAATATTCTTTTTCTACAATCTGCAAGTAGATATTTGGGAGGTTTGAGGCGTATGGTGGAAAAGGAAAAACTTCACATAAAAACTAGAGAGAAGCATTCTCAGAAACTTCTGTGTGATGTGTGCATTCAACTCACAGAGTTGATCTTTTCTTTTGATTGAGCAGTTTTGAAACACTCTTTTTGAAGAATCTGCAAGTGGATATTTGGAGCGCTTTGAGGCCTATAGTGGAAAAGGGAGTATCTTTGCATAAAAACAAGACAGAAGCATTCTCAAAAACTTTTTTGTCATGTGTGCATTCAACTCACAGAGTTGAAACTTTCTTTTGATTGAGCAGTTTTGAAACACTCTTTTTGCAGAATCTGCAAGTGGATTCTTGGAGCGCTTTGAGGCCTATGGTGGCAAAGGAAATATCTTCACATAAAAACTAGACAGAAGCATTCTGAGAAACTTCTTTGTGATGTGCGCATTCATCTCACAGAGTTGAAACTTTCTTTTATTTGAGCAGTTTTGAAACCCTCTTTTTGTAGAATCTGCAACTGGATATGTGGAGTGCTTTGAGACCTATAGCTGAAAATTAAATATCTTCACATAAAAACTAGACAGAAGCATTGTCAGAAACTTCTTTGTGATGTGTGCATTCAACACTCAGAGTTGTACTTTTCTTTTGATTGCACAGTATGGAAACACTCTTCTTGAAATAACTGCAAAAGGATATTTGGAACACTTTGAAGCCTGTAGTTGAAAAGGAAATATCTTCACATAAAAACTAGACAGAAGCATTCAGAGAAACTTCTTTGTGACGTGTGCATTCAACTCACAAAATTGAACCTTTCTTTTGATTGAGCAGTTTGGAAACACTCTTTTAATAGAATCTGCAAGTGGATATTTGGAGCTCTATGAGGCCTAAGGTGTGAAATGAAATATCTTCACACAAATACTAGATAGAAGCATTCTGAGAAACTTCTTTTTGATGTGCACATTCATCTCACAGAGGTGAAACTTTCTTTTGATTGAGGAGTTTTGAAACACTCTTTTTGTAGAATCTGCAAGTGGATATTTTGAGCGCTTTGAGGCCTATGTTGGAAAAGGATATATCTTCACATAAAAACTAGACAGAAGCACTCTCTGAAACTTCTTTGTGTTGTGTGCATTCAACAGTCAGAGTTGAGCTTTTCTTTTGATTGAGCAGTTTGGAAACACTCTTTTTGTAGTAATTGCCAGTGGATATTTGGAGAGCTTTGAAACCTGTAGCTGAAAAGGAAATATCTTCAGGTAAGAACTAGACAGAAGCATTCTGAGAAACATCTTTGTGATGTGCACATTCATCTCACAGATTGAACTTTTTTTTGATGGAACAGTTTGGAAACACACTTTTTGTAGAATCTGCAAGTGGAGATTTGGAGAGCTTTGAGGCCTATGATGGAAAAGGAAATATCTTCACACAGAAACAAGACAGAAGCATTCTCAGAAACGTTTCTGTGATGTGTGAATTCACCTCTCATAGTTGAACTTTTGTTTTGATTGAGCAGTTTGAAAACACTCTTTTTGTAGTAACTGCAAATGGATATTTGGAGCGCTTTGAGGCCTATAGCTGAAAAGGAAATGTCTTCACATAAAAACTACGCAGAAACATTCTGAGAAACTTCTTTTTGATGTATGGAATCATGTCACAGATTTAAACCTTTCTTCTGATTGAGCAGCTTTGAAAAACTCTTTTGTAGAATCTGCAAGTGGATACTTGGAGTGCATTAACGCCTATGGTGGAAAAGGAAATATCTTCACATAAAAACTAGGCAGAAGCATTCTCAGAAACTACTGTGTGATGTGTGCATACAACCCTCAGATTTGTACCTTTCTTTTGATTGAGCAGTTTGAAAACAATCTTTTTTTTAATAACTGCAAAGGATATTTGGATCGCTTTGAGGCCTATAGCTGAAAAGGGAATATCTTCACATAAAAACTGGACAGAAGCATTCTGAGAAACTGCTTTGGGACGTGTGCATTCATCTCACGAAGTTGAAACTTTCTTTTGATTGAGCAGTTTGGAAACACTCTTTTTGTGGATTCTGCATGTGGATATTTCCAGCGCTTTGAGTCCTATGGTGGAAAAGGAAATGTCTTCACATAAAAGCTAGACAGAAGAATTCTGAGAAACTTCTTTGTGATGTGTGCATTCGTCTCTCAGAGTTGGACCTTTCTTTTGATTGAACAGTTTTGAAACACTCTTTTTGTAGAATCTGCAAGTGGATATTTGGAGTGCTTTGAGGTCTATGGTGGAAAAAGAAATATCTTCCCATAGAAACTAGACAGAAGCATTCTCAGAAACTTCTTTGTGATGAGTGCATTCAACTCACGGAATTGAAACTTTCTTTTGATTGAACAGTTTGGAAACACTCCTTTTGTAGTAAATGCAAATGGATATTGGGAGTGCTTTGAGACTAATAGCTGAGAGAAAATATCTTCATATAATAACTAGACAGAAGCATTCTGAGAAACTTCTTTGTGATGTGTGCATTCATCTCACAGAGTTGAACCTTTATTTTGATTGACAAGTTTTGAAACACTCTTTTTGTAGAATCTGCAAGTGGATATTTGGAGTGCTTTGAGGACTATGGTGGAAAAGGAAATATCTTCACATAAAAACTAGACAGAAGTATTGTCAGAAAATTCTTTGCATGTGCGCATTCGTCTCAAAGTGTTGAAACTTTCTTTTGATTGAGCTGTTTTGAAACACTCTTTTTGTAGAATTTGCAAGTGTATATTTGGAGTGCTTTGAGGCCTGTGGTGGAAAAGGAAATATCTTCACATTGAAAATAGACAGAAGCATTCTCAGAAACTACTTTGTGATGTGTCCATACAACTCTCAGAGTTGAACCTTACTTTTGATTGAGCAGTTTTGAAATACCTTTTTGTAGTAATTGCAAATGCATATTTGGATGACCTGGAGGCCTATAGGTGAAAAGGAAATACCTTCACATAAATACTAGACAGAAGCATTCTGAGAAACTTCCTTGTAATGTGTGGATTCATCTCACAGTGTTGCACCTTTCTTTTGATTGAGCAGTTTTGAAACACTCTTTTTGTATAGTATGCAAGTGGATATTTGGAGTGCTTTGAGGCCTATGGTGGAAAAGGAAATATCTTCACATAAAAACTAGACAAAATCATTGTCAGAAACTTCTTTGTGATGTGTGTATTCAGCTCTCAGTCTTGAACCTTTCTTTTTATTGAGCAGTTTGGAAACAATCTTTTTGTAATAACAGCAAATGTATATTTAGAGCATTTTGAGGCCTATAGCTGAAAAGGAAATATCTTCATAAAAACTACACAGGAGAATTCTGACAAACTTCTTTGTGATGTGTGCATTCATCTCACAGAGTTGAACCTTTCTTTTCAATGAGAAGTTTTGACACACTCTTGTTGTAGAATCTGCAATGGATATTTGGAGCGCTTTGCGGCCTATGGTGGAAAAGGAAATATCTTCACATAAAAACTAGACAAAATCATTGTCAGAAACTTCTTTGTGATGTGTGCATTTAGCTCTCAGTCTTGAACCTTTCTTTTTATTGAGCAGTTTGGAAACAATCTTTTTGTAATAACAGCAAATGGATATTTAGAGCATTTTGAGGCCTATAGCTGAAAAGGAAATATCTTCATAAAAACTACACAGGAGAATTCTGACAAACTTCTTTGTGATGTGTGCATTCATCTCACAGAGTTGAACCTTTCTTTTCAATGAGAAGTTTTGACACACTCTTGTTGTAGAATCTGCAATGGATATTTGGAGCGCTTTGAGGCCTATGGTGGAAAGGGAAATATCTTCAAAGAAAAACTAGACAGAAGCATTCTCAGAAACTTCTTTGTGATGTGTGCATTCAACTCACAGAATTGAACCTTTCTTTTGATTGAGCTGTTTGGAAACACTCTTTTTATAGTAACTGCAAATGGATATTTGGAGCACTTTAAATCCTATAGCTGAAAAGGAAATATCTTCACATAAAAACTAGACAGAAGCATTCTCAGAAACTTCCTTGTGATGTGTGCATTCAAATCTCGGAGTGGAACCATTCTTTTGGTTGAGCAGTTTGGAAACACTCTTTTTGTAGTAAATGCAAATGGATATTTGGAGTGCTTTGAGGCCTATAGCTGAAAAGCAAATGTCTTCACATAAAAACTACACAGAAACATTCTGAGAAACTTCTTTTTGGTGTGTGGAATCATGTCACAGATTTGAACCTTTCTTTTGATTGAGCAGCTTTGAAAAACTCTTTTTGAAGAATCTGCAAGTGGATGCTTGGAGTGCATTAAGGCCTATGGTGGAAAAGGAAATATCTTCACATAAAAACTAGGCAGAAGCATTCTCAGAAACTACTTTGTGATGTGTGCTTATAACCCTCAGATTTGTGACTTTCTTTTGATTGAGCAGTTTGAAAACAATCTTTTTGTAATAACTACAAAAGGATATTTGGATCGCTTTGAGGCTTATAGCTGAAAAGGAAATAACTTCACATTAAAAACTGGACAGAATCATTCTGAGAAACTGCTTTTTGACGTGTGCCTTCAACTCACAGAGTTGAACCTTTCTTTTCAATGAGAAGTTTTAAAACACTCTTGATGTAGAATCTGCAATGGATATTTGGAGCGCTTTGAGGCCTATGGTGGAAAGGGAATTATCTTCAAAGAAAAACTAGACAGAAGCATTCTCAGAAACTTCTTTGTGATGTGTGCATTCAACTCACAGAATTGAAACTTTCCTTTGATAGAGCAGTTTGGAAACACTCTTTTTATATTAACTGCAAATGGATATTTGGAGTGCTTTGAATCCTATAGCTGAAAAGGAAATATCTTCACATAAAAGCTAGACTGAAGCATTCTCAGAAACTTCTTTGTAATGTGTGCATTGAAATCTTGGAGTGGAACCATTCTTTTGATTGAGCAGTTTGGAAACACTCTTTTTGTAGTAACTGCAATTGGATATATGCAGTGCATTGAGACCTATATCTGAAAAGGAAATATCTTCATATAAAAACTACACAGAAGTATTCTGAGAAACTCTGTTATGTGTGTATTCATCTCACAGAGATAAACAATTGTTTTGATTGAGAAGTTTTGAAACAATCTTCAATTATTTACTTGGTGCACTTTGAGGCCTGTGGTGGAAAAGGAAATATCTTCACATAGAAACTAGAAAGAAGTATTCTCAGAAACGTCTTTGTGATGTGTGCATTCATCTCTCATTGTTGAACTGTTCTTTTGATTGAACAGTTTGGAAACATTCTTTTGTAGTAACTGCAAATGGATATTTGGGGCGCTTTGTGACCAATAGCTGAAAAGGAAATATCCTCAAATAAAAACTAGACAGAAGCATTCTGAGAAACTTCTTTGTGATGTGTGCATTCAACTCACAGAGTTGAACCCTTCTTTTAACAGAGAAGTTTTGAAACACTCTTTTTGTAGGATCTGCAAGTTGATATTTGGAGCGCTTTGAGGCCTATGGTGGAAAAGGAAATATCTTCACATAAAAACTAGACAAAAGCATTCTTAGAAGCCTCTTTGTGATGTGTGCATTCAACTCACAGAGTTGAACATTTCTTTTGAGTGAGCATTTTGGAAACACTCTTTCTGTAGAATCTGCAAGTGGATATTTGGAGTGCTTTGATGCCTACTGTGGAAAAGGAAATATCTTCACATAAAAATTAGACAGAAGCATTCTGAGAAACTACTTTGTGATGTGCGCATTCATCTCATACATTTGAGCCTTTCTATTGATTGAGCAGTTTTGAAACACTCGTTTTGTAGAACCTGCAAGAAGAGATTTGTAGTGCTTTGAGGCCTATGGTAGAAAAGAAAATATCTTCACATAGAAACTAGAGAAAAGCATTCTCAGAATTTTATTTTTTATGTGTGCATTCAACTCTCATAGTTGAACCATTCTTTTGATTGAGCAGCTTGGAAACACTACTTTTCTAGAAACTGCAAATGGATATTTAGGGTGCTTTGAGGACTGTAGCTGAAAAGGAAATCGCTTCATATAAAAACTAGACAGGAGAGTTCTGAGAAACTTCTTTGTGATGTGTGGATTCATCTCACAAATTTGAACCTTTCTTTTGATTGAACAGCTTTGAAACATTGTGTTTGTAGAATCTGCAAGTGGATATTTGGAGTGCTTTGATTCGTATTGTTGGAAAGGAAATATCTTCACATAAAAACTAGATGGAAGCATTCTTAGAAACATCTTTATGATGTGTGCATTCAACTCTCAGAATTGAACCTTTCCTTTGATTGAACAGTTTGGAAACATTCTATTTGTAGTAACTGCAAATGGATATTTGTTGGGCTTTGAGGTCTATAGCTGAAAAGGAAATATCTTTACATAAAAAATAGAAGCGTTCAGAGAAACTACTTTGTAATGTGTGTCTTCATCTCAGAGAGTTGAACATTACTTTGGATTAAACAGTTTTGAAACACTCTTTGTAGAATCTGCAAGTGGATGTTTGAAAGGCTTTGAGGCCTATGGTGGAAAAGGAAATATTTTCACATAAAAACTAGACAGAAGCATTCGTAGAAACTTCTTTGTGATGTGTGCATTCAACTCTCAGAGTTGAACTTTTATTTTCATCGAGCAGTTTGGAAACACTGTTTTTGTAGCAACTGCAAGTGGATATTTGTAGCGCTCTGAGGCCCAAAGTTGTAAAGGAAACATCTTCACATAAAAACTAGACAGAATCTTTCTGAGAAACTTCTTTGTGATGTGTGGATTCATATCACAAGGTTGAAACTTTCTCTTGATTGAGAAGTTTTGAAACAATCTTTTTGTGGAATCTGCAAGTGGATATTTGGAGCGCTTTGAGGCCTACCATGGAAAAGGAAATATCTTCACATAAAAAGTAGACAGAAGCATTCTCAGAGACTTCTTTGTGATGTGTGCTTTCAATTCACAGAGTTGAACCTCCCTTTTGATAGAGGAGTTTTGAAACACTCTTTCTGTAGGATGCAAGTGGATATTTGGAACGCTTTGAGGCCTATGGTGGAAAAGGAAATAACTTCACATAAAAACTAGACAGAAGAATTCCTAGAAACTTCTTTGTGATGTGTGCATTCAACATACAGAGTTGAACCTTTTCTATGATAGAGCAGTTTTGAAACACTGTTTTTGTAGAATCTGCAAGGGGATATTTGGAGTGCTTTGAGGCCTGTGGTGGAAAAGGAAATATCTTCACATAAAAACTACACAGAAGCATTCTCAGAAACTTCTTTGGATGGGTGCATTCAACTCACAGAGTTGAAACTACGTTTTGATAGAGCAGCTTTCAAACACTTTTTTTGTGGAATCTGCAAGTGGATATTTGAAATGTTTTGAGGCCTATGGTGGAAAAGGAAGTATCTTCACATAAAAACTACACGGAAACTTTCTCAGAAAATTATTTGTGATACGTGCATTCAATTCACAGAGTTGAACATTTCTTTTGATAGAGGAGTTTTGAAACACTCTTTTTGTAAAATCTGCAAGTGGATATCTAGAGTGCTTTGAGGCCTACGGTGTAAAAAGAAATTTCTTCACATAAAAACTAGACAGAAGCATTCTCAGAAACAACTTTGTGATGTGTGCATTCAACTCAAAGAGTTGAACCTTCCTTTTGATAGAGAAGTTTTGAAACACCGTTTTTGGAGAATCTGCAAGTGGTTATTTGGAATGCTTTGAGACCTGTGGTGGAAAAGGAAATATCTTCAAATAAAAACTAGACTGAAGCATTCTTAGAGATATTTTGAGTGCTTTGAGGCCTATGGTGGAAAAGGAATTATCTTCACATAAAAACTAGATGGAAGCATTCTCAGAAACTACTTTGTGATGTCTGCATTCAACTCACAGAGTGGAACCTTCCTTTTGATAGAGCAGTTTTGAAATACTATTTTTGGAGAATCTGCAGGTGGGTATTTGGAGAGCTTTGAGGCCTATGGTGAAAAACGAGATATCTTCACATCAAAACTAGACAGAAGCATTCTCAGAGACTACTTTGTGATGGGTGCATTAAACTCACAGAGTTGACCCTTTCTTTTGAGAGAGCAGTTTTGAAACACTCCTTTTGTAGAATCTGCAAGTGGATATTTGGAGCGCTTTGATGCCTATGGTGGAAAAGGAAATATCTTCACAAAAAAACTAGACAGAAGCATTCTCAGAGATATTTGGACCGCTTTGAGGCCTACGGTGGAAAAGGAAATATCTTCACTCATAAACTTGACAGAAGCATTGCCAGAAACATGTTTTGGATGTGTGCATTCAACTCTCAGAGTTGAACTTTCTTTTGATAGGGCAGTTTAGAAACACTCTTTTTGTAGAATCTGCAAGTGGATATTTGGAATGCTTTTAGTCCTATGCTGGAAAAGGATATATCTTCACATAAAAACTAGAGAGAAGCATTCTCAGAAACTTCCTTGTGATGTGTCCATTCAACTCACAGAGTTGAATCTTTGTTTTGATACAGCAGCTTTGAAACTCTCTTTCTGTGGAATCTGCAAGCGGATATTTGGAGGGCTTTGAGGCCTAGGGTGGAAAAGGAAATATCTTCACAGAAAAACTAGACAGAAGCATTCTCAGAGATATTTGGAGCGCTTTCAGACCAATGATGGAAAGGAAATATCTTCACATATAAACTAGACAGAAGCATTCTCAGAAACATCTTTGAAATGTGTGATTTCAACTCACAGGGTTGAACCTTCCTTTTGATAGAGCAGTTTTGAAACACTCATTTTGTAGAATCCACAAGTGGATATTTGGAAGGCTTTGAGGCCCACGGTGGGAAAGGAAATATCTTCAGATGAAAACTAGACAGAAGCACTCTCATAAACTTCTTTGTGATATGTGCATTGAACTCTCAGAGTTGAACATTCCTTATGATATCGCAGTTTTGAAACACTATTTTTGTAGAATCTGCAACTGGATATTTGGAGAGCTTTAAGGGCTATGATAGAAAAGGAAATATCTTCACCGAAAAACTAGACAGAAGCATTCTCAGAAACTTCTTTGTTATGTGTGCATTCAACTCAGAGGGTTGAGCCTTCCTTTTGATAGAGCAGTTTTGAAACACTCTTTTTGTAGAATCTGCAAGTGGATATTTGGAAACTTTGAGTCCTGTGGTGGAATAGGGTATATCTTCACATAAAAACAAGACAGAAGCATTCTCAGACACTTTCTTGTGATGTGTCCATTCAACTCACAGAGTTGAACCTTTCTTTTGACAGAGCAGTTTTGAAACACACTTTTTGTAGCATCTGCAAGTGGATAATTGGAGCGCTTTGAGGCCAACGGTGGAAAAGGAAATATCTTCACAGAAAAATTAGACAGAAGCATTCTCAGAGATATTTGGAGAGCTTTGAGGCCTACGGTGGAAAAGAAATATCTTCACACATAAACTTGACAGAAGCATTGTCAGAAACTCCTTTTGGGTGTGTGGATTCAACTCACACAGTTGAACCTTTCTTTTGATAGAGCAGTTTTGAAACACCCTTTTTGTAGAATTAGCAAGTGCATATTTGGAGGAATTTGAGGGCTACGGTGGAAAAGGAAATATCTTCACATAAGAACTAGACAGAAGCATTCTCAGAGATATTTGGAGCACTTTGAGGCCTACGGTGGAAAAGGAAATATGTTCACATAGAAACTACACAGTAGCAATCTCTGAAACATCTTGTAATGGTTGCAATCAACTCACACGTTTGAACCTTCCTTTTGATAGAGCAGTTTTGAAACACTCTTTTTGTAAAATGTGCAAGTGGATATTTGGAACGCTTTGAGACCTATGGTGGAAAAGGAAATATCTTCACATAAAAACTAGACAGAATCATTCTTAGAAACTACTATGTGATGTGTGCATTCAACTGACAGAGTTGAACCTTCCTTTTGACAGAGCAGTTTTGAAACACTCTTTTAGTAGAATCTGAAAGGGGATGTTTGGAATGCTTTGCGGCCTATGGTGGAAAAGGAAACATCTCCACATAAAAACTAGACAGAAGCATTATCAGAAACTTCTTTGTGATGTGTGCATTCAACTCACAGAGTTCACATTCCTTTTGATAGAGCAGTTTTTATACACTCCTTTTGCAGAATGTGTAAGTAGATATTTGGAACAATTTGAGACCTATGGTGGAAAAGGAAATATGTTCTCATAAAAACTAGACAGAAGCATTCTCAGAAACTACTTTATGATGTGTACGTTCAACTCACAGAGTTGAACCTTTCTATTGTTAGATCAGTTTTGAAACACCCTTTATGTAGAATCTGCAAGTGGATATTTGGAGCGCTTTGAGGCTTATGGTGGAAAAGGAAATATCTTCACATAAAAACTAGACAGAAGCATTCTCAGAGATATGTGAAGCGTTTTGAGGCCTACGGTGGAAAAGGGAATATCTTCACATAGAAACTAGACAGAAGCAATATAACAAACTTCTTTGTGATGTGTGCAATCAACTCACAGGTTTGAACATTCCTCTTGACAGAGCAGTTTTGAAACACTCTCTTTGCAGAATGTGCAACTGGATATTTGGAATGCTTTGAGGCCTACGATGGAAAAGGAAATATCTTCACAGAAAAACTGGACAGATGCATTCTCAGAAACTTCTTTGCGATTTGTGCATTAAACTCACAGAGTTGAACCCTTGCTTTGGCAGAGCAGTTTTGAAACCCTCTTTTTGTAGTATCTGCAAGTGGATATTTGGAGGGCTTTGAGGACTAGAGTGGAAAAGTAAATATCTTCACATAAAGACTAGACAGAAGCATTCTCAGAAACTTCTTTGTGATGTGTGCATTAAAATCACAGATTTGAACCTTCCTTCAGATAGAGACGTTTTGAAACACTCCTTTTGTAGGATCTGCAAGTGGTTATTGGGAGCAGTTTGAGGCCTACGGTGGAAAAGTAAATATCTTCAAATAAAAACTAGACAGAAAAATTCTGAGAAACTTCTTTGTGATGTGCGCATTCAAATCACAGAGTTGAGCCTTTCTTTTGATAGAGCAGTTTTGAAACACTCTTTTTGTAGAATCAGCAAGTGGATATTTGTAGAGCTTTGAGGCCTATGGTGGAAAAGGACATATCTTCACATAAAAACTAGCAGAAGCATTCTCAGAAACCTCTTTGTGATGTGCGCATTCAAATCACAGAGTTGAACCTTTCTTTTGTTTGAATGGTTTTGAAGCACTTTTTTGGAGAATCTGCAAGTGGATATTTGGAGTGCTTTGATGCCTACTGTGGAAAAGGAAATACCTTCACATAAAAAAGAGACAGAGCCATTCTCAGAAACATCTTGGAGATGTGTGAATTCAACTCACAGAGTTGAACTTTCCTTTTGATAGATCAGATTTGAAACACTTTTTTTGTAAAATCTGCAAGTCGATATTTGGAGCGCTCTGAGGCCTAGGGGGGAAAAGGAAATATCTTCACATAAAAACTAGGCAGAAGCATTCTCAGAAACTTCTTTGTGATGCTTCCATTCAACTCACATAGTTGAACGTTCCTTTTGATAGAGCAGTTTTGAAAAACTCTTTTTGCAGAATCTTCAAGTGGATATTTGGAGCTCTTTGAGGCCTTCAGTGGAACGGGAACATCTTCACATAAAAACTAGCCAGAAGTTTTCTCAGAGACTTCTTTGTGATGTGTGCATTCAACTCAGAGAGTTGAACCTTCCTTTTTGTAGAGCAGTTTTGAAACATTCTTTTTGTAGAATCTGCAAGTAGATATTTGGAGCACTTTGAAGACTATGGTAGAAAAGGAAGTATCTTCATATAAAAACTAGACAGCAGCATTCTCAGAAACTACTTTGTGATGTGTGCATTCAACACACAGAGTTGAACCTTTCTTTTGATAGAGCAGTTTTGAAACACTCTTTTTGTATAATCTGCAAGAGGATGTTTGGAGCGCTTTGAGGCCTACAGTGGAAACAGCACTTCTTCACATAAAAACTAGACAGAAGCCTTCTCAGAAACTTCTTTGTGATGTGTGCATTCAACTCAGAGAGTTGAACATTCCTTTTGGTAGAGCAGTTTTGGAACAGTCTTTTGTAGAATCGGCAAGTGGATATTTGGAGCGCTTTGAGGCCTATGGTGGAAACAGGAATATCTTTACATAAAAACTAGACAGAGGCATTCTCAGAAACTTTTTTATGATGTGTGCATTCAACTCAGAGTGGTAAAACTTCCTTTTGGTAGAGCAGATTTGAAAAATTCTTTTTGTGGAATCTGCAAGTGGATATTTGGAGCACTTTGAGGACTATGGTAGAAAAGGAAGTATCCTCATATAAAAACTAGACAGAAACATTATCAGAAACTACATTGTGATGTGTGCATTCAAGACACAGAGTAGAACCTTCCTTTTGACAGAGCAGTTTTGAAACACTCTTTTTGTAGAATCTGCAAGTGGATGTTTGAAACGCTTTGAGGCCTGCAGTGGAAACGGTATGTCTTCACATAAAAACTAGACAGAAGCATTCTCAGAAACTTCTTCGTTATGTGTGCATTCAACTCAGAGAGTTGAACCTTCCTCTTGGTAGAGCAGTTTTGAAACACTCTTTCTGTGGAATCTGCAAGTGGATATTTGGTGCGCTTTGAGGACCATGGTAGAAAAGAAAGTATCTTTATATAAAAACTAGACAGAAGAATTCTCAGAAACTACTTTGTGATGTGTGCATTCAACTCACAGAAGTGATCCTTTCTTTTGATAGAGCAGTTTTGAAACACTCTTTTTGTAGAATGTGCAAGTAGACACTTGGCTCACTTTGAGGCCAATGGTGGAAGAGGAAATATCTTCACATAAAAGCTAAATAGAAGCATTCTCAGAAACTAGTTCGAGATGTGTGCATTCAACTCACAGAGTTAAACATTGCTTTAGACAGTGCAGTTTTGAAACACTCTTTTTGTAGAATCTGCAAATGTATATTTGGAGCACTTTGAGGCCTTCGGTGGAAACGGGAACACCTTCACATAAAAACTAGTCAAAAGGATTCTCAGAAACTTCCTTGTGATGTGTGCATTCAACTAAAAGAGTTGAACTTCCTTTTCATAGAGCAGTTTTGAAATTCTTATTTGTAGAATCTGCAATCGGATATTTGGACCACTTTGAGATCTACAGTGGAAACGGGAATATCTTCACAGAAAAACTAGACAAAAGCGTTCTCAGACGCAACTTTGTGATGTGTGAATTCAACTCAGAGAGTTGAAGCATCCTTTTGACAGAGTACTTTTGAAGCACTCTTTTTGTAGAAACTGCAAGTGGATATTTGGATCACTTTGAGGCCCAAGTTTGAAAAGGAAATATCTTCATATCAAAACTAGACAGAAGCATTCTCAGAAAAGACTTTGTGATGTTTGCATTCAACTCACAGAGTTGAACATTCCTTTTAATTGAGCACTTTTGAGACACTCTCTTTGTAGAACCTGCAAGTGGATATTTGGAGCGCATGGAGGCCTATGGTGGAAAAGGAAATATCTTCACTTAAAAACTAGACAGAAGCATTCTTGGAAACTTCTTTGTGATGTGTGCATTCAACTCACAGAGTTGAACCTTCCTTTTGATAGATCAGTTTAGCAACACTCTTTTTGTAGAATCTGCAAGTGGATATTTGAGTGCTGTGTGGCCTATAGGGGAAATGGGAACATCTTCACATATAAACTAGACAGAACCATTCTCAGAAACTTCTTTGTGACGTGTTCATTCAACTGACAGAGTTGAACCTTTCTTTTGATAGAGCAGGTTTGAAACACTCTTCTTGAAGAATCTGCAGGTAGATTTTGTGGCCTATGGTAGGTAAGGAAATATCTTCATATAAAAATTAGACAGAAGCATTCTCAGAAATTTCTCTGTGATGTGTGTATTCAACTCACAGAGTTGAACTTTCCTTTTGATAGAGCAGTTTTGAAACCCTCTTTTTGTAGAATCTGCAAGGGGACATTTTGAGTGCTTTGTGGCCTACAGTGGAAACGGGAATATCTTTCATAAAAAAACTAGACAGAAGTATTCTAGGAAACTTCTTTGTGATGTATGCTTTCAATACAAAGGGATGAACCTTCCTTTTGACAGAGCAGTTTTGAAACACTCTTTTTGTAGAATCTGCAAGTGGACATTTGGAGCGATTTGAGGCCAATGGTGGAAAAGGAAATATCTTCATGTAAAAATTAGACAGAAGCATTCTCAGAAACTTCTTTTTGATGTGTGCATTCAAATTACAGAGTTTAAACTTTCTTTTGATAAAGTAGTTTTAAACACTCTTTTTGTAGAATCTGTAAGTGGACATTCGGAGCACTTTGAAGTCTTCGTTGGAAATGGGAATATCTTCACAAAAAACTAGAAAGAAGAATTTTCTGTAACTTCTTTGTGATGTCTGCATTCAACTCACAGAGTTGAACATTTCTTTTGATAGAGCAGTTTTGAAACACTCTTTTTGGAGAATCTGCAAGTGGATATTTGGAGCGCTTTGAGTCCTCTGGTGGAAAAGGAAATATCTTCACATAAAAACTAGACAGAAGTATTCTCAGAAACTGCTTTGTGATGTGTGCATTCAACTCACAGATTTGAACCTTCCTTCTGATAGAGCAGTTTTGAAACACTCTTTTTGTAAAATCTGCAAGTGGATTTTGGAGCGCTTTGAGGCCTTCAGGGGAAACGGGAATATCTTCACATATAAACTAAGCAGAAGCATTCTCAGAAACTTCTTGTGTAGTGTGCTTTCAACTCACAGAGCTGAATTTTCCTTTTGTAACAGCAGTTTTGAAACACTCTTTTTGTAGAATCTGCCAGTGGATATTTACAGCGCTTTGAGGCCTATGGTAGAAATGGAAATATCTTCATATAAAAACTAGACAGAAGATTTCTCAGAAACTACTTTGTGATGTGTGCATTCAACTCACAGAGTTGAACCTTCCTTTTGACAGAGCAGTTTTGAAACACTCTTTTTGTAGAATCTGCAAGTCAATGTTTGGACTGCTTTGAGGCCTTCATTGGGAATGGGATTATGTTCACAAAAAACTAGACAGAAGCATTCTTAGAAACTACTTTGTGATGTGTGCATTCAACTCACAGAGTTGAACCTTTATATTGATATGGAAGTTTTGAAACACTCTTTTTGTAGGATCTGCAAGTGGATATTTGGAGCGCTTTGTAGCCTATGGTGGAAAAGGAAGTATCTTCACATAAAAACCAGACAGAAACATTCTAACAAACTTCTTTGTGATGTGTGCATTCAACTCAGAGTTGAACCTTTCGTTTGATAGAACAGTTTTGAAACACCCTTTTTCTAGATTCTGCAAGTGTATATTTGGAGCCCTTTAAGGCCAATGCTGGTAAAGGATATATCTTCATATGAAAACCAGACAGAAGCATTCTCAAAAACTTCTTTGTGATGTGTGCATTCAACTCACAGTGTTGAACGTTTCTTTTAATAGGGCAGTTTGGAAACACTCTTTTTGTGGAATCTGCAAGAGGATATTTGGAGCACTTTGAGGCCTATGGTAGAAAAGCAAATATCTTTGTATAAAAAATAGATAGAAGCATTCTCAGGGACTAACTTGTGATGTGTGCATTAAACTCACAGAGGTGAACCTTCCTTTTGATGGAGTAGTTTTCAAACACTCTATTCGTAGAATCTGCAAGTGGGTATTTGGAACGCTTTGAGGCCTACCGTGGGAAAGGAAATATCTTCACATAAAAACTAGACAGAAGCATTATCAGAAACTTCTTTGTGATGTGTGCATTCAACTCACAGAGTTCACATTCTTTTTGATAGAGCAGTTTTGAAACACTCTTTTTTTAGAATGTGCAAGTGTACATTTTTTGCGCTTTGAAGCCTACGGTGGAAACGGGAATATCTTCACATATAAAGTAGACAGAATCATTCTCAGAAAGTTCTTTGTGATGTATGGATTCAACTCACAGAGTTGAACCTGTCTTTTGATAGAGCAGTTTTGAAACTCTCTTTTTGTAGAATCTGCAAGGGGATATTTGGAGCGCTTTGAGGACTATGGTGGAAAAGCAAGTATTTTCACATAAAAATGAGACAGAAGCATCCTCAGAAACTTCTTTGGGACGATTGCATTCAACTCACAGATTTGAAGATACTTTTTCATAGAGCAGTTCTGAAACGCTCTTTTTGTAGAATCTGCAAGTGGATATTTGCACCACTTTGGGGCCTTCCTTTGAAACGGGAATATCTTCACATAAAAACTAGACAGAAGTATTCTCAGAAACTTCTTTGTGACATGTGCATTCAACACACAGAGTTGAACCTTCCTTTTGATAGAGCAGTTTTGAAACACTCTTTTTGTAGAATCTGCAAGTGGATATTTGAAGAGCTTTAAGGCCTACGGTTGAAACGGGAATATCTTCACATAAAAACTAGACAGAAGCATACTGAGAAACGTCTTTGTGATGTGTGCATTCAACTCACAGATTTGAACCTTTCTTTTGACAGAGCCGCTTTGAAACACTCTTTTTGTAGAATCTGCAAGTGGATATTTGGAGCGATTTGAGGCCTTCAGTGGTAAAGGAAATATCTTCACATTAAAACTAGATAGAAGCATTCTTAGAAACTTCTTTGTGATATGTGAATTCAGTTCACAGAGTTCAGCCTGTCTTTTGATAGAGCAGTTTTGAAACACTTTTTCTGGAATCTGCAAGTGGAAATTTGGAGTGCTTTGAGGCCTTCGGTGGAAAAGGAAATATCTTCACATAAAAACTAGATAGAAGCACTCTCAGAATCTTCTTTGGGATATGTGCATTCAACTCCAAGAGGTGAACCTGTGTTTTGATAGAGCTGTCTTGAAACACTCTTTTTGTAGAATCTGCAAGTGGACATTTGGAGTGCTTTAAGGGCTATGGTGGAAAAGGAAATATCTTCACATAAGATAAGCTTCTTTGTGATGATTGCATTCAACTCACAGAGCTGAACAGACCTTTTCATAGAACAGTTTTGGAACACTCTTTTCGTAGAATCTGCAAGTGGATATTGGGGCTGCTTTGAGGCCTTCATTGAAAACGGGAATATCTTCACATGAAAACTAGACAGAAGCATTCTCAGGAACTTCTTTGATATGTTTGCATTCAGTTCGCAGAGTTGAAGCTTCCTTTTTATAGAAGAGTTTTGAAACACTAATTTAGTAGGGTCTGCAGTTGACATTTGGTCCGCTTTTTGGCCTACGGTTGAAACGGGCATATCTTCATATAGAAACTATTCAGAGGCATTCTCAGAAACTTCTTTGTGATGTGTGCATTCAACTCACAGAGTTGAACCTTTCTTTTGTTAGAGCAGTTTTGAAACACTCACAGAAACTTCTTTGTGACGATTGCATTCAAATCACAGAGCTGAACATACCTTTTCATAGAGCAGTTTTGGAAAACTCTTTTCATAGAATCTTCAAGTGGATATTGGGACTGCTTTGAGGACTTCATTGAAAACGGGAATATCTTAAAATAAAAACTAGACAGAAGCTTTGTCAGAAACTTCTTTGTGATGTGTGCATTCAACTCACAGAGTTGAACCTTTCTTTTAATACAGCAGTTTTGAAACACTCTTTTTGTAAAATCTGCAAGTGGATATTTGGACTGCTTTGAGGCCTTCATTGGAAACGGGAATATCTACACCTAAAAAGTAGACAGAAGCATTTTCAGACACTTCTTTGTGATGTTTGCATTCAACTCACGAAGTTGAACATACCTTTTCATAGAGCAGTTTTGAAACACTCTTTTTAGAGAATCTGCAATTGACATTTGGACTGCTTTGAGGCCTTCATTGGAAACTGGAATAGCTTCACATAAAAAGTAGAGAGAAGCATTCTCAGAAACTTCTTTGTGATGTGTGCATTGAACTCACATAGCTGAACCTTTCTTTTGACAGAGCACTTTTCAAACACTCTTTTTGTAGAATCTGCAAGTGGATATTTGGAGTGCTTCGAGGCCTTCATTGGAAAAGGTAATATCTTCACATAGAAAGGGGACAGAAGCATTCTCAGGAAGTTCTTTGTGATGTGTGCATTAAACTCACTGATTTGAACCTTCTTTTTGATAGAGTAGTTTTGAAACACTCTTTTTGTAGAATCTGCAAGTGGATATTTGGATCGCTTTGAGGCCTATGGTGGAAACGGGAATATCTTCACATTAATCTAGACAGAACCATTCTCAGAAACTTCTTTGAAATGTGTGCATTCAACTCAGAGAGTTGAACCTTCCCTTTGAGAGATCACTTTGAAAGACTCTTTTTGTAGAATCTGGAAGTGGATATACAGAGCGATTTGAAGCCTTAGTTGCAAACGGGAATATCTTCACATAAAAAGTAGAGAGAAGCATTCTCAGAAACTTCTTTGTGATGTGTGCATTCAACTCACAGAGTTGAACCTTCCTTTTGATAGAGCAGTTTTGAAACACTCTTTTCTATGATCTGCAAGTGTACAGTTGGAGCACTTGGAGTCTGACGGTTGAAACCGGAATTTCTTCACATAAAAACTAGACAGAAGTATTCTCAGAAACTTTTTTGTGATGTGTTCGTTCAACTCACAGATTTTCACCTTTCTTTTGAAAGATAGAGCAATTTTGAAACACTCTATTTGTAGAATCTGCAATTGGATATTTTTAGCGCTTTGAGCCCTTCGGTGGAAAAGGTAATATCTTCACATAGAAACGGGACAGAAGCATTCTCAGGAAGTTCTTTGTGATGTGTGCATTAAACTCACTGATTTGAACCTTCCTTTTGATAGAGTAGTTTTGAAACACTCTTTTTGTAGAATCTGCAAGTGGATTTTTGGATCACTTTGAGGCCGATGGTGGAAACGGGAATATCTTCACATAAATCTAGACAGAACCATTCTCAGAAACTTCTTTGTAATGTGTGCATTCAACTCAGAGAGTTGAACCTTCCCTTTGAGAGATAAGTTTTGAAAAACTCTTTTTGTAGAATCTGGAAGTGGATATACGGAGCGATTTGAAGCCTTAGTTGCAAACGGGAATATCTTCACATAAAAATTAGATAGAAGCATTCTCAGAAACTACTTTGTGATGTGTGCATTCAACTCACAGAGTTGAACCTTCCTTTTGATAGAGCGGTTTTGAAACAGTCTTTTTGTAGAATGTGCAAGGGGATATTTGGAGAGCTTTGAGACCTATGGTAGAAAAGGAAATATCTTCATATAAGGACTAGAGAGAAGCATTCTCAGAAACTACTTTGTGATGTTTGCATTCATCTCACAGATTTGAACCTTTCTTTTTATAGAGCAGTTTTGAAACACTCTTTTTGTTGAATCTGCAAGTGGAGATTAGGAGCGCTTTAAGGGCACTGGTGGAAAAGAAAATGTCTTCACAAAAAAAAACTAGACAGAAGCATTCTCAGAAACTCCTTTGTGATGTTTGCATTTAGCTCACAGATTTGAACATACCTTTTCATAGAGCAGTTTTGAAACTCTCTTTTTGTAGAATCCGCTAGTGAATATTTGGACCGCTTTGAGGCCTTCATTGGAAATAGGGAAATCTTCACATAAAAACTAGACAGAAGCATTCTCAGAAACTTCTTTTTGATGTGTGCATTCATCTCAGAGAGTTGAACCTTCTTTTTCATAGAGCAGTTTTGAAAGATTCTTTTTGTAGCATCTGCAATTGGATATTTGGAGTGCTTTGAAGCCGTCGTTGGAAACGGGAATTTCTTCACATAAACTAGACAGAAGCATTCTCAGAAACTTCTTTGTGATGTGTCCATTTAACTCACAAAGTTGAACTTTCCTTTTGATAGAGCAGTTTTGAAACACTCTTTTTGTAGAATCTGCAAGTGGACATTTGGAGCGCTTAGAGGCCTATGGCAGAAAAGGAAATATCTTCATATAAAAACTAGACAGTAGCATAGTCAGAAACTACTTTTTGATGTGTGCATTCAACTCACAGAGTTGAACTTTCCTTTTGATAGAGCAGTTTTGAAGCAATCTTTTTGTAGAATCAGCAAGTGGACATTTGGAGTGCTTTGAGACCTTCGGTGGAAAAGGAAATATGTTCACATAAAAACTAGACAGAAGCATTCTCAGAAACTTCTTTGTGATGCGTGCATTCAACTCACAGAGTTGAACGTGTCTTTTGATAGAGCAGTTTTGAAACACTCTTTTTGTAGAATCTGCAACTGGATATTTGGATTGCTTTGAGGCCTTCGTTGGTAACGGGGATATCTTCGTGTAAAAAACAGGCAGAAGCATTCTCAGAAACTTCTTTATGAAGTGTGCATTCAACTCACAGAGTTGAAACTTCCTTTTGATAGAGTAGTTTTGAAAAACTCTTTTTGTAGAATCTGCAACTGGATATTTGGATTGCTTTGAGGCCTTCGTTGGTAACGGGGATATCTTCACATAAAAAACAGGCAGAAGCATTCTCAGAAACTTCTTTATGAAGTGTGCATTCAACTCACAGAGTTGAAACTTCCTTTTGATAGAGTGGTTTTGAAAAACTCTTTTTGTAGAATCTGCAAGTGGATATTTAGTCTGCTTTGAGGTCTTCGTTGGAAACGGGAATAACTTCATATAAAAACTAGACAGAAGCATTCTTAGAAACTTCTTTGTGATGTGTGTATTCAACTCACAGAGTTGAAACTTCCTTTTGATAGAACAGTTATGAAACACTCTTTTTGTAAAATCTGCAAGTAGATATTTGGAGGGCTTTGAGGCCTACGGTTGAAAGAGGAATATCTTCCCATAAAAAATAGACAGAAGAATTCTTAGAAACTTCTTGGTGATGTGTGCATTGAACACACAGAGTTGAACTTTTCTTTTGATAGAGCAGTTTTGAAATACTCTTTTTGTGGAATCTGCAAGTGGATATTTGTGCTGCTCTGAGGCCTTCGTTGGAAACGGGGATATCTTCACATAAAAACTAGAATGAATCTTTCTCAGAAACTTCTTTTTGATATGTGCATTCAACGAACAGAGCTGAACCTGTCTTTTGATAGAGAAGTTTTGAAACACCCTTTTTGTAGAATATGCAAGTGGACATTTGAAGCGCTCTGAGGGCTATGGTGGAAAAGGAAGTATCTTCACCTAAAAACTAGACAGAAGCATTCTCAGAAACTTCTTTGTGATGATTGCATTCAATTCACAGAGTTGAACATACCTTTTCATAGAGCAGTTTTGAAACATTCTTTTTGTAGAATCAGCAAGTGGATATTTGGAGCGCTTTGAGGCCTACGGTTGAAAACGGAATATCTTCACATTAAAACTAGATAGAAGCATTCTCAGAAACTTCTTTGGGATGCGTTCATTCAAATCACAGAGTTGAACGTTTCTTTTGATAGAGAAGTTTGAAAGACTCTTTTTGTAGAATCTGCAAGTGGATATTTGGACTGCTTTCAGGCCTTCATTGGAAATGGGAATATCTTTACGTAAAAACTAGACAGAAGCATTCTCAGAAACTTCGTTGTGATGTGAGCATTTAACTCAGAGAGTTGAACCTTCCTTTTGATAGTGCAGTTTTGAAACACTCTTTTTGTAGAATCTGCAAATGGATATTTGGAATGCTTTGAGGACTACGGTGGAAACGGGAATATCTTCACATAAAAACTAAACAGAAACACTGTCAGAAACTTCTTTGTGATGTGTGCATTCAACTCACAGAGTTGAACTTTTCTTTTGATAGAGCAGTTTTGAAACACTGTTTTTGTATAATCTGCAAGTGGACATTTGGAGCGCTTTGAGGCCTTCGGTGGAAAAGGAAATATCTTCACATAAAAACTAGACAGAAGCATTCTCAGAAACTTCTTCCTGATGTGTGCGTTAAAATCACAGAGTTGAACCTGTCTTTTGATAGAGCAGTTTTGAAGAACCCTTTTTTTTTTATACTTTAAGTTTTAGGGTACATGTGCACATTGTGCAGGTTAGTTACATATGTATACATGTGCCATGCTGGTGCGCTGCACCCACTAACTCGTCATCTAGCATTAGGTGTATCCCCCGATGCTATCCCTCCCCCCTCCCCCCACGCCACAACAGTCCCCAGAGTGTGATATTCCCCTTCCTGTGTCCATGTGATCTCATTGTTCAGTTCCCACCTATGAGTGAGAATATGTGGTGTTTGGTTTTTTGTTCTTGCGATAGTTTACTGAGAATGATGATTTCCAATTTCATTCATGTCCCTACAAAGGACATGAACTCATCACTTTTTAGGGCTGCATAGTATTCCATGGTGTATATGTGCCACATTTTCTTTTTTTTTTTTAATTTTTTTTATTTTTAATTTTTTTTTTTATTATACTCTAAGTTTTAGGGTACATGTGCACATTGTGCAGGTTAGTTACATATGTATACATGTGCCATGCTGGTGCGCTGCACCCACTAACGTGTCATCTAGGATTAGGTATATCTCCCAATGCTATCCCTCCCCCCTCCCCCGACCCCACCACAGTCCCCAGAGTGTGATA